>NC_000006.12:44302424-44605454 GCF_000001405.40 Homo sapiens
AGTGCCTCCGCCACATCCCGGCTCCCCAGACTCAGCCGCTCAGTGGCCGCTTTCACTTCCTGGGCCAGGCTCTGGCCTAGCTCTCGGGCCTGCAGGGAGGGGACAGGAGGGTCAGGATTACATTCATCTCCCCAGGACAAGGCCTCTCAACTCATTACTGGTCAGGGACAAATAAGATTTAACAATCAGGACCAATCAAGGCACCAGCACCAAATAATCAAAACACATGCCAGCTGCCAATAGCTGATATGGCCACATTGGTGTCCAAGTATGAACACTGGCTCTGCTGCTGGGCACCCCTGAGCCTGAGCATGTCACCTGCGTGTGTCCCATGCACCCACTCAACCCAGAAGTCCCAGGCCTACTGGCATGCTGACCTGCTGGGCCTGCTCCCCAGTGACGGCCAGCAGGCGGGTAGTGCCCTTGGAAAGCTGGCGGTCCCCGATGATAACCAGGTCCCCTACAGCCCCAGTACGTAACAGGTGCCTGTGGGAGGAAGGAGTGAACAGAAAGTCGGGGCATGACAGTAGAGAAGGGAGAAGCCAGCGTGCATCTCCCATTAAGGGCTGATGGCTCCAAAGACCAAGGGAAGGGCAAGGATCCGGGGCCCCTGGGCCAGGCAGCACAAAGGAGTGACTCACGTCCCACAGCATAGCTCCACAGAGGTCTGCAGTGCGGCTTGGGAGGCTGGGTCCAATGCATGGGCCACGGGCACCCCCACTGATACCACCCGCACAGGGTCTGGGTAAACCTGAGGTCAAGAGGGGACAGGCCCGTTAACTGCCAAAGGAGAAGGATAAAGCCTCCAGGTATGCCTGAAGGAGGCCCCCGATCTCCAGCAAAAGGGCTTCCCCAACTCACCTCATCCAGAGAGCGCAGGCCAGGGACCTGGGCAGTGAGCGCCAGGGGCACCTCCTCCATGTACACAGCCTCATCCTGCCCCACGGCCTCCTGCACAGTGTTCTCCACTGCCCGGAGCTGCTCTGGGGTCAATGGGGTCTGGAGGGGTGGGGAGGAAATGGAAAGACCAACATGCAGTCAGCCCCACACCTCTAACTGATGCATTGAAACACGGTCAATGTTCACTGAGCTATCCCCAGGTTCTAGAATAGTGGCTAGCACATAATAGGTGCTCAATAAACACTACCTGAGCAGACAATTATTTTCCTTAGAAAGCTATCTGGGAGTTGGGCCTATTGGAAGCTCCAGGCCTTTCACCAGGCACCAAAAGTTAAAGAAACAGAAAAAGGAGGCTGTATCCACATGGAGCTTACAAGGGGTAGCCCAATGGAAGAGAGAACTACAGGATGGGGGGATGCAGGGGCAGGGAATAAGCAGGTGGGATGGGGATTAGCCAGCAAGTACTTCCTGGAGAAAGGATTTAAGCCAGATGTGTAAGAAGCGCAGGGAGACAGGGTGGCAGCAGAGGGAGAGGGCAGCCCAGTTTAGGCAAGAATGGCTTGGATGACAGTAGAAACAAGGAAGGGGAGCGGCTGGAGGTGAAGGGAAGGCCCCTGCTGGAGGGCCTTCAGGATCCCACATCAGAGCTGGGCGAGGCCCCAGACACTCTGTAGCCTGACTCCTCACTGCTGCACAAGGAGCCCAAGGGGAAAGGACTTGCCCAGGGTCCCATAGTGATTGGGTGGCCGTGCTGGGCCTAGAGCCCAGGACTCTAAGGGCAACCCGCTCACAGCAGGCTGTCTCTCTTTTATGCCTGTCACCTCACATGAAGCCTGTCTTTCTATGCCGGGCTCACCTGGGTGGTCACATCCAAGCGCAGCTGCTCAGGATTGAGATGGGAGCCCTGCTGCTCTGTGCCAGGGCCCAGGGTCTGCCTCAGTGCCCAGTTCAGCAGGTGGGTGGCCGTATGCTTCGCCATGCAGCCTAGACGCCAGGCCTGAAATACTTTTGTCACCCAGCGTCCTGGGTGAGGGCAGGGGGTTGGGAGAGTGAAGGGGCTGCAGGGTATTGGGAACAGTTAGGGAGGATCCTTACCTCATCCACATGCAGCTGCACCTGGTCCCCTAACCGCAGGCACTCAGGGGCTACTGCCTCATGCAGGATGAAACCTCCACAGACCTGGGCCCGGGCTACTGGGAACAGCACGTCCTGAGGGAGGGTAGTGGTCAAGGTGCCTGTAGCCTTTCCCTCCCCTTGGCTCCCACTCAGGCTTGGGTCTGCCGCCCACAGAAATCAGCCTGGGTTGTGATGGAGACTCACCTCTTGCCCTGCCCGCACCAGGTAGCCACGGTCTGAAGCCTGGCCCCCCTGTTCTGCGTAGAAGTTGGTCCTGTCCAAGAGGAGGCCACAGCGCTGGCCTTTCCCCACGGAGGCCACTGCTGTCCCGTCCTCTGTATACAGTTGCAACACCTGGGCCTCACAGGTGCCGAACTCTGCCAGGGCACAGAATGGTTATTAGTGGTGGGCAGGGGCTGGGGACGTGAAGGTGGGTCTGTGCCTGGAGGCCAACAAGCACCCCCGCTGGCAGGGGCACTTCCAGCTGGGGGCCACAGAGACCCCTGGTGGCCATCCTGGGGAATACATAGGGGCTAGCAGCAACCATCTTGGACATTCTTCTTAGTCATGGTCAGGCAAGCTTGTGGCGGCAGGCCTTGGTCCAGGCTCTCACCATAACTTCCGCTGGGTCGCAGGGAGTAGTTGTACTTGGGGCTGTCGTCAGTTGGGGGCACTCCTTGGCGCTGCAGCTCCCCAAGCGCATGGACATCAAGCCACAATCCCTGCTTCTGAACTGGCTCAGCCTGCCGTGCCCGGTGCTGCAGGGTGGGCATGGGCATGGAAGAAGTGCATGGAGAATGAAAGAATGAAAGTGGGACTTCAGCCTCGCAGGGCCCTGTCCCTGCCACACAGCTGTGGACTCTGCAGCCCTTCTGGAATAAGAACTCAGGGCTTGGCTGGCTGCTAGAGCCCCTGAGCTGGTTGAACCATCCATCATGTCGGCTCCTCGGGATTAGGCCTTCCTGCCCACTGCTGCCCCTGGAGGGCCCCTCTCCAGGAAGCTGTGCTGGCTTCTGCTCCTGTGTTTAGCCCATTGGCTAGTTTTGCTTTCTACTGGTTGTGGCCTGAGGTTTTAGAAACCTCCCAGGTGAGGGGACAGATCCTATCTCAGCCTCTTGATTCCTCTCAATATTCACAGCTCCTCCCCCAGGAGCTCAGGGCTGGGGAAGAGGTGTCCTAACAGAACCCAGCATGGGGTGCCACAGCTTGTACCTGGGCCTCCTCTTGGGCCAACCGCTCCAGTCCAGCGGAGTCTAGCTGGACCCCTTTCTCCTCCAGCATCAGCTCTACCATGTCCAAGGGGAGTCCCAGGTCTCCACACAGTGACAAGGACCAGGCCACTTCAGCTTTGAGAAAGAAAGACAAAGAATGTTGAGGAGGGGAGGGATTAGACAAAGAAGGGGAGAAAAATAAGGTCCAGGGCCCTTCTAACCACGCAGAAGCCACCAGATGCCAAACACAAATACCCGCTCCATACTGGGTAGCCTCAGGAGAGGGGTCACATTCAGGCTTCATGCCTCAAGGCCAGAGCTGGGGGTAGTCCAGGGTACTCCCTGGGCACACATCATTTCAAGGGAGGAGGGAAGCTCAGTCTATGCACGAAGCCAACCTAGGAAAGCAGGAGGCAGGGCTAGCTGGGCACTGTGGACATGGGGAGAGGCAGGGTGGTATTCCTGCTGCAGAGGGGTCTGGGTATGGAAGGAGAGTCCAGGGAGAAAGGAACATTGGGAAGAGGTCAGGGGTGGATATGAGGCATGGGGCTGGCCCAGAGCTCCCTCCTCTGCCCACCTTGGTGAGTCTCAGCGAGCCCCTTGTGCATGGGCTAGGTATCCTGCTTACCAGGGAACATATCTGAAGGCCCCAGGGTCCTCAGAGTCCGATCAATGATCCGCCTACCCCGCTCCAGGGAGGCCAGGAAGGCTGCCTCGTCCTCTGACACCAGGTTGGCGATCTGAACCAGGCAGAGAAGAAGTGGAGCTGGGTCTCCTTGGAAGGAGGGTCTCTCTCCACAACTCTCCCATCAACCCCTTTCTCTCCCACTGGAATCCAGTACCTGGGCTGAGTTCCTTTGCAGTTCTGGATAAGCATCTCCCTGGGGGAGGTGGAGAGGGCTGAGGAGGTGTGAAAGGCAACCAACCCACCCCCACCTCCCCACCCTGGGCCTCCCTGAGGACACCTGCCCTGGAGGCTCAGACACATTGAGGGGCTGGGAGAGGGACTCAAATGGGGAACTGGTTTCCCTGTAGGGTGGCAGAAGGGGGTCCTGAGGTCAAGGGCTGAGCAGTTTGGAAAAGGAGCCTCCTCAAGTTCTCCTGCTTCTTGTAAGCAAGGACAGCTTTCTTAGCTTGCTGATAGGATGCTGGGCTCGATATTTAGGGTGGGGACCTCTGGGCACCCAGGCTGGGGGCACTGTCTAGGCTCAGTGGTAGGCTCCCCAAAGTGCCCAGGGAGGCCCAGAGTGAAAAAGAAGCTCTGTCCTTACCAGTGTCTCCACCACTACAGGTACCAGGCTGCCTAGGAAGCCAGGTGGTGCCTTTAAGATCTCCATGGAGAAACGCACAGCTCGACGCAGGATCCGACGAAGAACCAGCCTAAAGGGGTTCAGAGCCCAGACATGAATCCCCAGCGGCTCATGGTCAGCAATATGGGGAGTGGGAAGGACGAGGTCCAGTGTGTGCTCCCACCTCAAAGCTCTCCCTCTCCCCATTCCTCCTACTGGCTCAACCAGACCCACCTCTCCTGTTCCCTCCCTCCTCCACCTGAGACCCCCAGCAGCCCCTGTCCTCTCTGTAGCCCTTCCAGACTCACGGGGGACCTGACATCCCAGGGAAGATGCCATCAGAGATGCAGACACTGAGTGTGCGGATGTGGTCAGCCACCACGCGGTACGCTGTGTCTGTGCGCCCCTCGTCTGCCACCCCTACTCGGCCCAAGTAAGGGGGTGCCCTGCAGCCCTGGGAAGCAGAAGAGTCAGCCAGTGGCCCTGCCTGACCTGGCCCAGGTGGGTGCTCTTTATCGCCTCTAGAGCATCTGCCCTCAGCCCTAAAGCCAACCACATCCAGAATGGCCTTGCCAGTCCAGTCCTGGGCTGAGAAGCCTCACAGATGAGCACAAGCCAGGCCCTGCCCTCACGGGGCTCATATTTGGTGCTACAAGTGAACATATCTGTGACCATTTACTGAATTTCTACTATCAGAACTGGGTGAGTACTTGAACAACATGGCCTCGAATCCCCAAAACAGCCCATTCCAGGAGGTATTAGCATGCTTGCTTTAAAGAAGAAGAAGCTGAGGCTCAGAGGAACTCAGTGACACAAGGCTACCCAGCTCTCAAGGAGCAGATCTGAGATCTCAGCCGGGCCTGTTGGACTCCAGGTGCTCTCCACTACCTGTTCTTGCCTCTCCCATCTTTTGTGGGGGTGGGCAGGGAGGGAGAGTGTAAGCTACATACACGGAAATGCTCCAAAGCAGGGAGCTTGATTCACTTACCACCAAACCTCTCTCTTCCCCAAGCTTCTTCGTCTAACAGTCATGCCATTCACTGTGTTGCTCAAGTCAATAGCCTGGGAGCCATCTTTGAATTCTTTTTCCCCTACCCGTCATGATCCATCAGTGGTTCCTTTTGCTCCTACCTCCATGACATCTCTCAAATCAATCTACTTGTCTCTACTTCCACTGCTATTATCCGAAGCATGCCCTGTGGTCCTTGCCTGGACCGATAATAGCCTCCCAACTGATTCCTAAGTTTCTGCTCTCATCTCCCTCCAGCTCATCCTCCACACAGCAACAGGAGTAGCCTTTTAAAAGTGTACATCAGGCTGGGCGCGGTGGCTCACACCTGTAATCTCAACACTTTGGGAGGCTGAGGCGGGTGGATCACCTGAGGTCAGGAGTTTGAGACCAGCCTGGCCAATCCTGGTGAAACCCCATCTGTACTAAAAATACAAAAATTAGTCAGGTGTGTTGGCGGGTGCCTGTAATCCCAGCTACTCTGGAGGCTGAGGCACGAGAATTGCTTGAGCCCCGGAGGCAGAGGTTGCAGTGAGCCGAGATCATGCCACTGCACTCCAGCCTGGACAACAGAGCAAGCAAGACTCTGTCTCAAAAAAAAAAAAGAAGGGTTCTCAGTGGGGAGTGTGGCATGATCTGATGTACACTTTTATTTATTTATTTTTTTTGAGATGAACTCTCACTCTGTTGCCCAGGTTAGAGTGCAGTAGCACGATCTCAGCTTACTGCAACCTCCACCTCCTGGGTTCAAGAGATTCTCCTGCCTCAGCCTCCCAAGTGGCTGGGACTACAGGTGTGTGCCACCATGCCTGGCTGATTTTTCTATTTTTTTAGTAGAGACAGGATTTTGCCATGTTGGCCAGGCTGGTCTCCAACTCCTGACCTCAAGCGATCCGCCCCCCTCTGCCTCCCCAAGTGCTGGGATTACAGGAGTGAGCCACCGTGCCCAGCCCTGAGAACTCTTCTCACCACTCTGAGAATCAAGGCCCCACTTTGGACTTTGAGGCCCACAAGACTGGATTCTGCCTTCTTCTCTGTGAGACTGTTCACAAAAATGGCCCTTTCCTAGGCATATGCCACTTTAAAATGGGACTTTACAGCTGTTTCCCATCAAGGGACAGAATCCATTTCTCCATCCCCTGAATCTCTGCTGGCTTTGTGACTTGCTTTGGCCCATAGAATACAGTGGAAACAACACTGTTCTGAGCCTATGTGTCTGCTCTCTGTCTTGGAACCTTGCTGAGCTGTGATGTGGACAAGCCCAGACTAGCCAGCTAGGTGATGACAGACACATGGTCCAGTCACCCCTACTGCCCCCAAACTGACAGCCAGCCAAGCCCCAGAGGAGCTGCGGCCTCTCAGCTCACCACAGATGGATGAATGAGCTCACACAAGACCAAAGAATGAGCCAGCTAAGCCCAGCCTAAACGCTAGCTCACAGACTCAGGGGGCAGATACATGGTTGTTGGTTAAGCCACAGAGCATTAGGGTGGTTATACAGCAAAAGCCAACTGACACATGTTCCTACTATATCCCATGGGATTCTCCTTTAGCTGGCTGGCCACCTTTTAGTTTTTGGCACATGTCAAGCCCTTTCTTGCGGGGCAAGGAGGGAGGGTATAAGCTACACACATGTGGAAATGCTCCAAAGCAGGGAGCTTGATTCACCTAGCTCCAAACCTCTCTCTTCCCCAAGCTTCTTCATCTCAGTAAACAGTCATGCCATTCACTGTGTTGCTCAAGCCAATAGCCTGGGAGCCATCTTTGATTTCTCTTTCCCCTCCCCATCTAATCCATCAGTACCAAGGCCCTTGGTACCTGCTGTCCCCTCTGCCTGGAAAGAACTTCCTGTAGCTGACTCCTCCTTTGGGGCTCAGCTCAAAGGTCATCTTCTTGGTGAGCCTTCCCCAAGCACCTTATCTAAGATTCCTCTGTACCCCTCCTTCTTCCTAGTTACTTTCACCCATGTTTACTGCCTGTTCACAATCTGTAAGCTATTACCTTGTTCTTTAACACATTTATTGATTGTCTATCTCTCATGCTAGCATATAATCTCCATGATCTCTTTCCTGCTTACTGCTGTGTCTTCTGTACCAAACACAAAGGATTTAACATAAAGTAAGCACTCAACACGTATTTTCTAAATAAATGAAAGAGGCAAGGAGTTAGGAGGAACATCAGGTAATAAGTAATGAATCCTAGTGTCTTGCTTGACGTCTTGGAATTCTTGGTTGGTTATTGTCCTCAGATGCTGAGAACACTCTGAGTTCTCAACAAAGATGGAATGCAATGGGGCTGAGGGCTGTGAAGAGCAGGTTAGAGGGCTTCTGGAAGGGAAGAGGCACTCACCTGCTGTATGGCGTTGAGCAGCGGGGAAAAGAGGTCAGTGTCATAGGTGGAGTGTTTGCCTTGCAGCACAGCCACCAGCCTTTCCAGGCCCATTCCTGTGTCCACATGCCGCTGGGGCAGGGGCTGCAGGCTTCCATCTGCCTCTCTGGCCAGGGAAGGTGTGCAAGGTGAGGCCCCACCCAGGATTACAGGTGTGAGACAGATGCCCAAGTGGAGTAGAGAAATGGGGGGGGGCCCAAGGGAGCTGACAGTGGGAGGAACCAGACAATCAGTATCTTCCCCTGCCACCCTGCAATAGCAGATGATGATGGCCTTGGGGTCCTGTCCTTCCTCATATAGGGCTATTTCCATTCTCACCCCTGCTTGGGCCCTTGCCTGGGCACCAGACATCCCATCTTGGGACAGAATTCTTTGCCCCTAGAAAGATATGTCAAGGCTAGAAGAAAATCTGAGATCATCAAGTTCAACTCGTTGATCATCAAGTTCAACAGAGAATAGCAGTGACTTGTTTAAGCTGTCACAGGCAAAGACTACAATTAAATCAGTTATTATCTATAAGGTGTTGAGAATTGTGCCTGACACACGGTAAGCACCGTTTACATGTTTGTTTTTATATGAAACAGATCAAAGTCTTCTAATTGCCACCTTTCCCACTTCTAGTCAGGGATTCTCATCCTGCTTCAGCACCCTATTACCTGTTGTGTTGCATGAAGACCAGGTTCCAAAGCTCTACCAGCTGGGGGGCTCCCACCCCACCAGCAAGGTCGTAGTGGATCTCAGTACAGGGCCCACAAGGGCCAGTATCCCCCATCTCCCAGAAGTTCTCTTGTGGTCCAAAGGAAAGCACACGGCTAGCAGGCACCCTGGGGAGAAAAGCAGGTGAGTGGTGGGAGACAGACAGACCCAGAAGCTGGGACTCTCTCTGCCATGAGAGCCCCTCCCTCAAGTCACAGCTCAGCAAGAGGAGGAACAGGGCTGACCCCACAATATCCTGGAATGAAATGCTAAGACTCTGAGGATTGGTGCTGGTAGTCTCCACTTTCCAGTCCTCCTGACCTCCAGGAATGAACATAAGAAGGGGGCTGACTTACCCTAAGCTCAGCCAGATGTCCCTGGTCTCCAGGTCTGGGTCCAGCCCTGCCTTGGGGTCACCATCAAAGTAGGAGATCCAGAGCCTTTCCTCAGGGATCCCATAGACCTGAGTCAGCAGTTCCCAGGCCATGTTACAAGCCTCCTCCTGCAGCAGAAACCAGCATGGGGTGGGGGGGGAAGACGGGTGAGAGGGAGACCCCACTGAAGTAATCAAGCCACATGAGTTTAGCTCCCGACTTAAGACAAAAGCATTTCTGCTGCCATCTTGTTCCCAGAATAAGCCATGAACCATTACTGCCTCTGAGTGTTTTCCTGCCCAGAAAGCTTCCCCCTTCTTCTAAGTCCTATCTTCTTTCAAGTCCCAGACCAAGTCCCACTTTCACATGAAATTCTCTGCCTACTCTAGCCTAGAGTGATCTTTAACTCCAGTAAGCACCTTAGCATTGCTGTTTGACCATTTATTCAAACAACAATTTTTGAGTGATCATTAGGCAGAAAGTACAGTCTCTGCCCTTCAGGGACTTACAATCCAATCAGGGAGGTGAGGTAATTCCTGTTACACCGGCTCAACTAGCACTTTGCCTCCACATCTGGTATGAGGCCCTGCCTAAGCAGACAGTACAATGGAAACAGGACAAATTGACTCCCTTCTTGGCTGATCACTGATCCCCAGAGACTCACCTTAAAATATTCACCCCCAAAGGCCCAATTGCCAAGCATTTCAAAGAAGGTATGATGGGAAAGGTCTCGACCCACATCTTCCAGGTCGTTATGGTGTCCTCCAGCTCTCACACATTTCTGGCTGTTGGCCACACGTCGGAAGCCTGCCATCTCGCTTCGTGGATCCACGGTGCCCAGAAAGATTGGCTTGAACTGGAAGCACATAGAGTGGGGAGGGGGAGAGGGATATCCAATTTCTCAGTAGAAGGGAAATGTGGGGAGTGAGGATAGGGATGGCTGTTCAGACCGAAGGCTGACTGTGCCCCTGAGAGTGCAGTGTAATCTTGGTCTATGAGGACAAACTGGGAGCCTCGGGACAGCCATCTCTGGTGTGTGGGGAGCAGAGAAGAGGTAAACAAATCATGAACCGGAGACCCTCTGCCTAGTAAAATAGGCAAGGTAAAAGAAGGAGGAATGTGTTGGGAGCTGGAAATGGGACGCTGAAAGGTGGCATCCTCCGTCTCAGCTTCTTCAACCACACCCAATAACTTCAGGGAACAAAACTGAGACTCATTTAGTAGGGAGCCCAGACGGCCTCTAAGGTTAACTTATGCCGCCCCTATTTTACAGATGAGGACAATGAAGTCTAGAAAAGATGAGTGGTTGATAAAAACCAAAACCTTAGAGAATAGTACTCAGCAAACAATAGGTGATCAATAAACATTTAATGAAAGCGTTATCTTTATTTAAATAACGAATAAATGAAATCAGACTTCTCCCTCGGGATTCCACTCCAGCCATTTCTGGACCTAATACTCAATCCCAATCCAGAAGTTCCCAGCTCAAGCCCTCCCCAAGCCCTCCCTATACTCTGAGCGCCGTACCCCCATCACTTTACCCAACCAAGCACCGCCCTCTTTCCCCAAAAGCTACGAACTCCGCCTCTCGCTTCTTTTGCCCAATCCTGCAGCGTCTTTCTCACCAGAAAACTCACGAACTCCGCTCCCTATCAGTATGGTTCGGCCCTCACCTGGTTCATGCCCGCATTGACAAAAAGCAAACTGGGGTCGCCGCGGGGCCGCACGGAAGCGGAGGGCACCAGCCGGTGGCCATGGCGGTCCCGAAAGAAGTTCAGAAAGGCGGCCCTCACGGCCGAGGCCTTGGCTGCAGGGGGCTCCGATGAGAGCGGCCGATGGCTGAGGCCCCGCCATGCGGGCGACCTTCGAATGGCCCGCCGCAGCCTCCGGGCTGCAGCTGCCACTGACGCTGCCATCGTAGCTCCGGGCAGTGACTTTACGTGGTCAAAGAGTGACGAGGGAAGGAAGCCAGGCGTTTCCTACAGCGGCCCCTGGCGGTAGGAGGACTCAGGGGGCGGCCTCTGCCGCCGGGGTGGAAGCGATCGATTGGGTCGCTGGCAGAGTCTAGCACAGCGCCCGGCACATAGTAGGCTCTTAATTCATTCGGCATTAAGCAAATATTCATTGAGAGCCTACTATGTGCTAGGCATTGTTTTGGGCTTTTAGGGTACAAAATTGACAAAATGCCCTGCCCACTGAAATCCGTATTCTAGCAGTAATTGCTGTTGTGCTTATTAGTTTTGCAAAGTTACAGATGGGGTTGCAATAAACAGGTGTGGATTCAACTTCGTGTGTGTGTGTGTGTGTGTGTGTGTGTGTTTTGTGTGTGTTTTTCCAGGCTGAGGGAAGAAGGCAGAGAGTGACAGGGGAGTATCAGCATTCATTCAAGAGGTATTCAACAAATATTTATTGAAGACCTAGTATGTGCTAGGCACTGTTCTAGGCATTTGCCAGTTTCCTTGGACCTTGGCATCAGACACGGCCATTTTTGCCCGTGAAGCAGGAGTCTATAGGAGAACACAGAAGCCAAACAGCATCTGCTATATTATTAATTGCCTAACATTTGGTCTTCTCATTTGCCTGGGGATCAGAGAGAATCCAGGTCGTCAAGGCAGGAGGAAGCTGTTGGCTAATAGCTGCAGAGATTTCACTCTCTAAGCCTTCTAATGCCCTAAGGTTTTGTGTGTTTTCGTTTAGGATAAGAGATATACCTGTTCTACCTCTCCCTTCTGTCTTTCCATAGTAACAGCTGTGACCCTGAAGCCAACAGGCCCTTGTGGATGCAATCAGGGTGCTCATGGGGCTTCTCATGATGCCCTTGGCTTGGGAAATTAAACAGATTGGGAAGACAGAAGAGAATCTGCCAAAGCTAAAACTCAATAGAGGTTCCAGAGCTGAGGTCAGTGTAATAACCGAGAAGGCCTTAGCCATCAGGGTGGTCTCTTTTAGCCACGATTCTGTGTGTGTTAAGTTATTTGGGGTCTTTGTATACATAGTTTCTCTGCGGAATCTACATTGGACTTGAATTTCTATAGTGATAGTAAATTCTTAACTTTGTGTTCTGACAGCACCTATAACTCCTATTCCATGATCCCCTTTTTCTCCCTTTGCCCACATAGATTAAAGGTGTTGTTTTGAAAGTGTGTTTGGCCTGTTTTGGTTTTTCCAGTGTTTCTGGAACAGAAAGCTAAAGCCAGCTGGGGATTTCTGTGTGATTAATGACTTTTTTATTTTTTTGAGATGGGGTTTCACTCTTGTTGTGCTGGCGTGCAATAGCACAATCTCGGCTCTCTGCAACCTCTGTCTCCCGGGTTCAAGCAATTATCCTGCCTTAGCCTCCTGAGTAGCTGGGATTACAGGCATGCATCACCACGCCCGGCTAATTTTGTATTTTTAGTAGAGATGGGGTTTCTCCATGTTGGTCAGGCTGGTCTTGAACTCCCGACCTCAGCTGACCTGCCTACCTCAGCCTTCCGAAGTGCTGGGATTACAGGCATGCACCACTGCGCCCAGCTGAGATTGATGATCTTTAGACAAGACTGTGAAATTATTTCCCAAACTGAGATGGGAGTGTTTTGCCATACAAACCTGGCAGGGCCTCTACTCAGTACTGACATCAACTTTTTTTTTTTCAGATTTTGCCCAGAAAGTCATTGTGTTACATTAGAAACTCCAAACATGGATCTAGTGTGGAGCCATATAATTTTTTTAAAACAGCTTTATTGAAATATAATTTACATGCTATACAATTCGCCCATTTAAATAAAGTATACAGTTCAATGCCTTTTAGTATATTTACATAGAGTTGCCCATCCATCACCACAATCACTTTTAGAACATTTTCATTACTTCCAAATAAAACCCCAAATCCTTTAGCCATTAACCCCCAATCGTCTCATCCTTCCTAGCCCTTGGCAACCACTAATCTACCTTCTGTCTCTACAGACTTGTATATTCTGGACATTTCATGTAAATGGAATCATGTAATATGTGGTTCTTTGTAACTGGCTTCTTTCACATAAAATAATATTTTCAAGGTTCATCCATGTTGTAGCATGTACCATGGATTTTTAGAAAAATGTTTTTAGTTGTTTTCTGTTTGAAGTAGGTTTTTCTCTCATCTAATTTTGTCTTTGCCACTAAAAATGATAATTTTCTTTTCTTTAAATGTGGTGCTCTTTGGTGAATCATTAGGTTCTTTTTAATATTTCCCAGTGAAGCAAAGCGGTTCATCTAGGATTGGGACGTGTCTGTTCTGGTTTGCAGCTGTCATCTGATGAGGAAGTTAAATTGAAGGACTGCAGTTTCCCAAGATAGATGGAGGTGGAGAAAACTCATCAGACAGGGAAGTTACCAATCCTGGGAACTTCTCTGAAGGGTACTGATCCACTGTCTTAGTATTTATGGGAATTTCATTTTGAGGTTTAACATGCAAATGGGGTCTGCTTTTTGCGAGTTACTCAGCTGGGTTTTGTGAGCAACATTTGGGGTGCTCCTTTCATTGTTTAAGACAGTGGTGCTTTATCTTCCCTGGAGGTGGGATTTACCCTTACGTTGCCATTCGACCTACTTATCTTGGTAGGTTCAAGGCATCCAGCCATTCTTTGTGCTCTCCCTTTCACCTTGTTTAAAAGATGTAACACTCTTATTCTAGGAGTAGAAAGTGTCCTTTCTGATTTCCCGATTGGCTTTGAGAGCAGGACCCCAAGATCAGTGAGACATTCTGTCCTGGATTGATGGTCAGAGAAGACAAAGGGAATTTTCACTCTTACTAAGCATGGGGAACTCAACTTTGGGAATTTCCTCTTATAAATCATAAAAACAGTCTTTTAGCGTCTAGGTTAAAAAGTCAGCCTACGACAGGTGTTTCTGATTTGATGTGTTTATTTATGGCATTGGCTTATCTGGATTGTGAAAGCAACCAACACTTGCCAAACATTAATATGCATATGGATCTCCTGCGATCTTGTTACATATGCAGACTATGATCCAGTAGGTCTGGAGTAGGTGAAATTCTGCATTTCTAGCAGGCTCCCGGTGATGCTGCTGCTGCTGCTAGTCTACTAGACCATACCTTGAGTGACAAGGGTGTAGTAAAGGACTTGTGAGGGGAGTCTGGACACAGGCTTTAGGAAACGTTCTTTTGCCTGGTCCTGGGGCCTAAGACTCAGGTGCCCTTAGGTTCTCCCTTTCTCCTGGGAGGGGTGCTCACCCAGAGTAGGTGGGTGTAGCTGGGAGCTCATCGTGCGCAAGAGCGCTCGCCCCCTTCCTTCCCCCAGCTTCTTAGGGAAGTGAGGGTGGTGATTGCGTCCGCCTGTGGCTTAGAGCCGTGGAGGTTAATGTGGACCAGGGTGGAAGGGGAGCGGTTACCATGGGAATCTGGCAAAGTCATCAGGGCACGCCGATGGCTGGTGGAGCCCCCGGATCAGGAATTCAAGTATTGGTGGACCCTTGAGGGCCTCAATTCTAGAGGTTTATCCTCATGCATTAAAAAAATACTGTAGTTACATTTTATTTATTTTTATTTTATTTTTATTATTTTTGAAAGAGATAGGGTTTTGCTATGTTGCCCAGGCTAGTTTTGAACTCCTGGTGTCAAGCATTCCTCATGCCTCGGTCTCCAAGATAAACATTTTAACTGGTTATAGAAATACCTACATAAGAAAGAAGTAGACATAGGAGACTCCATTTTGTTCTGTACTAAGAAAATTTCTTCTGCCTTGGGATGCTGTTAATCTAGAACCTTGCCCCCAACCCCGTGCTCTCTGAAACAGGGTTAAATGGATTAAGGGCGGTGCAAGATGTGCTTTGTTAAACAGATGCTTGAAGGCAGCATGCTGGTTAAGAGTCATCACCACACCCTAATCTCAAGTACCCAGGGACACAAACACTGCAGAAGGCCGCAGGGACCTCTGCCTAGGAAAACCGGAGACCTTTGTTCACGTGTTTATCTGCTGACCTTCTCTCCACTATTATCCTATGACCCTGCCACATCCCCCTCTCCGAGAAACACCCAAGAATGATCAATAAATACTAAAAAAAGAAATACCTACATAACAACTTCGATTTTGCCTCTTGGCCTGGAAAGCCTAAAATATTTAATACGTGGCTTTTCAAAAAAAGTTTGCCAAACACTGCAATAGAGATTTTTTAAAAATCACACCATAAAACGTAGATGCAGAAAATCAACCAAAACAAATGTTGACTTGTTTCAATGTTGTTGATTCAAAGGCAGACATCTTTGTATCCACTACCCAGGTCTTGAAATAGAACTTTGCAGCCACCCCAGGGCCCCTCCATGGATTCTGCCCTGCCCCCAACCAGCTTCCTTCTCCCAAAGGTGACCATTACCCTGACTTTCATAGTAATCACTGCATTTTTTTTTTTTTGAAACAGAGTTTCAGTCTCGTTGCCCAGGCTGGAGTGCAATGGTACAATCTCGGCTCACTGCAACCTCCACCTCCCAGGTTCAAGCAATTCTCCTGCATCAGCCTCCTGAGTAGCTGAGATTACAGGCACCCACCACCACGCTTGGCTAATTTTTGTATTTTTAGTAGAGATGGGGTTTCACCATGTTGGCGAGGCTGGTCTTGAACTCCTGACCTCAGGTGATCCACCCACCTCAGCCTCCCAAAGTGCTGGGATTACAGGTGTGAGCCACCGAGTTCAGCCTGCATTGCATTTCTTTACAGTTTATCACCCAAATGTACATCCTTAGATGTTATAGTCTTGCACGTTTTTTAAAAAAGCGTATCGACTTGATATTTTAAGTCTTTTTATCAATAGGTTCCATCTCCATCCTTTTCCTTACAGTGTATCTACTGCTTAGCTACGGAGATTTGATCTGTGGTTTCCCACAGTCTAAGTTTTTGCTGACTCCATATTCGACATTCAACTCACATTCAACATGTTCCTCTGTCTTCTCTATTTCATGCAAATTAGCACCTGGATGTGGAGATTTGATTAGACACAATTTTGAATCTCTTTGGCAAGACCATAGATACCCCTTCACCAGAGGGTACATCAATGTATGGTTGTCTGTATTTCTGTGATCCTAGCAGCCCCGATAACATAATGCCTACATCTGTTAACGCACTGGAAGGTGCAACATGGTGATATGTTAATTCTGTCATCTCTTTTTCGTTTATTAATCGGAGTCTTTTTATGAAGAGATGCTTCCCCTAATCAATTATTTGTTAATCAGTGGTATAGTTAATGTAGAAAAGGCTACATGCTTGATTTTGCCCCCTTCAGTTATCAGTGTTCAAGATAATGGATTTGTTTCTATCACTCTCCAAAAGTGAGCTATTATTGTATTTTCAGCATCATTGTGAAGTCATGGATTTCAGCCTATTTGATGGTTCCAGTCCATTGCAATTACAGTGCTGTGTCCATTAAAGCTCAAAGTGTCCCATCTTTGGTTAGTGGGAATCTTTTTGATTTGCCTTCTGAGTCCCTTTGACATGACTCTAGTAATCTTTGATAGATTCCTTGCTTTCTGTTATGGCAAGATATTTCTGGCTCGTTTTGTCCATTTTTTTGCCCCAGTCCTGGAATCAGCCATGTACAAAAGTCCCAGCTCCTTTTAATATTAGGGAGAAGGTAATTCAACACTACAATCTAGGTGCTAGCAATACTTATTGCTACTGGGTCAGTCATTGTTTCCAGATTTTTATAGAGGACAGAGACAGGAGGAATATATATTTACAGATAAAATGGTTCGTTAGAGGATTTTAAGCAGGGGAGCGACATGATCTGATTTATGCTTTTGAAAGATCCTTCCACCAAGGGACAGTTGATTATGGGGGTCATTGTGGAAGCAACAATGCCTATTAGGCATTGTTGCTGATGTTGTCTAGGAGAGAGATGATGGACAGGATTGCAGAGAGATGATGGACAGGATTGCAGCTGTGAAGATGAGAAATGGTTAGATTCAGGCTGCATGTGAGGGTAGGGCTATATTTGCCAATGGATGGGATGCAGAGAAAGGGAGAGAAGACTCATTTCTAAGTTTATGACCTGAATAACAGTGTGGGTGGTGGTGCCATTCACTGAGACGGGAAAGCCTGGAGAAGGAGCAGGTCTGT
The DNA here is from genome assembly GCF_000001405.40 of Homo sapiens. Taxonomy (NCBI): domain Eukaryota; kingdom Metazoa; phylum Chordata; class Mammalia; order Primates; family Hominidae; genus Homo; species Homo sapiens. Next base: position 44,319,495 of record NC_000006.12, read on the forward strand.
GGAAGGGAAATAAAAAATCTGCTTTCATCGTGTTAAGTTTGAAATTAGACATCTACATGGAGAGGTCATTCAGTGTTCGATATGAAAGTCCAGGCTGGAGTGCAGTGGCATGATCGCGGCTCACTGCAACGTCCGCCTCCCAGGTTCAAGTCATTACAGGCATGAGCCACTGTGCATGGCTTGTTTATTTATTTTTAAGAACAGCGACATTTGGCTTGTTTGTATGCAGATAGAAGTGATTTGGTACAGAGAAGAAGCTGATAAAGCAAGAAAATGAAAGGATTATTGCAGGAACAAAGTTTTAAAGTATTTGAAAGGATAAAATTCAGTACAAAATAGAGGGATAGGCCATTGCCATGTGCAGGAACACTTGTTCCATTATAATAAGAGAAGGATGTAATTCCAGCACTTTGGGAGGCCGAGGCGGGCGGATCACCTGAGGTCAGGAGTTCGAAACCAGCCTGACCAATATGGCAAAGCCCCGTCTTTACTAAAAATACAAAAATTAGCCAGGCGCGGTGGTGGGCGCTTGTAATCCCAGCTACTTGGGAGGCTGAGGCAGGAGAATTGCTTGAACCCGGGAGGCGGAGGTTGCAGTGAGCTGAGATTGCGCCATTGCACTCTAGCGTGGGCAACAGAGCGAGACTCTGTCTGGAAAATAAAAAAAAAGAGAGAAGGAGATGGAGGATACTAATTCTAGTAGGCCAGTGGCTTGTAGGGCTGAGGAGCAAGCAAGGGAGTACTCATTCTCTTGCACCTATTTCCTTGGTGAATATGCAGTGAGGTGTAGAGATGAAACTGCTGTCTAGAAAGAGAAGGTGATTTGCTAGGGATTAGCTGACACTGTTGGCTGCTCATTTAAGATTTGAGGTCCTTGATTTAAACTGAGGCTGATTAGCACAGCGGGATTTTCTCCATCCATGCCCAGCTACTGTTTGCACATTCAGAGCAGGCAGATAGTTGGGCATAATCAGGCTTTGGTCCTGCCATCCGAGTGTGATGGGGGTCAGGTAGGCATGAAGAAGGGTGCTTGCAGGGAAATGGTTAAAGTTCTGAAGCTTGTTCAGTATTTGAGTTGTAAACGCTACCCATCTTGGGGCTCATTTCATCTAATAGCCTTAGTATCCTGTTTCAAACCTTAAAACACAACTTTAAAAACATAATGATGTATATGATATGTGACTTCTCCCTCCTGCCTTTGGAAGCTTTTTTTTTTTTTTTGGATGGAGAAAAGAGACAAGAGACTGTTAGTGTGTAACATCTAAATATTATGTTAAAGAAGTAGTCACTAGTTTAGCCAGAGAAAATTTTATCTTTAAGCTGACTTTACATCGGAAACAGGAGTCCAAAAGACAGGCTTTTTTAAAGGCACTGAAGGAAAAACCCGTAAACACAAAATTCTATATCCAGCAAAAATATCATTAAAGAAGACAGAATAAAATTTTCAGATAAAAACTAAGAGAGTTTATCACCAGCAGATTGCACCATAAGAGAGTTCTCCAGGCTAAAGGGAAACACTACCAGATAGGAAGTTGAACCTTTAGGAAGGAATGAAGAGTGCTCGAAATGTTAAGTTGTATGTAGATAAATATAAAAGGCTATTTTTTTCCTCAATTAAACAATATGTATTTAACTGTTTAAAGCAAAAGAATTTGGCTGGGTTTGGTTGTTCATGCCTGTAATCCCAGCACCTTGGGAAGCTGAGGTGGGTGGATCTCCTGAGCCTAGGAGTTTGAGACTAGGCTGGCAACATGGCAAAACCCCATCTCTACAAAAAACACAAAAATAAGCTGGGCATGGTGGCATGTGCCTGTAGCCACAGCTACTCAGGAGGCTGAGGCGGGGAGGATTGCTTGTGCCTGGGAGGTCGAGGCTGCAGTGAGCTGAGATCGCATCACTGCACTCCAGCCTGGACAACAGAGGGAGACTTCTCTCTTAAAAAAAAAAAAAAATTGCAATTGTTAGTTCTATTTATTGCTCCTGTCCTTCAGGATGTGTAATATGACTACAACATACAAAATGGGAATGGGAAGTTGAACCATACAGTTGCAAAGTAATTACATTTTACATGAAGTGGTGTAATATTAACTCTAGGTAGACTCTGAAAAGTGAAAGATATATTTTGTAATCCTCTGAGCGGTGGTTTTCAGAGTGTGGTACAAGAACCTTGGGGGTCCCCAAAGCCCATTTAGGAAGTCTTCGAGGTCTTCCCATTTTCCACTATGTGTCTGTGTGAGGCTGGATTTTCTTCATATAAGTCAACCAAAACAACATATCTACAACAGATTACAGAAGCAGATATTAGAATTCATCTTTCATGGCCAGGTGTGGTGGCTCCTGCCTGTAATCCCAGCACTTTGGGAAGCTGAGGCAGGTGGATCACTTGAGGTCAGGAGTTGGAGACCAGCCTGGCCAACATGGTGAAACCCCAGCTCTACTAAAAATACAAAAATTAGCTGGGCGTGGTGGATCATGCCTGTAATCCCAGCTACTCGGGAGGCTGAGGAAGGAGAATCACCTGATCCCGGGAGGTGGAGGTTGCAGTGAGCCAAGAGCGCCACTGTACTCCAGCCTCCATGACGGGAGCGAGACTCCATCTCAAAAAAAAAAAAAAAAAAAAGAAAAGAATTCATCTTTCATGAAGCCAGAAATTGAAGACATTTACAAAAATGTAAAACAGTGCCACTCTCCTCACTATTTTGGGGAGAAAGTATATTATTTTTAATAAAACATGTTATTTATGTTAACATGTAATGGGTTTATTATTTTAATTAAATATGAATATTTTTTAAATTCCCAGTTTAATTTAAAAATTTTTTCTTTTCTTTCCTTTTTTTTTTTTTTTTTTTTTTTTTTGAGACAGAGTCTCGCTCTGTCACCCAGGCTGGAATGCAGTGGTGCAATCTCGGCTCACTGCAACCTCTGCCTCCTGGATTCAATCGATTCTTGTGCCTCAGCCTCCTGAATATCTGGGATTACAGGCGCACGCCACCACGCCTGGCTAATTTTTGTATTTTTAGTAGAGACGAGGTTTCGCCATTGGTTAGGCTGGTCTCAAACTCCTGACCTCAAGTGATCCACCTGCCTCGGCCTCCCGAAGTGCTGGGATTACAGGCATGAGCCACTGCGCCTGGCCTCCCTGTTTAATTTCTAATAGATATTACCCACATAGAAGCTCTTTGGGGGTTTTCAATACTTTTTAGGAGCACAACCTGAAACTAAACATCTGAAAATTTCTGCTTTACAGCAACCACTAAAAAAATCATGCAATGAGCAGCGCTATTCATTGTGGGGGAAACAACCCAAATGCCCATCAGTGGATGAATGGATAAATGGAAAGTGGTATGTGCATACAATGGAATACTAGTCAATCATAGAAAGAAATGAAATCCTGATACGTGCTACAATGGGGATGGACCTCGAAAACATTACTCTAAATGAAAGAAGCCAGACATAAAAGGGCATATGTTGTATGATTTCACTTATATGAAATGTCCAGGATAGGTAAATTCACAGAGACAGCAGATTGGTGGTTTCCAGGTGCTGAGGAAGAAGAGAATGGGAAGTGTGGCTTAATGGATACAGAGTCTTATTTCGGGATGATGAAAATGTTTTAGCTCTAGATAGAGGTGGTGGTTGCAGAACATTGTGAATGTACTAGATGCCTCTGAATTGTACACTTTAAAATGCTTATTTTAGTGTTATGTAAATTTTACCTCAATTTTAAAAAGTGCAACAAAATATCATTACAAATTTAACTTTTAATTTGATTTATTTATTTTTGAGACAAGGTCTTGTTCTGTTACCCATCTGGAGTACAGTGGTACACTCACAGCTCACTGCAGCCTTGACCTCCCAGGCTCAAGCAATCCTCGTACTTCAGCCTCCCTAGTAGCTGGGACTACAGGTGCGTGCCACCATGCCCAGGTAATTTTTGTGTTTTTGGTAAAGGCAGGATTTCACCATGTTGCCTAGGCTGGTCTTGAACTCCTGGGCTCAAGCAATCTGTCCGCCTCAGCTTCCCAAAGTGCTGGGATTACAAGTGTGAGCCACTGTCCCTGGCCAAAAGATCATTAAAAATTAATAGAGAAGGTGGCTCAATAGAACGCTGGCTCAAACCTGTAATCCTAGCACTTTGTGAGGCAGAGACAGGTGGATCACTTGAGGTCAGGAGTTCAAAACCAGCTTGGCCATCATGGTGAAATCCCGTTTCTACTAAAAATACAAAAAATTAGCTGGGCATGGTGGTGTGCACCTGTAATCCCTGCTACTTGGGAGGCTGAGGCAGGAGAATTGCTTGAACCCGGGAGGCAGAGGTTGCTGTGAGCTGAGATCGTGCCACCGCACTCCAACCTGGGTGACAGAGCGAGACTCCATCTCAAAAAAAAAAAAAAATTAATAGAGAAGTTAAAATTGAATTACAAAAATTACTTAGTTAACTCAAAAAAAAGTTACAAATGGAGGAACAGAGTAACTAAAAACATATAGAACAAACAGAAAATGAATAGCAAAATGGTGGCAGTAAACCTAACCATATCAAGAATAATATTACCCATGACCTAGCAATTCCTCTTCTAAGTATTTCACCAAAAGAAATGAAAAGAGCTATCTTCAAAAAGACTAGTATGTGGACGTTCATAGCAACTTTACTTGTAATAACCAAGAACTTGAAGCGGTCCAGGTGTCCATCAACAAAGGAATGGATAAACAAACTGTGATATATTCATACAATGAACTACAACTCAGCAATATAAGAACAAACCAGTGATATACACACAATATACATGAATCTAAAAAGATGCTCAGTGAAAGAAGCCTTACACAAAAGAGTACATACTTAATGATTTCATTTTTGTGAAGTTGTAGAAGTTATAGAACAGGCAAACATCTTTTTTTTTTTTTCTGAGACAGGGTCTTGCTCTGTCGCCCAGGCTGGAGTGCAGTGGTGTGATCTCAGCTCACTGCAACTTCTACCTCCTGGGTCCATGCGATCATCCCTCCTCCGTCTCCCAAGTAGCTGGGACTACAGGTGCACACCACCAATGCCCGGCTAATTTTTGTATTTTTTTAGAGATGGGGTTTTGTCATGTTGTCCAGGCTGGTCTCAAACTCCTGGGCTAAAGCAATCTACTCACCTTGGCCTCTCAAAGTGCTGGGATTACAGGTGTGAGCCACTGAGACTGGCCCAAACATCTATTTTTAAAAATCTAATTATTATTATTACTATTATTATTTTAGAGATGGGCTCTCACTTGGTCTCCCAGGCAAGAGGGCAGTGGCACTATTGTGGCTCACTGCAGCCTCGAACTCTGGGCTCAAGAAATCCTCCCACCCCAGCCTCTGGAGTAGCTGAAATTACAGGTGAGCACCACCACACCAGGCTAATTTTTAAATTTTCTGTGGAGGCAGAGTCTTGCTATGTTGCCTAGGTAGGTCTCCAACTCCTGGACTCAAACAATCTTGCTGCCTTGGCCTACCAAAGTACTGGGACTATAGGCATAAGCCACCTTGTCTGGTCAAGAGTGTGTACTTAATGATTCAATTTTTATGAAATTATAGGACAGGTAAACATCTATTTTTTATTTTTTTATTTTATTAATTTTATTTCATTTTACTTTGAGATGGAGTCTTGCTCTGTTGCCCAGATTGGAGTGCAGTGGCTCGATCTCGGCTCACTGCAGCCTCTGCCTCCTGGGTTCCAGCAATCCTCCTGCCTCGGCCTCCTGAATAGCTGGGATTGCAGGTACGCACCACCATGCCCAGCTAATTTTTGTATTTTTAGTACAGATGGGGTTTCACCCTGTTGGCCAGGCTGTTTTTGAACTCCTGACCTCAGGTGATCCACCCAACTGGGCCTCTCAAAGTGCTAGGATTACAGGCGTGAGTCACCGCATCCAGCCTTAATTTTATTTTATTTTTGAAACAGAGTTTCACTCCCATCACCCAGGCTGGAGAGCAGTAGGGCGATCTAGGCTCACTGCAACCTCTGCCACCTGGACTCAAGTGATCCTCCTGCCTCAGCCTCCCGAGTAGCTGGGACTACTGGTGCGAGCCACCATGCCCAGCTAATTTTTGTATTTTTTTTAGAGACGGGTTTTGTTATGTTGCCCAGGCTGGTCTTGAATTCCTGACCTCATGTGATCTGCCCGTCTCAGCCTTCCACAGAGTTGAGATTACAGGCATCAGCCACCATGCCTGGCTAAGCAGCTTTTTTAACTGTAGTTGTGAATGCTGGGTTTGTGTTGTTTAGAAGACCACCTTCCAGTCATGGACCTGAGATGCTTTGGTACTATGAAGGGGAAGGAAGAAGGAAAGAGGGGTTGAGATGCACAAAGAACACATCTATAATCCCAGCCCTATTAGCTAAGCAGTGCGTTTGACTAGCTAATAAAGCTCATGTGGCAAAGTGTCTGGGTAGCTTTCCTGGAGGCCTCACAATTAAGAATCAGTTTTTTCATCAGAATTGACCAAGGCCGGGGGTCTTGTGTAGTGTTTTTTCCTTCCTTGAGAAAATCTGGAATAAAGAAGGTCTGTATGTAATGCTATGAAAAGATCTCCAAGCCTGAAAAGAAAAACATGCAGAATGGTGTGATTGTATGCTACTACTGCAAATAAAGGAATGAAAAACAAAAACAAAAACAAAACATGTACTCATATTTGCTTATGTAGCTCTGGAAGGAACACATAAGAAATAATGGTGGTTGCTGGGCCCAGTGGCTCACGCCTGTAATCCCAGCACTTTGGGAGGCCGAGGCAGGGGGATCACCTGAGGTCCGGAGTTCAAAACCAGCTTGGCCAACATGGCAAACCCATCTCTACTAAAAATACAAAAATTAGCCAGGTGTGGTGGTGCGTAACTGTAATCTCAGCTACTCAGGAAACTGAGGCAGGAGAATTGCTGGAACCTGGGAGGTGGAGGTTGCCGTGAGCCGAGATTGCGCCACTGCACTCCAGCCTGGGTGACAAGGGTGAAACTCCATCTCAAAAAAAAAAAAAAGAAAAGAAATAACAGTGGTTTCAACTGAGATGGGGGTGGAGGCGGGGCCTGGCCAGGGGTGTGGGGTGGCAGAGAGGCTTTCCCTGTATGCCTTTTTTTGGTTTTTGATTTTGCAAGCTATATAAATGAATTTCCCATTCAAAATTAAATAAATGAAATATAAAAAGAGAGACATAGAATAACATGAAACAATGTTCTCCATGTCCTTGGAAGAAATAAGAGAGGGAGATTTTAGGCTGTGGCTTTGCCTGATTAAACATAATTTCAGTTACAAAGACGAGCACCACACTGTGAGACAGAGACTCCGCATCTTAATAAATGTGCATGAGGCTCTGCTGTCAAGGTACATTATTTTGATATTATTTTCATTTCTCTTTGCTTTGTTTTTATTTTGCTTGTTTGTTTATTCTACAGGTAAGTTTATCACTAAATCCTTTCCTTTCATAAAGATATTAAAGATATTTAGACCCCTTGCTAAATGTGGGATTTTTGTTTGCAGAATAACGTTATCTTTCAGAAGACATGCTACAAAGTCAGGTGTTATATGATGTCTGTGGCTCCTGGGAGTCAAATTGGCTCACTTACCAGAATATCTGACTTCCATCTTTCATTTGAGCTGTTATGGAAGGAGATAGTTGTTCTGTCTTTGGTCTAGAAACCTGTGATAGGAAGCCCTTCCATGAAAAGTGCTTAATAAATTAGAACACAGAATTCCATTATCCCTTCTTGAAATGGGCCCTCTGTCTGTTTGTAAGGATGTCTGGAGAATGGAAATGTAAACACAGAATTAAGAATCCTAACTTTAATGCAATTTTCATTTGCTATCAATGTACTCCATTGTCTTTGAGATGCTATTAAAAATGCATGCAGGATGTGAGTGAGATGAAACATCAAATTCAAGTTGAATCCAATTTACAATGGCACTCCATTTCTTTGGCCCACCAGCTTCCAGGGGCTTTAAGCCATCTGGGACACAGCCCAGAGCATGGGAGTGAGCAAAAAGGGCCTCTGAGCGGCAAGAAGTGCTGCCGTAAAGTCTGAGAAGCTCAATTCAAAGGAGGGTCTTTCCCACACTCACTCAGGGCCCTTGGAATCAGTAACTTCCTTTATATTATTAATAGTAGCTACCCTTTTTTGGGCACTTACTATGTACCAGGTAACGTGCTTTATATGTAATACTTATTTAATCCTCACAACAATCCAATGAGGTAAGTTATAATTCCCATTTTACATATGAAGAAAGTGAGAGAAGTGAAGTGACTTGCTGGACATCATACAGACAGTAAATAGTAGAGCAGGAATCTGAACTCAGGCAGCCTGGGGCCAGAGCCTATGCTATTAACCATCATGCTCAATGTTCCCTTCTCTCTTTTAGTTATAGAACAGCTTTTGCAACAGACCACAGATGCTGAGTCTGTCTTGCTGCTGGATGTGGCCATGTGGATACATTTTTGGCCCCTGGACTAGGAGCAGAAGTGAGATGTGCCAGGTCATACAAGCTCTGCCCTTCTGCCTCTCCTTCTTTATGAGTTGGGATGTGGTCTTAGGGGTCAGAGTGAAGGGGTGGGTTGCCCCTCCACACCTGTGGGTGTTTCTCGTTAGGTGGAACGAGAGACTTGGAAAAGAAAAAGACACAGAGACAAAGTATAGAGAAAGCAACAAGGGGACCCAGGGAACCAGCGTTCAGCATATGGAGGATCCCGCCAGCCTCTGAGTTCCCTTAGTATTTATTGATTATTCGTGGGTGTTTCTCCGAGAGGGGGATGTGTCAGGGTCACAAGACAATAGTGGGGAGAGGGTCAGCAGACAAACACGTGAACAAAGGTCTTTGCATCATAGGGTAAAGAATCATGTGCTGTGCTTTAGATATGCGTACACATAAACATCTCAATGCTTTACAAAGCAGTATTGCTGCCTGCATGTCCCACCTCCAGCCCTAAGGTGGTTTTTCCCATCTCAGTAGATGGAATGTACAATCAGGTTTTATACCGAGACATTCCATTGCCCGGGGACGGGCAGGAGACAGATGCCTTCCTCTTGTCTCAACTGCAAGAGGCATGCCTTCCTCTTATACTAATCCTCCTCAGCACAGACCCTTTACGGGTGTCGGGCTGGGGGACGGTCAGGTCTTTCCCTTCCCACGAGGCCATATTTCAGACTATCACATGGGGAGAAACCTTGGACAATACCTGGCTTTCCTAGGCAGAGGTCCCTGCGGCCTTCCGCAGTTTTTGTGTCCCTGGGTACTTGAGATTAGGGAGTGGTGATGACTCTTAACGAGCATGCTGCCTTCAAGCATCTGTTTAACAAAGCACGTCTTGCACCGCCCTTAATCCATTTAACCCTTAGTGGACACAGCACATGTTTCAGAGAGCACGGGGTTGGGGGTAAGGTTCTAGATTAACAGCATCTCAAGGCAGAAGAATTTTTCTTAGTACAGAACAAAATGGAGTCTCCTATGTCTACTTCTTTCTACACAGACACAGTAACAATCTGATCTCTCTTGCTTTTCCCCACATCAGAGCGCTAAGAAAGGTAACACCCAGGGGTGGCAGAGCAAGAGGTTGGAAAGAGCTTGGGTTCCGACCCCGTGGAGTTACCACGGATGCCTTGGACTATCTATTCCTGCATTATTACATGTGAAAGAAATAAACTCTTCTGTTTAAGATGCTTTAAATCTCTGTGATAGCAGCCAAACTCACAAGCCAATGAATTTATCCCAGGGCATGAAAGAAAGGCTACTTTATATTAACAAGTCAAGGAATTATTCAAAGCATTTAGAAATTCAATAACAAACAAGCTTTGAGTCCTAATAGGGGCAACTTTAATTCTTTGGAAATATCTCTGGAAAATTCCTTAATGATGATAATAAAAGGAGGTATACTTTATTTGATGGATACAATAAAGGGAGCATGTAAATTCAATTCAGTTCCACAAATGTTTATGGAATGGCTATTATGCGCCAGGCAAGGCTGATAGAGCCCTTGCCCTCAGAAAGCTCTCAGTCACTGGGGTGTGGGGGACACCGACAGATGAGCATGCAGATGATCAGGGATGGTGGAGCACAGAATCCAGCCCCAGCTTAGGGCATCAGGGAAGGCTCTTTGGAGAGATGGCCAAACAGAGTCCTAAGGCCGAAGACAAGTTGAGTTTTCCTTAAAGAAAGGAGTACGTGTGTTTTATGGAAGTTGGAATTGAAAAGCCCATCCAGATCCAGAGGCTTCTCTCTTCCTAGAGACACGTGACCCATGAAACTAACTAACATCTTGAGTTACCCCGTTTCCTTCTTGTTCCAAGCTCCTTGCACCCATGGGACAGGTTCTGGCGAACTTTTGGGTGGCCAATGTGCTCTCTTGCACTGTAGGTGCAATGTCTGTAGGTAAGCAGACATTACCTAGGATATATCATCCAGGATTATGAAGGGTCCTTAGCTGATAGCGTCTCTTCCTTCATCTTTAAGCAGCGATAAAAGCTGAAGGAGCAGCCAGGGGCCTTGGGGAGTTAAAACAGTGCTCACGGAAGCAGGAGCTCACTCACTGTCATCCTCAATAACAGGCAGATAGAGGACAGACAAATTATTTAACTCTGGTTGTCAGGTCTGAAGACGATGATGTTACCCTTGCCCAAGCAGGGGGCTGTGGGGAATGATCAATAGAAGGTATTAGATGGCACTTGCCAGACGGTGAAAGAAAGTCAGTAATTAATTACCTTGGAGCAGTCTCACAGAAATATTGATGTCTGAAAGATATATGACATGCTCTTTTCCTTAGAGCGTATTCACTCAGAAAGAGAGTCCGGATTCTGGTAGTTGGGGTAAAAGATGGTAGAATGCAGAGGAGAAGCAAGGAAAGATAAAGGTAGACTAGGGTCAGTCATGAGAATTTTCTTTCCCTGAAATGTGGTTTGAGGCTGGCATCCTTGGTGTCTCACCCCAAACTTTTTCCTTACCTCTCTAGTCTCCAGAGTTCAGACCTGGGTCTGATTCTGACTCAGCCGTAAGTCAAAGCCAAAATCCAGAAGTATATGGTCATGGACTTTTAGGAAAATTGCCTAAAATTATATTTTAAGGAAAATTGCATTATTTTACATAAAGAGTGTGTGTGTGTATACACACATATGTATGTATATTATGCATATACCCATATATGTGATATGGTTTGGCTATGTCTCCACCCAAATCTCACCTTGAATTGTAGTTCCCATAATTCCCACATGTTGTGGGAGGGACCTGGTGGAAGATAATTAAATCATGGGGGTTGTTTCCCCCATACTATTCTCGTAGTAGTGAATAAGTCTCATGAGATCTGATGGTTTTATAAGGGGAGATCTGTTTTGCTTGGCTCTCATTCTCTCTTCTCTGCCACCATGTAAGATGTGCCTTCCACCTTCTGCCATGATTGTGAGGTCTCCCAGCCATATGGAACTATGAGTCCATTTTTTTGAGAAGGAGTCTCGTTCTGTCACTCAGGCTGGAGTGCAGTGGCATGATCTTGGCTCACTGCAACCTCCGCCTCCCAGGTTCAAGTGATTCTCCTGCCTCAGCCTCCCAGGTAGCTGGGACTACAGGCACGTGTCACCATGCCCAGCTATTTATTTTTTATTTTTTTGTATTTTTAGTAGAGACGGGGTTTGACCATGTTAGCCAGGATGGTCTCAATCTCCTGACCTTGTGATCTGCCCGCCTCGGCCTCCCAAAGTGCTGGGATTATAGGCATGAGCCACCGCGCCTGGCCTTCGGGTATGTCTTTATCAGCAGTGTGAAAACGGACTAATACATATGTACATGCATATATACATATATACAGATGCTTTTCACTTGGCTTTCAACAAAGATGTATTTATCACATTTGCTTTTCATGCAAAATGTTGTGACCAAGTGAAAAAAGATAATAAAATAGAACAAATAAAATACTGAAAGAAAAAGCTCTTGAATTTTGCTGAAATGAAAATTTAATGATAAATGAGAAGGCCTCTATTTAACATAAATGTAACCCTGAATGTGTTAACATTGTCCTCTTTGACATAATAGATAAATATATTGAGCTGTAATTACTATACATACCATACTAAGTGCTTGAATTTTAATCTAATCTCTGCCTACAAAAAAAAAAGAGAGTATAAAATTGCTTCCTGGTGTTCTTAGAAGAGAGAATTAAATTCATAACACAACCTTCTGAGCACTGTGCCCTGCGTCCTGCTTCCCCTTCCTTTATTCTCCATGCCCTTACACTATTTCATTTTCTTCATAGCACTTCTTTCTTTTCTTTCTTTTTTTTTTTTTTGAGACAGATTCTCACTCTGTCACCCAGGCTGGAGTGCAGTGGCGTGATCTTGGCTCACTGTAGCCTCCGCCTCCTGGGTTCAAGTGATTCTTGTACCTCAGCCTCCCGAGCAGCTGGGATTACAGGCGCCTGCCACCACGCCTGGCTAATTTTTGTATTTTTAGTAGAGATGGGATTTTGCCATGTTGGCCAGCCTGGTCTTGAACTCCAGGACTCAAGTGATCCGCCTGCCTCGGCCTCGCAAAGTGTTGGGATTACAGGCATGAGCCACTGTGCCCGGCCTCATAGCACTTATTTCTAGCTCTCATTTTTATATTTATTTCTCTACCATATTAAAACTTGTCATTGAAGTATAACATATGTGCAGAAAAATGCACAGGTGAATTGCTGGATGCATTTTCTGGGGGTCATGGACTTTCAAAAATGTTATTTATGTAGTTGTAAAATATACATAACACAGTATTTGCCATTTTAACGATTTTTTGTTGTTGTTGTTTTTGTCTTTGAGACAGTCTTGCTCTGTCGCCCAGGCTGGAGTGCAGTGGCGCGATCTCGGCTCACTGCAACCTCCGCCTCCTGGGTTCAAGCATTTCTCCCTGCCGAAGCCTCCTGAGTAGCTGGGATTACAGGCATGAGCCACCACTCCTGGCCCCATTTTAACAATTTTAAGTGTACAATTCAGTGGCATTGAGTACACTCACACTGTTGTGTAGTCATCACTGCTATCCATCTCCAGAACTTTTTCATCACCTCGACTGAAGCTCTGTACTCATTAAACATGAAGTCCCCATTCCCCTCCCCACGGCCCCTGGCACCCACCATTCTACTTTCTGCCTCCATCAATCTGACTATTCCAGATACGTTATATGTGGTCATGAGTCACTAGCTGTGACCCTGAGCACCTGACATCATGTGCCTCCTGTTTCTCTTTATTTGGCCTAAGTGTATTAGTGTTAAGCCATGTGATGACGGTCCCCAGCCAGCTACGCTGCCTTGAAGACTGTGCACAGGGATTTTTCTCTCATTTCCTGTCATTACTGTGAGAAACTGTGATGCAGCTAATGTTTCCATGTCGGACCGCAGTCTCCAGTGTGAGCAGGAGGAGCTGCCAGCTTCACAGTTAACTCCTCTTGCCCGTCACAGTAATAAGTGGATTCCTTCCACTTAAGTGGATTCGGTTAAGAGCCCAGTGGTGCTGTGAACACCATCTCTCAGAACAAATGGAAGCTATGTTTGAAGGATGCTGCTTCTACTAGTGATGATTTCTGAATTTTTCCTCTTCATCTCCTCTGAAAGATTTCTTCCTAAATAGGTAGGTTTTGTATTCAAAACAGCCTCTGTTTGGAAAAAGAAAAAGTGTTAATTACGCAGTTCTGCTTCTTTCCTGCCATTACCCCTTCTCCTAAATCTGTTTTAGCTGAATAATCTCCTGAATCCTGTTTAGCTGAATAAGGAACATCTGGGGCTTTTAAAGGCCTTTTTCATGTGAGAGAAAGGCACATCTGTTTTAGAGTATTTCTGGAAAATGAAAGAGCAGAATGGAAATTTGACAAGATTGAAGTGTGCTGGGAGAACATGTCCACTTCTCACTCCAGAGCCTGGAAATCACGATGACATTTGGTTTGGAGGAAATGGCCAGTCCTGCAGCTGGGCCTGTCTCCCTCCAAAGCCCACAACGAACCAGCGAGCAGTCCAGTCGTCATAAATGTGGACCACAAGTTCCTCTCTGGAGCTGCAGAAGACTGAAGAGGAAGGCGTTTTCCCTCCATTTGCAAAGTAACAAGAACCAAGGGCTTCCTGACCTCATGGGTGTCTTGGAGGAACGTTGAGGATGGATGAAATTCACAGGACTCAATAATCGTCCTCCACTCATCACAGCCTCCCTGTGTTAGAACAATACAGCCACTCTCTGCGCCACGTGACTTTGCATTATCTCCCACGTGTGCAGATGGAGTCTATGTGTTCACCTCACTGATTTTGAGTTTTCCCATGTGACCTGCTTTGGCCAACAGAATATGAGCAAAAGTGGCAGTGCAGCAATTCAGACACAGGCCTCAAGAGACATGATGTGTTTTCACCCACCCATCGTGTGCTATGCCATTTGACATGAGAAGAACAGGCCTTAGGGAGCTGCTGCTGATCCCTAGGGAATGAGATAAATCCCAGGGAGCGAACCTGGATCTGAGCTGCAGTCTGAAGCCAGGCTTAGCTGACCAGGTCTAGCCTGAAGCAGATTGATGCTAGCTGACCTCCAGACTCGTGAGTGAGCAAAATAGGTGTTCGTTGTTGTAGGACACTGAGTTTGAGGTAGTTTGTTACACAACATTATTTTTGCAATAGCTGAGTAATACAAAGGCCAAAATACAGAAGCCAAGAGTAAAAGGGCAAGTGAAGTAGGTGGCTGATGTGTGAGTCGATACGGAAGTGATGGTGGGATCTGAGCAGACAGCATGTGGGGAAGGGCCTGCAGGAACAAGGTGGAGAGGATGGAGGAAAGGAATACTGCACTGCAGCCCAACAGAGCCTGGATGGAGTGGCAGCCCCCCTCCCCACACACCCCTCCTCTGTGCCTCTGCAGAGTACTGGGCCTTTCTGGTATCTTTGTTCAGTGTTGCCAATATCCAGGAGGCTTCCAGAGAGTAGAAGTTTGACTCCTAACAGGGTCAGGATTTCCAGTTATGGGGTCAACCTGGGCTTATAGTCATGCTATGTCAATGGAACAATAATGGAAAGGTGGGGCATGTGAGATCTAAGGAGAACGCTGCTGAATGGGTATTGGCATCACTAGCTGGGAGCTCCCTAACTCTACACAGTCATTAGTACAGGGAACCAGCCCTCCGAAGCAGAACTTCCAGGCCATGTTGGTGTGAGCAGGGCTCTGAAAGGTCCTGTGACCTTGAGGAAGCTACTTAATCTCTCCAAACGCAGGCTAGGGGGTAATGGGGATAATAACAGTACCTATCCCCACAGGACTGTTACAAAGAGTTAATGCGGGGAGCCTCTGACACAATGCCTGGCACAGAGTGAAGCCCACCATTAATTAGCATCAATAGCTATGTCACCATTTCTTTTCTTTTTTCTTTTTTTGAGTTGGGGTCTTGCTATGTTGCCCAAGCTGGCCTTGAACTCTTGGGCTCAAGTGATCTTCCTGCCTTAGCCTCCTGAGTAGCTGGGCCTACAGGTATGTGCTACCATGCACAACTTATGCTGCCATTTTGTAATGAGACTGATATCTGGCGTTCAGTAAGAAATGGATATGTCTTGTTTTTCTGAGCCTAGATATTTCTTAAAAGTAGAAGGCCGAGCGCAGTGGCTCACGCCTGTAATCCCAGCACTTTGAGAGGCCGAGGCGAGCAGATCACCTGAGGTCAGGAGATCAAGACCATCCTGGCCAACATGGTGAAACCCCATCTCTACTAAAAATACAAAAAATTAGCTGGATGTGGTGGTGCGTGCCTGTAATCCCAGCTACTCGGGAGGCTGAGGCATGAGAATCGCTTGAACCTAGGTAGCAGAGGTTGCAGTGAGCAGAGATTGCACCACTGCACTTCAGCCTGGCGACAGAGTGAGGCTCCGTCTAAAAAAAAAGTCGAAGTCCCAGCAAATAGACTGTCGCACTCAGCCTCCTGAGTAGCTGGGATTACAGGCACGCACCACCACATCCAGCTAATTTTTTGTATTTTTAGTAGAGACGGGGTTTCATGATGTTGGCCAGGATGGTCTTGATCTCCTGACCTCAGGTGACCCACCCGCCTTGGCCTCCCAAAGTGCTGGGATTACAGGCGTGAGCCACTGCACTCGGCCTTCTACTTTTAAGAAATATCTAGGCTCAGAAAAACAAGACATGTCCATTTCTTACAGATCTCTCCTTGGCAATACCCTGAGCAGAAATCTGACTTCCACCATTTGTTCCTCAGCCCACATCAGCCAACCTGCTGGCTTTTGTTTTCTTTCCCCTTTCTCTGTTTCTCGGGAAATCTGTCTATTCTTATGCTTGTAGGGGGAAAGAAAAGTGGAGGTGGACCTGAAAGAGCAGATGGCAGAGCTCAGCAGCATGCTACCTCTTGCCACCAGCTTGGGCTGTGGAAATGCTATTTTATAGTTGGCAATTCCACCATGAGCTAGGTGACCCCTCTGCTGCACCTGTGGTTTGTGAAATGGATCATATGACCTTCAACAAAACAACAGCTGGGGCTTTTTAAACCAGGAAGATCCTGCCATGCTAACTTGCATTTCTTTTCCTAACCTACCATAGAATCTTGCCCTAGTTCTGCCTTGCACTCTTTTTTTTAGGGGAGAATTTCCAAGGCCAATGAGCTCCCTACCTAGCCATTTTTGCATTTTTCTTAGAGTTTGTGTGGAGAAGCCCGTCTCTCTCAGGAGGCAGTCTTCCCCATTGTCTTCTAAAAGCTGGCCCTTCTGGAGGGTTTCAGTCTGTCCCTGGTCCTGGTTCAAATCTGAGTGAAGATGCAGGAGGATGTAGCCACCCTCCTCTCAGAGTTCATGATGAGCACGGTAAGGAGATGATCTCACTTCTTCCCCAAGAACCTTTAGCTCTTTAACAACTTGCAAGAATGAAATTTCTTCTATTGGTTTCTCTCCTCCACTCTTCCCCAAGAGAACAAGCCAAATACTGTACAGGTCCTCTTGCATCAGAGTTGAGTGTTTGTACTTCTTTATTATATAAATCAGTCATAGAAGGAATTGCTCTTCATAACAAAAGCACACAGTTATTGACTTCCTACCATGTGCCTGTCATTCTAAGTGACATGTATTTATTCATGAATCCTCTCAACCTTATGAGGGAAGTACTATTATGATCTCCGTTTACAGATGAGGAAACTGAGGCTCACAGGGGCTGAATAACTTACCTAGAGTGGACAGCTGGTAAGCAGGAGTGGCAAGATTTGCGCTCGGGAAGTTTGATTCTGAAGACTGCGCTTGTTCTTATAACGTCATAATGCTTATTTTCACAGTATTGGCTGGGTTGAAGACCACAATAACATTTATTTGCTTATTTTTTCTGCAAAAGTAACAAATATTCAGCAATGTTCAGAGATTTGGCAGCCTCTTAATAGGCTCCAGTAATAGTCTGGCCTTCTGTGGATGAATGTTCGTTCTCTTTAGAATATGGATTATTTAATGCCTCTTCGTCTCCAACTTGGAGCCCCAGGTACCAATTTCAGGCACCAGAAAAAGTTCATTCAACTTCCTGTTGGTAGGCCAACATCTCCCACTCTCAGCCTAGCTGAAACCAGCTTAACCATTTCTTTTGCTAACCCTCTTTCCTCTCCAGTTCACACAGAGACCCATGTAAAATTAGATCTATTTTTCCAAGACTTGGTGTCCTCAGGCCGTAAGTCTTGGGGTTGTCTTTGCCTCCTCTGTTTGGTTGGCTTCTCATATCCATTAAGTGCCTTCTGCCTGGCCCTCTTCCTCAGACAGCAGCCTTCCCACCTCATCAGACTAATCTCCCTAGAGCTCTAGGGTTCTACTAAGAAAGAAATGGCACCCTCCAGCTGAGTAACTGCAGGGTATAATAAAGGCACTATTTACAGAGGTGAAGGTGGGGTTTAGGAAAAGCAGCAGGGAATGGGGCAATGCCTCAGGGCTGTAACAGCTGGGAGTCACTTCTATTCCTAGGCCTGCAAGGTCCAGGGAAGGAAGCAGTCAGTAGTCCCCAAAGAGAGCTGTGTGGAGCCCACCCCTGACAGGGGCCGTGGCCCTAAGGGGAGGGGCATAGACAACTGAGGCCAACAGGACAGGAGCTAGGGGTTGAGGGGTAAATACCCTGACTTCACTTCCCTCCCTGCCTTCCTCTATGGGATTTGGGGGTGCCTCTATGGGATTTGGGGGGTGCAGTCCACATAGGCCAACCTCCCAGGCAGGCACAAAACAAGGTGGAGACAGTGGGAGTGGACCTGGGAGGGATACAAGGATGGGCAGCATATGCCATTTTTGCCTCATCATTCCTCTGATGAGAGATCTGCAGTGACTTCCTAGTCCATATTGGGTTAAACCTCATATTGAAGGAATTCCACTTCAACCTCACGTAATTCAGCCTTTTCCTTTCCTGTTCTGTAGAGTATAGGCATTCCACTCACAGAAGCTGCTGTCCTTACTCTGCATGTCTGTTTTATATATTACATAGGTTACACACATTTTAAAATCTTAGTCATTGATTTATGTTACTCAGAAATCCAAGTCCAAAGGGACTTTTGTGTTTCTGGGACAAGCGTCCTCCCAGGCCTCTCCCAGGCGGTCTGGCAGCCTAGGATGTAGCCCTGACAGCCTGGCCAGTACTGAGATGACAAACGGACCTGCTCATTGCTGAGGGCACATATAAGAAGGCTCTGGCACAGTGGTGAAAGCTTAGGCTCTGAATCTAAAGAGACTGGATTTAAACTCCAGCTTTGCCAGTTACGGTGGTGGGATGAGTTACTTCTGCCTTCTGAGTCTGTCTTTCCTCATTTGTAAACAGAGGATGATTCTACTAGCACTTCACTGTGGTTGGGATTAAATGAGATAAACAAATGTAAAGAGATGGGCAAAGCTATCAGGGGAACTCAGTCAGGGAAAGGACTGTGTTTTACTCACCTTTAAATTCTTGTACCTAGCACAGTGCCTGGAACATAGCAGGTGTCTGGTCATTGTTTCCTGGCCTGAACTGATGGGGAGGCCCTCTGGCTATTTGGGAGCTGGCCATGTTAGTCAGTTCTGAGGTAGCAAATGCTCTCTCTCCCCTATCTTTGCCAGGCTTCTTCTGCCTACCATTGAAGGGTTCTGACGGTGGCCGTGTGTCAGTAATCCACTCAACACCTATTTCCCTAGCGCTGTCTTTATACAAGGCTCTGTGATGCCCCTTACTTGAAGTCAACTGTAGACAATCTATGAGCGCATCCCGTTTTCCATACCTGGGTTTATACTGCCCTCTGGTGCACACTTATGGGACACGCGCGTTAAATGAGGGCTTCTGCTGGGTGACCTTTCCTTGACATTGGGGAAGAGAGGCTCCCCTATAGGGACAGCCTGCAGTGCTCTTTCGAGGAGAAGTGGTGTTTAAGACGCCCTCCTCACCCAGTTTAGCTTGTAGCTCTTGAGGCTTACCAAACTCGAGGCTTTTTTTTTTTTTTTACCAATGTCTCTGACCCTAGGCAATTAAATAATACCATCCTTCTAGGCTCAAGTTTCTTTCTCCAGCAGGCACTTTTTGTCCTGCCAAGACTCAAGAGGAATGGGGTAGAGTTTATTTGAGTTTATCTTTCTCCCTCTGCTGTCTGGTTTCCTCTAATCTCTGGGCTCTTGATTCTTATGGCTGCCCCAGCTGCTCTCAAGGGTCTGGGGTTGGGGGAGCCAGGGGAGAACCAGAACCAACGGTTCCTATCCAGTGCCTGGCCCCCTGCTTCCACCCCCGCCTCACTGTCTATCATTCCTTCCCAGAGACAAGCTCCCAGCTACTGAAAGCGAAGTGGGGTCCTTCAGGGAGAAGGAGCAAAGGGGAAGGGAGGGGGTTAAAGTTCAGCCCACCCTCCTCTGGCCTCACCATGAAACCTGCTAGAAGTATTTGTCCTTCATGATTAAGTTGAATAACATAAATTTGCTGATATGCAACTATGTTTCACCTACATAACCAGAAATTTTATATAGTTCAGTGGAAAACTTCACACGTAAACCCTGTGCGTGTTTGTGTTGGCCTGGAGCCCCAGGTTTCCTGAGCTCATTCAGACCCAGGAGAGCCAGGCTTGTGGAACATCAGGATCCCGGACTGTAAAGCTGAAAGGAGGGCCCTAAAGCTGGAGAAACAGTTGAGTTGACCTTAAGGACCTGGGACCACCGCCCCTCCCTGCATCAGGCCTCCATGTTCCTGCACAGGTGCTGCAGTAACCTCCAGGCTGGGCTTGGTTTGGGGTGCTCAGACAGGGGACGGCAAGGGAACACTGAGGAAGGCCTTCTTCTTGCCCAACTGTGCTCACCCTCCCGGCTATACAGGCAAGATTTTCTGGGACCTTCAGGAACCTCAGTCTTCTGGGGACATCTAGCATCCTCCCCTCGCCTCTGCTGCTGAACTCTGGTTGTGGGGCTGCTGTGCACAGGAAGCTTCAGGTGCCAATCCTGGGAAAACACTGGCTGTGCGTTGGGGCCAAGCTGATCAGAGGCAGCTCCACGGCCTTGAGAACACTTTAGCTGGCTCCAGTGCCTCGCCAAACCTTGGGCACAGCTGCCAGGGCAGGCCTGGTGCGACAGGCATCTAAAACTTGCCCAAGGAGTGAGGGCAAGGTGGCCTGGGAGGTTTTAAGCTGCAGAGTAAGGGAAGGCTTGTGAGTCACAGTTCACAGGACTCACTAAGGATGAGAAAGTTTCCCTTCTGTGATTCACTCGCCTGCCTTGCAAAATCACCTGACCAACAGATAGATCTTGATGTCTTGGAACCTGGTGGTTCAGGTTAGAAACCTGGACTCTTTCCTCCTAGGAGGATGCAAGCAAGAGAGGGAGGGGCTCAGCTCAGACCATTGTAATCATCCATCCACCCACCCACCCACTCACTCATTTATTCATTCATTAAATAAATGGTTATTGAGCATTTATATGTGCCAGGCACTGTGCTAGTTGCTTGGCATACAGCAGTGGACAAAATAGACAAAAATCTCTGCCTTCCTGGTGAGGCAGCCTCTTGAGTCAAGCCATTAATAACTAACTATGCTGTTGCCCAGCTAACATTTCTATTAAATAACTGTTACCTCTCCTACCGTGGGATAAAGAGATAACATGTTTTTTTAACTTCAATAAGGGGAAATGCTCAGGATATGCAGCCATCCTTCTGTATCCCTGGGGGATTTGTTCTAGGACTCCCCTCCCACACCAAAATCTTGAGCATATCAAGGATGTTCAAGTCCCTTTTACAAAATGGCATAGTATTTGCATATAACTTATGCAAATCCTCCTGTACGGTACTTCAAATCATCCCTAGATTATTTATAATACCTAAAGCAATGTAAATGCTATGTAAATTGTTGCTATACTTTGCTGTTTTTATCTGTATTATTTTAAATTTTTATATATTTTTTGAATATTTTTAATCTGTAGTTGGTCATATCTGTGGATCCAAAACCCTCAGATATGGAGGGCCAACTTTTTTTTTTTTTTTTTGAGATGGAGTCTCACTCTCTTGTCCAGGATGGAGTGCAGTGGCATGATCTCAGTTCACTGCAACCTCTGCCCCCCGGGTTCAAGCAGTTCTCCTTCAGCACCCCAAATAACTGGGATTACAGGTGCCTGCCACCACGCCTGGCTAATTTTTTTTTTTTTGTATTTTTAGTAGAGACGGGTTTCATCATGACGGCCAGGCTGGTCTTGAACTCCTGATCTCAAGTGATCCACCCACCTCGGCCTCCCAAAGTGCTGGGATTATGGGATTATGGGCGTGAGCCACAGCCCCAGCCATCAACTATAATCTTAAATTTTAAAAGCCCAATACAAGAGATATCTATATCTATATCTATCTATCTATCTATCTATCTATCTATCTATCTATCTATCTATAATATGTTAACATATTTGTGCACAGAAAAAGGGTAGAGAGGAAGGAGCCCCTAAATATCAGCAGGGGTGTAAATCACTAGGGGTATATGACATACATGTGCATAGAAAAAGGACAAGGAATAACCCCTAAATATCAGTAGGGGAGATTGTATTTTCTAGGAGGGCCACAAGATCCCCTGTCCCCTGTGCTCTTCATACAGTATGACCATGATGGAGAGGTGTGATCTAAGTTCCCTCTCCATGCATTTGTGACTATGGAGGCAATACAACTTCTGCCTGGTCCTCCTGGGATGCTCACGTTGGAAACTCAGACACTGGTGTGAGAAAGCACATGGAAACGCCACACATGGGTGAACTGGCGCTAACCCTGCTGACCTCAACTGACAACCAGCATCAATCACCAGACACATGAGTGAGGAAGCTCCTCTGTGACCTCTGACTGAGACCCTGTGAGAGACCCCAAGCATGAACAGCCTAGCTTAGCCTAGCCAACGACCAGGATCAGAAATTAAAAATGAATGTTGTTGTTTAAAACAACAGAGTTTGAGGGTGATTTGTTATATAGCAATAGCTATCCAGGAAAAAAGTATTTAACTTCTGTATGGTGAGATCATGGATATTAATAATACTTTTCCATATTTTCCAATATTTCTATAATGACCATTTATTTCTCTTATAATCAGTAACAAAAGAAGGGAAAACTTGGTCTAAACACGAATTTAGGGACTTAAACTAGACTTGGAGAAAAGCTTTCTATGCAAGATTTATTAGATACTGGAAAGGATGAGGAAGACAAATTTAAGTCAATATGATGGAAAGAGTGGTGGATTTGGAATGAGGAAACTTAGAAATGAATCTGTTTTCTGGGTGACCTTGCGCAAGCCTTTGCTAAAATTTGGTTTTCTATTTTGAAAAACGCAGCTGGCTGTTTAAGGAAGATAATATCCACCAGGGCGCCTGGCCCAGAAAAGGCGCTCTGTAAGTGGTAGGTGGATCCTGTCTAATCAACGCCAATTATAACCAGGCATCTGCAAGCTTTGTGGAGGGCGCATCTTTCACTGCTACCAGAGCCTACAGTTCTAATAATGAAAATTGCCTGGAAAAGAACCACAACTCTTAAAAAAAAAAAAAAAGTCCAAAATCACAAAGTGGCTTTTGCAGCGGTCCTTGCCTGTGACGCCGGGCCATGGCTGGAGCTCCTTGCTCCGTACCTCTCAGGAGCCTCCATCCTGTACCAATGGCCAGAGAGCCGGGGGGTGACAGACAGGGGGGCCGGCAGCCGAGCCAGGCAGGACGCTGCGCGCCGCGTTACTGGAGCCGGTGTCCCGGCAACCCCGGAACGCGCCTCTGTGGGAGAAGCAGGCGGCTGCGGTGTCCCTTTTGCCCTAGGCTCTCGGTTCTCAGGCCTCGGCGTGCGGCGTGCGTTCGGCAGTTCAGTTGCCAGTTGGTTCGTTGGTCCGTGGAGGCCTCTGAGCACAGACCCGGGCCTCCCCTGGGGAAGGGGGTGGGAAGACCCCGAGGTGGAAAAGAAGGAGCACCTTGAGCTGGATGGGGGCTGCAGCGAGCCTGGTTCGGGCTGGGGGCGGACTCGCTGGGGCTCCCAGGGCTTCCAAACCACGAAACGCCCAGGTGGAGGGAGTAAGGCTCCCGTTTAGAGGCCAGTCCTGCCCTCCTGACTTTCGGTGGCTTGTGGAATTTGTTTGTTTTGACTGATACCTTTCTTACGAGGGACTTTCTTTGTCTCTGGGTTGCTTCTAATATTTAAAATCATCATGGGCACAGATGAGTCCATCCATGCTCACTGGAAACAGTCCACGGGGCTGCCGTCTCCCCTCCATCTCAAGCACGACCTGCGGCAGACAGCTGGAGAAGGTTCCAGAAAAAAGGGACTCTGGCATGACCGAGGTGGAGAGGACCTACAGTTGAGTTCTAAGAAATCCAGGCTGTGGAGTTGGTGGCCACATCCAAGTATACTACACCCGGGGGCGGGGGCAGGTGGGGGGCACCATTTGAAGTTTAGAAGGAAGCTAGTTTGGGGGCATGTAAAAAGAGCTGCTTGAATAGTAGCTTATGTTTGTGCTAACCCAAGATTTGATTAGGCAGAGAGCACCACCAAAGCAGAGAGTCTCATAAATTACCTCACTGGATCTCACAGCAGTGGAGAAGTATATTACCTATGAGTAAAGGGAGCCAGAGATTTGACCTGCCCAGTGCTTGGGTTAATAAAAGGTGAGCCTGGGATTTGACATGAGCCTGGGATTTGACATGAGTCTGCCATACTTTCGAGCCTGTGTCCTTTCATCTTTCCTTTGCTCAGATATTAGTAGGTTTGTGTCATTGTTTATTGGATGGGACAGTTCAGGTGAGAATTATGAACACTCTAAAAATTAAATAATGGCTGGTAGCTCCATAATTGGTTAAGGCCGAGGAGGGTATTTGGGGGCACGTTTGCCTTTGGAGAACAGTGTCATGGCGCTGAACAGCCACAGTCTCCCAGAAAAGCTCAGAGTGCGCCTGCGCTCAAGTTCTCATTTACCTGTTATGGGTGAGTGGCCTGAGTGCTGCAAAAAGGGGTTGTGAAATATCCAGACTTTGCGGGATCAGATCTTAGCTTTCTCCCTGGTCTTCTGTATTCTGGGTGTGTGATCTCCTCATTCTCCTTCACAGTGGGGAGAAAGGAGGGAGGTACAACTCATTCCACCCAGCTATTAATATAAGCTAGGACCGTAGAGAAGGAGGAGCTGGAGGAGTTAGAGCTATTAATTGTCCAAGTGTGTCTGCAACAGCAAGGAGAAAAGGGTTCTGGGATTCTAACTTTAAGCTCCAGACCTTCCTGCAGTTTCCAGTTTGGGGTAAAGGAAGAAGCTGCTGTTTTAAGGATGTCCTAGGGAGGATCCATGTTTTCGAGTTAGGGGTAGCAGAAGGGTACCAGGTCCCAGACCACATTAATGAAAGACCCATGGTGTCCTTTCCTGCTGTGTAGGTGAGTCTATTCAGGAGAATACATCTGAGTTTAGCTTAACATGGAGTCTATGGATTTCAGCAAGGAAGGGGCTCCACAAACCAATTGAAGATACGTGTGTGTGTGTGTGTGTGTGTGTGTGTGTGTGCATTTTTCCATCAGAGAACCGATTGCTTTCATTACTGCTCATGGGGGAGAGGATAGAATCAAAAAACGGGTTAAAAACTTCTGTCCTTGATCCTTAGGCCCCTTGTGAAGCAGATAAGCAGGGGTGGGAAATAGTGTTTGGTTAAATGAGTATCCATGTTAAACAAACATGGCTTGATGTATTATTTTTCTCCCTGCCAGACAGAGCTATTATGACAATCAGCTGAGATGACAAACATATGAAAGTGCTTTGGTTATGTAAGGTGTTATTCCTGCCTAAAAAAATGGAAATAATTATCCTGAATTCCACAGATGGCAATAAAGAAACAGACTTTCTTCCAAATTCTCTTTTTTCCCTTGAATTCCTTTCTGGTTACCAGAACCTTCTCTTGGCCTTTAATTACATCATTTCTTCTTAATTTTGCAGTGTTTTAGAAACTTGTTAGAATTTTCTGACTTCTGGCTTACTTGACATTTATTGCGCTTGAATAACAATTTTCATGATAAATGGTGAAACTTTCAAGCAGGGTGTATCTCCTTAGTGTGTTTGTCTCCCCACAGCCTTCTGAGCTAGATGGGGGAGAGGGCAGCCACTGGGAGCTGGGCGTGGAGAAGTAATTGACTTGCTCAGAGTAGCTGGATGGTACTCTATGCAGTGGGAGCATCAGTATTAGTATTAGCGTCAGTATTAGTAAGTGTTCAGGCTTGCAATTCCAGCTTCTCTTCCAGCTAATCTTCTTTTACCAGGGGAGGGGCGGGGAGGCATCTTGAGAACATGTTTAAGTGTCTCCAGCTCAAGTTTGAGGTTGAGTTACTCTCAGGAAGATGCCGTAGTCAGCTTGATCTAGAGAGTGTGCTGTTTGCCAGTTTAGCAAGAGATTGCTCTTCCCATCCTTGTCCATCAGACAAGCTTTCCCCATTATAGTGGCCACAGGCCACTTTCTAGAGTGCTGCTGCCACAAAACTTTTCAAGCAAGCAAGGAAGTGTGCTAAAGTTTTAGGTGTGTTTCACTGCTCGCTGCTTAGGGAAATGCAGTACATTTACATTTTGTTCCTAACACAAACAAAAAGCTTGGGAAAGGACCCTCTCTGATACCATCCATAGAGCCAACCAATTCTTGCTTGGGTGAACTCTCAAGTCCTATAGTGGCAATATACAACTAAAATGTTTACATGCTATGAAAGGCAGCCACTGTTAAAACCTATGGCCAAAAATTACCATAAGTAAATCTTACTGTAAATACCTCAGAACTCACATGCAATTATTGACATAGAGGACATCTTTGGCCTTGATTTCATTTCATTCACATATGTGAATCCATTCTACATCTCCAAACATGCATTTCATGGCTTTTTCATAGATACATTTCTAGATGTAGAACTATTGAGTCAAATGACATGCACTTCTCATAGGCTTCGGAAGTCACATATGGCCAAATTGCTCTTCAGTAAGATGGGGACATTCCCACCAGCAATGATAGGAATGCCATTCCTCCAAGCTGTGCCAAACACCTGGGTGTTTGCAAACGGATAACAAATAATGGCATCTCATTTTAAATTCGGTTCTTCAATTATTTGGATGGGGCCACGTACAGTGTCTCATGCCTGTAATCCCAGCACTTTTGAGGTGGGTGGATCACTTGAGCTCAGGAGTTTGAGAGCAGCCTGGGCAACATGGTGAGACCCCATCTCTACAAAAAATACAACAACAACAAAAAAATAGCTGGACATGCTGGTGTGTGCCCATGGTCCCAGCTACTTGGGAGGCTGGGGTGGGAGCATCACTTGAGTCCTAGGGGCAGAGGTTGCAGTGAACCGAGATCACTCCAGCCTGGGTGACAGAACAAGACCCTGTCTCAAAAAAAAAAACAAACCCACAAAATAACCACCCACTCCCCCAAACCCAATTATTAGGATGGATGAAATTTCCCCCAAATACATATTGGCTATATGTATGTGTTATTTTATTTTATCTTATTCTGAGATGGGGTCTCACTCTGTCACCCAGGTTGGAGTGCAGTGGTATGATCAGGGCTCACTGCAGACTCGACCTCTCCAGCTCAAGCAGTCCTCATGTCAGCCTCTCAAGTAGCTGGGACCACAGGTGTGCAACACCACGCCCAGCTAACTTTTTAGTTTTTTGTAGAGACCAGGTCTCCATATGTTGCCTAGGCTGGTCTTGAACTCCTAGCTTCAAGCAGTCTACCTGCCGCAGCCTCCCGAAGTGCTGAGATTGCAGGCATAAGCCACCTTGTCCAGCCTGTTTTTAAAAATAAGTTACCTGATCACATCTTTTGCCCTTTTTTTTTCTTTTTGGATATTTATTTTCATCTTATAAATTTATAAAAGCTCAAGGAGTGTAAATTAGTTCAACCATTGTGGAAGACAGTGTGGCAATTCCTCAAGGATCTAGAACTAGAAATACCATTTGACCCAGCAATCCCATTACTGGGTATGTACCCAAAGGATTATAAATCATTCTACTGTAAAGACACATGTACACGTATGTTTATTGCGGCACTGTTCACATAGCAAAGACTTGGAACCAACCCAAATGTCCATCAATGATAGACTGGATAGAGAAAACGTGGCACATATACACCATGGAATACTATGCAGCCATAAAAAAGGATGAGTTCATGTCCTTTGCAGGGACATAGATGAAGCTGGAAACCCTCATTCTCACCAAACTAACGCAAAAATGGAAAACCAAACACTGCATGTTCTTACTTATAAGTGGGAGTTGAACAATGAGAACACATGGACACAGGGAGGGGAATATCACACACTGGGGCCTGTCGTGGGGTTGGGGGAGGGGAGAAGGATAGCATTAGGAGAAATACCTAATGTAGACGACGGGTTGATGGGTGCAGCAAACTACCGTGGCATGTGTATAACTATGTAACAAACCTGTACGTTTTACACATGTACCTCAGAACTTAAAGTATAAAAAAAAAGCTCATAATTTGTCATGACTACTCACTCTTTTTTCTTTCTATCATGTTGTTATAGATTTTCCCCCAGTTTATAGTTTGCTATGAAAGTTTTAAGTTTATATTTAAAGAGGCATATTCAAATCTATGCCTCTTTTCCTTTATTTTGCCTGTATTTGGTATCTTCTTGGCAATAACTTCTTCACTCTAAGATTATATAAACTTTCACTTACTTTTTTCGGGTACATCTTTAATTTCAATTTTTACATTCAAATCTGTGAGTCATCTGGATTTTCCAGTTTGGGATAAGAAAGGATTAATTTTATTTTTATTCCAAATGGTTAATTAGTTGTTCCAGCAATATTTTTTGAATAACCCATCCTTTCTTCACCAAGATAAAATGCCACTTGTTTTCATATACAATTTTATTCTATTTATGTTTACTATTTTGTTCTATTGATTTGTCTGTTAGGGTTTTTGTCAGTACTGTCTTGATTATTTGAACATTAGACTACATTTTATAAATTATACTCCATGGCTATGTAACCCTGAACAAGTTATTTGACATTTCTGGAGCTTAATTTCTTTATCTGTAAATTTATCTCTATTTTATTTATAATTATGGCCTTGTTTCATTTCTATTATTATTATTATTTTTGTTTTTTTTTTGGGATGGAGTCTCACTCTGTTGCTCAGGCTGTAGTGCAGTGTGGCATGATCTCAGGTCACTGTAACCCCCGCCTCCTGGGATCAAGCGATTCTCCTGCCTCAGCCTCCTGAGTAACGGGGATTACAGGCGTGCACCACCATGCCCGGCTGATTTTTGTATTTTTGGTAGAGACGGAGTTTCACCATGTTGGGCCAGGCAGTCTTGAACTCCTGACCTCAGGTGATCCACCTGCCTTGGCCTCCCAAAGTGCTGGGATTACAGTCCAGGCTCTAATATTATTTATTTGTGTTTAAAATTTTTTCTTGAACCTTGTTTATCTGCATTATCAGCTTTTGCATGAAGCCATAGTTCTGATAATCTTTATTTCATTCATTTCTGCTTTTATGATTTTATTCCTTAAAATCTTTTCGGGGGGAGAGGGGTTACTCTTTTTTTTTTCTTATTTCTTAAATTGACAACTTGGCTCATTCATTTTGGAATTTTTGATTTTGAACACTATAATCCATCAATTCTTGGATAGACAGTTTGCATCTTTGAAGTAGGGACTGGATGTTACCAGGTCTGTGGGCCCAGCAGCAGGTAGGATGTAGTTGTAATAATTTTTGCTGTATGAGCACTGAAGCATGTAGAACGTGTGTTCATAGCTTGGAAAAAACTCCAGAGACAGTAGAGAAGCACTTTTGCGCGGTGGCTCACGCCTGTAATACCAGCACTTTGGGAGGCCAAGGCAGGCAGATCATGAGGTCAGGAGTTCGAGACCAGCCTGGCTAAGAGACCAGCCTGGCCAATATGTTGAAACCTCATCTCTACTAAAAATACAAAAATTGGTCCTGGCGCCACTGCGCCTGTAATCCCAGCACTTTGGGAGGCTGAGATGGGTGGGTGACCTGAGGTGTGGCGTTTGAGACCAGCTTGGCCAACATGGTGAAACCCCGTCTCTACTAAAAATACAAAAATTAGCCAGGCATGATGGTGGGCACCTGTAATCCCAGCTACTCGGGAGGCTGAGACAGGAGAATCGCTTGAACCCAAGAGGCGGAGGTTGCAGTGAGCTGAGATTGCACTACTGCACTCCAGCCGGGGGGACAGAGCGAGACTCTGTCTCCAAGAAATGAATAAATAAATAAGCTGGGTGTGGTGGCATGCACCTGTAATCCCAGCTACTCGGGAGGCTGAGGCAGGAGAATTGCTTGAACCCTGGAGTTGGAGGTTGCAGTGAGCCGAGATTATGCCATTGCACTCCAGCCTGGGCGACTCTGGCTCAAAAAAAAAAAAAAAAAAAAAAAAGAAAGAAATGCTGCATCACTCAACTCACATTTTTATTGAAATATTAGGTCAGTATTAGGTGGAAAGTGTGGACAATAGTGATTGAGTTGAAAGTGGTTTAGTAGTCAGATTTCTGAATGTGCATAAGATTTAGGAATGCCTTAACCAGTCTATTGTGCTTATATTTTCCTTCTTTATATATGTGCATGAGTGATATGTGATTAAAATCTATAAATAAATTAAAAGAATGCATCAATAAGTATAAAATAAAAATTCTAAGTGATAAAAGCATGTATCATACTTTAATTGGCAGCCTTTGTTCTTTGTGATACATAAAATAACGATGCTATTACAATTGATGGTGCCTTATATTCAGTGAAATACAGCATATGCATTCAAGGCCCCAGATTTCTAATTACTGCTTTAGTTGAATCCCACAAGTTTTGATATATAGTACTCAATGTTCATTGATCATTAAGCAACTCATGATTTCCATTACAATTTCTTCTTGTATGTGAATTATTTAGAAGTGTGGTTTGAGTTTCCAAGCTTATGGATACTTTTTGGCTGTCTTTTTATTATTGATTTCTAATTGTATTGCATTGTGGTCAGAGAGTGTGGTCTATGTATTGTTGATACTTGTTTTGTGGCTTGGTATATGGGTGGTTCTTCCTTTGGTTACTGGGGACCCGTCTCCTCATCCTCACCTGCTGCTTGCCTGCCACCTCCCCTGGGCTTGACTCCATCCCAGTTACACCTCAAGCAACCAGTTGGACCTCACTGTGCTGGGGGCTGCTCTAGGCTCTAGGGCATATTCCAGAGCAGCACTTCCCACACTTGGCTGACCCTAAGAATCACCTGAGGTGCTTCTTAAATATCCTGGCTCCCAGACTGTAGGTCTGAGTCAGAGCCCTGGGGCCTGCATATTGAACAAGTACCCCAAGGGGATTCTCGTGACTGGGCAAATTCAGGAAGTTCTGTGCAGTTGGGAATCTGGAAGTGGAACTGGATAAAATACAGTGCAGTGATGGAACTAGACTTCAAGAAGGAGATTACTGCCAAACGTGAGCCTAAATGAAGAGCAGGGGTGAGGGTGGGGGCTTATTTAAAATGCAGGTTCCCAGGCCTCACTTGGAGAGATTCTAATTCAATAGGTCTGCGATGGAATTTGAGAATCTGTATTTTTAACAGGCTTCCTGGGTAATTCTGATGCAGATAGGCCTTGCGCCATGTCCTGAGAAGCCCCAGAGTGGGAGGATTTTGAAGGGAGGGAGTAGCTCAGCTGAACTTTAAGCTTTGTAGAGTAACAGGCAAAGTCCTCTTAGGAGTGAAAGGTTTGGTGATAGATCGGGACTTGATAAGAATGGAAAAGGTATTATTCACTTGTGATATGAATTTGAGAGGAAATGAATAAAAAATTCTCTGAGTAGCAGTCCTGCTGATAGATGGTGGGAATTTGCATAGTTTACACTATACAGTCATATCAACGGGTTCTGCATTGGCAGATTCGACCAACTGCCCATAGTAAATATTCAAAAAGGAAACAACAAGTCTGGGTGTCGTGGCTTACACCTGTAATCCCAACACTTTAGGAGGCTGAGGCAGGTGGATTGCTTGAGGCCAGGAGTTTGAGACCAGCCTGGCCAACATGGTGAAACCTTGTCTCTACTAAAAATACAAAAATTAGCCAGGCATGGTGGCGAGTGCCTGTAATACCAGCTACTCATGAGGCTGAGGCAGGAGAATCACCTGAACCCAGAGGCGGAGGTGGCAGTGAGCTGAGATCACACCACTGAACTCCAGCCTGGGTGACAGAGTGAGACTCTGTGTCAAAAAAAAAAAAAAAAAAAAAAGAAAAAAGAAAAGAAAACAACAATATAACAACAAAAATAATACAAATAAGTATATAACAACTATTTACATAGCATTTGCATTGTATTAGGTATTACAAGTAATCTAGAGATGATTTACAGTACAGCATACAGGAGGATGTGCATATGTTATATTCGAATACTACACTGTTTCATATAAACGATTTGAGCATCTTTGGATTTTTGTAATTTTTGTATTGCGGGGGTCCTGGAACCAATCCCCCGTCGATACCAAAAGATGACTCTATATGTGTGAAGCATGATACTGTGTAGGTGGAATAGTAGTCAGTCTAAAAATGTACTCAAGAATCAGAGTTTGACTCTTATTTCTTACAATTTTCTCATAACCAGAGGTTACATTGCCATCTATTGAGCTTTAGTGCTCTACGAAATTATGCATAAAGAAATATGCATAATCTTTTCATCGGACTTTTTATTTTTGTGGCTGGATGAGGTACATAACTGTATGAGATGATAACAGAACAAATTGGCTTTCATGAAGTATTAATAGTATAGCAGAGTGAAGATAATGGATATTCTTCTATGTCTGACACTCACTGGTTTTCAGGACTCCCTTACTTGTAACTGTGGGTGGTTGGGGAGTTATAATTCTTTTTCATTTATTCACTCAAACATTTATTGAGCACCTGCTTTGTGCCAGGCACTGTTATGGATTCTACTAAGATGAATAAGAACTGTGAGGGGAACCCACAGAAGTTTCTGAGGGCATTCTTTGGGTTGTGATCAGCATTATATTCATCAGTCTTTTTATAAACAAATCCTTTGGAAAATTATATTGAGATGCTTAATACAATGTACAGTGCTATATAGCTCACTTCAGATCCTAGGTCTTCCACTTAGTTCAGAGTAGGTGAACTATATGTAGGGGCAAGCAGTCTAGTACAGGGCTTAGAATCTCAGGCTTTAGTGTCACAAGAGCTGTAATCAAATATGGGCCTAGATGTTTTCTTTTTTCTTTTTTGTTTTTCTGAGACAGAGTCTCTGTTGCCCAGGCTGGAGTGCAGTCATGTGATCTCGGCTCACTGCAACCTCTGCCTCCTGGGTTCAAGCAAGCCTCCCACCTCAGCCTCCCAAATAGCTGGGATTACAAGAGTGTGCCACCATGACCAGCTAGTTTTTGTTTTTTGTAGAGACGGGGTTTCACCATGTTGGCCAGGTTGGTCTCGAACTCCTGACCTCAAGTCAGGGTGGATCTTATCTGATCCACCCACCTTGGCCTCCCAAAGTGCTGAGATTACAGGCATGAGCCACCACGCCGGGCCTAGATGTTTACTTTTTATGCAATCATAGGCAAGTTTCTTAGCCTTCTCAGCCTCAGTTTTCTCAACCATAAAATGGGGATAATAAGGAATACCTAAGCCTGTGGGTTGTTATAGGGATAAATGGAATAATATGTGTAAAGGTGTTGACATAATCCTCAGTGCACAGTAAATGTTCAATAAATGTTAGCTGTTTTAAAAATTTATTTATAATCTAGGAAACAAAATAGGGTGGAATGTATTTTCAATAATGTAATTAAATGGTGATATCTCTGTGTTACAGGTGCTAATTGCAGTGATTTTCTGGAATCTAAGGGATGTTTTGCCAACACAACACCCTCTGGCAAAAGTGTCAGTTCCTCATCTTCTGTGGAAACAGGCCCAAGTGTCAGTGAGCCTCCTGGCCTCCCCAGAGTGTCTGCTTACGTAGAGTAAGTAAGGGTCTGGTGCAGAGCTGTCACGGTTGGGGAGATTCTGACCAAGAAGCCAATAGTCTGAGAGGTAGCATGGTATGCTTGGCAAGAGCATGGATTCTGGAGCTAGACTGTGTGGGTTCAAATCCCGGTTCTGCCACTTAGTATCTGTGTGAATCTGAGCAAATTACTTCACCTCCCTGGGCTTCAGTGTTCTTATCTGTAAAATGCTGATGATAGCTTATAGGATTGTTGTGAGGATTAATTGAGTTAATAGCTGGAAAGAGCTTAGAAGACTTCCTGGCACACAGCAAGTTCTGTGTAAGTGCTTGCTATTACGAAGTTCAAAAATAAGTGAAACTATATATTTTTGGGATATGTACATACATACATGGGTGGTAAAACTTAAAGAAAAGCAAATAAATGATTATCGTAAGAGTCACAATTAGGGTAGTGGTTACTTTTCCCGGAAAGGGACCCACACAGATGGTTTCTGGGGAGTGGGGAAGGGAAGGACTGGCAATGTTTTGTTTCTTTTGTTTGGATAGAGACAGGGGTCTCTCTCTGTCACCCAGGCTGGAGTAGAGTGGTGTTATCTTGGCTCACTTTAACCTCAAACTCCTGGGCTCAAGCAATCTTCCCTTCTTGGCCTCTTAAAGTGCTGGGATTACAGGTGTGAGTCACTGGGCCGGGCTAACGTTTTGTTTCTTGACCAGGATGTTGGCTTTGTAATTAGTTGTAAAATTGACTTTGTGTTTTATGTACTTTCCCTGTTTATATTTCTTTTACAATAAAAAGTTTTGAAAATGCTTTTCTAATAATTTTTGTTACAATGGAAGTAATTTAAGTTTATTGTAGAAAATTTGAACAGATGAAGACAGTATTGAAAATAAAAGTCACAGCCGGGCAAGGTGGCTCACGCCTGTAATCCCAGCACTTTGGGAGGCCGAGGCTGGTGGATCACGAGGTCAGGAGATCAAGACCATCCTGGCTAACATGGTGAAACCCCAACTCTACTAAAAATACAAAAAATTAGCCAGGTGTGGTGGTGGGTGCCAGTAGTCCCAGCTATTCGGGAGGCTGAGGCAGGAGAATGGCGTGAACCTAGGAAGGCGGAGCTTGCAGTGAGCCGAGATCGCGCCACTGCACTCCAGCCTGGGCGACAGAGCGAGACTTCGCCTCAAAAAAAAAAAAAAAACAAAAAAAAGTCACATGGCTGGGCATGGTGGCTCACACCTATAATCCCAGCACTTTGGGAGGTTGAGGCCAGGAGTTCGAGGCCAGCCAGGGCAACACAGTGAGACTCCACTCTACAAAAAAATACAAAAATTAGCCGGGCCTGGGGGTGTGCACCTGTAATCCTGGCTATTCAGGAGGCTGAGTTGGGAAGATCAGTTGAGCCCAGGAGTTCCAGGCTGCAGTGAGCCATGATCGAGCCGTTGCACTCCAGCCTAGGCGACAGAGTGAGAACTTGTGTCAAAATAAATAAATAAATAAATAAATAAATAAATAAATAAATGTCACTATAATTTCACATCTTAGAGAATATGTTAACATTTTGATATTAGTTTTTTATATGTGCAAGTAAACATATTTTTTGCACATAAAATATATATTTATTTTACAATTAAGATCATATTATATTACTCTTTTGTAAAACCTACTTTTTAAAAAGATTTATTAAGGGTTTTACTATTTTTAGAGCAGTTTTGGGTACACAGAAAAATTAACAGTAAGGTACAAAGTTCCTATGTACTCCCTGCCCCAACACATGTACAGCCTCCCCCACTATCACATCCTGCACCAGAGTGGGACATTTATTACCATGGATGAACCTACATGGATACATCATAATCACCCAAAGCCCCTAGTTTACAATAGGGCTCACTCTTGGTGTTGCACAGTCTATGGGTTTGGACAAATGTATAATGGCATGTATCCATCATTGTAGTAGCTTCTCTATTTTTATTTATTTATTTATTTTTGAGACAGGATCTTGTTCTGTCACCCAGGCAGTGGCATGATCATGACTCACTGCAGCCCTGACCTCCCAGGCTGAAGCAATCCTCCTGCCTCAGCCTCCTGAGTAGCTGGGACCACAGATGTGTGCAACCATGCCCAACTAATTTGTAAATGTATTTTTTTTGTAGAGACAGGATCTTACTATGCTACCCAGGCCAGTTTCAAACTCCTGGACTCAAGTGATCCACCTGCTGCAGCCTCACAAAGTGCTGGGCATGAGCCACTGCTCCCAGCACATTATGGTTTCACTGTCCTAAAAAATCCTGTGTGTTCCATCTATTCATCCCTTCCCACCCCTCCCACCCCCTGGCAACCGCAGATATTTTTACTGTCTCCATAGTTTTTTCCTTTCCAGAATGACATATAGTTGGAATCGTATAGTATATACCCTTTTCAGATTGGCTTCCCTCAATAATATGCATTTAAGTTGCCTTCATGTCATTTCACCACTTAATAGCTCATTTTTTCATTGCTGAAGAATATTCCATTGTCTGGATGTACCATAGTTTATTTATTCATTCACTTACTGAAGGACATCTTATAAAGGCAGCTTTTCCACTGAGCAATATGTGGAGAGAATTTTCTCATACCTTTGAGTGTTTTTCAAGAACATGGTTTTCAATGACTGCGGTGCTTGAGTGTCAGATGAATAGACCACAATCTAACCAGTGACCTATAGTTTTAAAGAGTTGCTATTGTAAATAGTGCTGTAATGCGTGTCCCTGTACATTCAGCTTTTGCCCATCTCTGGTTATATCATAAAAGTAAATTCCTAGAAATGGATTTATTCAGTTAAAGTTAAGGGAAGTTGCTCAAGTGATTCTTTATATCACAAAATCTGCTCCAAGTGGACTTGCTGCCCCCAGCACTAGACATGGAAGAGGCTGGCATAATTCTTAAGCTCTGCCTCTTTAGGTCCTCTGCAACAGGTGTATATCACTAGCAGCAGTAGTGGGACCATGTATTGGGAGGGAAAGAAAGCCCGGAATGTGAGGTTCACATCCTGTAGGATGGGGAACTGCGTGATTGCTGCCACTTCTACATTCCTAATTCCCACCTAAATAAGTCCCCTTTATCTTTCATGATGCCTGGGTTACGGAGGACCTAACTCAGTCAAAGCATGTGTAGCCGAATCTAAAGCTCCACTCTAGACATAGCCTCAGGCTTTAGATTGATATATTGAACTGCTTTCCAGATATCTCCACCTGAAGTCCCACAGGCCCCCAAACTCAACATGCCTTGACTGAACTTCTCATCACCCATCCTTACAAACCAAATCCTTCTGTGTTCCTTGTCTCAGTTGATAATCTCAGTATTCATACAGCTCCAAAGGTATAGATTGACAGATCATACTTGTCTCCTGCCGCTCATCCAATGGGGGATCAAGCCCTGAAACACCGTATAAGTCCATCTCTTCTACTCCATCTATATTACCATGGTCCCACTCAAGGCCCTGATCATCTCTTACCTGGACCACTGTAATACCTTCTAGATTAGTTATTTATTGGTACACAACTAATCACCCTAACTTAGTTACTTAAAACAACAAACATTTATTATCTCACATTTTCTACAGGTCAGGAAACTGAGTATAACCTAGATCGGTGCCTCTGGCTCAAGGTCTCTCTCACAAGATTGCAATCGAGGTGTTGGCCACAGCTGTGGGCTCATCTGAAGGCTCAACTGTGGGAGGATCCACTTCCAAGCTCACTCATATGGTTGATAGCAGGATTCACTTCCTCACAGGCTGCTGGGGCTGAGAGTTCAGTTCCCCACTGGCTGTTGCCCACAGGCTTCCCTCAGTTCCTTGTCTCTACAGAGGGCATCCCACAACATAGCAGCTGTCTCTCCTTACAAGCAAGCAGGAGTGCACATAAGACAAAGCCACAGTCTCTTTGTAACCTAATGTGGGAAGTGACATCCCATAACATTTGCTGTTTTCTCTTTGTTGAAAGTGAGTCAGTAGGTCTAGCCTATACTCAAAGAGAGAAGATTACAGGAGGGAATAAATACCAAGAGTCAGGGATCACTGGCAGCCATGTCAGAGGCTGCCTGCTACACTCTCCTAAGTGGACTCCCTGACTTAAATTTTATATTCTCAAAGCCCATTCCTTTCACAGCTTCCAGAGTTTTCTAACCACATGTGACCATGTCATGTCGTTGCTTACCATTATTTAATGATATTCCATTAAAGCTTGATAAAAAAGAGTCCCCCTTCATATGAACTGCAAGTCCTCCAGATCTGTCTCCTTCTCTTCTCCACCTTTATCTCAAAAACTCCTGCCACAACCACATCAAATTTCTTCATTTCCCTGATGTTTCTTCCTTCTATGCCTTTGCTCACATTGCCTCCTTTGCTTGAAGTGGCTTCCTCCAATGCCTTGCTGTGTTCACATATTGTAGAAGCTGCTTGGCTTCCACTGACTTTCCAGTGGCGTCGTCTATGCTATTCTCCTTTTTCTGGGGAATTGATTTTCACTCCTTCCTTACCCAGTTTTTGTTTGTTTGTTTGTTTGTTTTTTTAGATAGAGTTTCGCTCCTGTTGTCCCAGCTGGAGTCCATTGGCGCCATCTCGGCTCACTGGAACCTTGGCCTCCTGGGTTCAAGTGATTCCCCCTCCTCAGCTCCCTGAATAGCTGGGATTACAGGTGCATGCCACCACACCTGGCTAATTTTGTATTTTCAGTAGAGATGGGGTTTCACTATGTTGGCCAGGCTGGTCTTGAACTCCTGACCTCAGGTGATCCACCCCCCTCAGCCTCCCAAAGTGTTGGGATTACAGGCATGAGCCACTGTGCCCAGCCCTTCCCTATGCAGTTTTTAAACATTTTAACACAAGATCTTGCTATGTTTCCCCGGCTGGTCTCGAACTCCTGCCTACCCAGTTTTAATGAGTATTCTGAATAGGAGCTACCATCATCTTACTTATCTCCACTTCTTGATAGTGATTGATTTAAGGGAGAACGTGTGATCTGAGCTGAGCCAGTGAGTCCTTCCCTGAGATTTTTCACATTGGAGATACGGGTAAAAATTGGTTGGAAGACATGAGAATTTGAATCTGGTCTGTCAGTGGCCTTTTTGCTCTTGTGAAGAAGCTCATCTGCAATTGGCAGAAAGGAAGCCAAGGTGTCAGGATAAGCAGAGGAGAGTGACAGTTCTGAGACATTGAACCCCAATTCCAGTTGTCCCCAGCTATACTCTTGTCATGGAAACTAACACACCTCCAAAATTGCTTATATTCTGAATCAGGGGTGGGGGCACTGAGTTATTGGTCCTACCTACATCACAGGATTGTTAGTAGGGAGCAAACAAGACAAGCAATATGAAGTTGCTTTGATGCCATTTAAATATGAGTGACGCATTGTTATGAAAAAAGATCCTGTGACTTGATAACAGATCATTGTACCTGAAAACATTGTCCAAGGCCAGGTTTCAGACGCAAAGCCATTTAAACCAGAAGTGATTGCATTTTCAGCTGACACCTATAATAGTTTGTTGTGGGCCTTTATAAACTGCTAGGAAGTTCAGCGCTAAACATAATGCTCTATTATTGTAATCATTTCAGCCTAGGTTTGTTTTTGATTATTTCTTCGTCTTCTTTACATACTTATTGATTTTTTATTTGCATTTAA
The DNA here is from genome assembly GCF_000001405.40 of Homo sapiens. Taxonomy (NCBI): domain Eukaryota; kingdom Metazoa; phylum Chordata; class Mammalia; order Primates; family Hominidae; genus Homo; species Homo sapiens. The sequence continues at coordinate 44,358,510 of NC_000006.12, forward strand.
TGGTTTTATTAAACATGCTTTTTTTGGTAACAGATTTATTTAAACATAATTCACATACCTTAAAAGTCACCCACTTAAACTGTGCACACAACTCGATGGTTTTTAGTGTATTCATAAAGTTGTGCAACTATCACCACAATCAATTTTAGAACATTTTCATCACCACAAAAAGAAATCCATACCCTTTAGCAATCATCCCCCTGCAGCCCCATCTTCCTATCCCTCTAGTCTGAGACAACCATTAATCTACTTTTGTCTGTATAGATTTGCCTATTTCAGACATGTAATATTAATAGGATTATCAATATGTGGTCTTTGGTGTCTGGCTTCTTTCACTTAGCACAATGCTTTCAAGGTGCATACATGTTGTAATATATATCATTCCTTTCTAAAAATTGTAGTAAAATATATATGGCACAACATTTGCCATTTTATCCATTAAAAAATGTTTTTTAAAGAAATGGGATTTCACTCTGTAGCCCAGGCTGGAGTGCAGTGGCATAGTCACTGCTCACTGCAGCCTCCACTTCCTGGAGGCTGGAATGAGGTGGAGTGATCCTTCCACCTCAGCCTCCCAAGTAGCTAGAACTACAGGTGTGCACCACCACACCTGGCTAATTAAAAATTTTTTTGTGGAGATGAGGTCTCACTATTTTGCCCAGGCTGGTCTCAAACACCTGGGCTTAAGTGATCCTCCTACCTTGGCATCCCGAAATACTAAGATTATAGGCATGAGCCACTGCGCCTGCCTGATTTTATGCATTTTTAAGTGTACAATTCAGTGGCATTAATTGCAGTCATAATGTTGTGTAACCATCACCATTGTCTATTTTCAGACATTTTCATCAGTCCAAACAGAAACTCTATGACCATAGCAATAACTTGCCATTCTCCCCTCTCCCCAGCCCCTGGTAACCTGTAATCTACTTTCTATGAAGTTACCTATTCTAGATATTTCATATAAGTGGAATCACATAATATGTCCTTTTGTGTCTGGCTTATTTTACTTAGCATAATGTTTTCAAGGCTCACCATGTTGTAGCATGCATCACTACATCATTCCTTTATTTTTTTCTTATTTTTTTGAGACAGGATCTCACTTTGTTGCCCAGGCTGGAGTGCAGTGGCGAGATCTCTGCAGCCTCCACTTCCTGAGTTTAAGCAATTCTCCTGCCTCAGCCTCCTGAGTAGCTGGGATTACAGGCATGCACTACCATGCCTGGCTAATTTTTGTATTTTTGGTAGTGATGGGGTGTCTCCATGTTGCCCAGGCTGGTCTTGAACTCCTGAGCTCAAGTGATCCACCTGCCTCAGCGTTCCAAAGTGTTGGGATTACAGGCATAAGCCACCATGCCCAGCCACTTCATTCCTTTTTAAGGCTGAATAATATTCCATTGTATGTGTTATGTACCACATTTTGCTTATCCATTCTTCTCTTGATGGACACTTGGGTCGTTTCCACTTTTTGGCTGTTGTGAATAATGCTGCAAAGAACATTCACATGCAAGTATCTGTTTGAATCTCTGTTGTCAGTTCTTTTAGGTATACACCTAGAAACAGAATTACTGAGTCTTATGGTAATTCTGTGTTCAACTTTTTGAGGAACCACCAAATTATTTTTAAACACTTAAAAAAATTAGTAAAGACGGGATCTCACTATGCTGTCCAGTCTGGTCTCAAACTCCTGGCCTCAAGTGATCCACCTGTCTCAGCCTCCCAAGGTTTTGGGATTACAGGCGTGTGCCACTGAATACCCATCTTTTCAATAAGTTTCAGTCCCCTCAAATTATGAGTAAATAAATGATATGCTCAAGGACTTTTATAGAGGAGTAGTCCCAGTTCTCATAAGCGAGGGCAATTCTAGGGTAAACTATGTGAGATCAGGCTGTAACTACCAGTTTAAGCACGTGGAAGAATCCTTCTGCTTTCTTTCCAGCACCACTGCTGACTTGGATCGGAAACTCTCCTTCTCACATTCTGATCACTCCTCTGAAATGTCGTTGCCTGAAGTCCAAAAGGATAAATATCCTGAGGAATTCAGCCTGCTTAAGTTGCAGACGAGTAAGTCACAGACCCTCCTCCACATGCTTCTGTGCCCCAGGTCTTTTCAGAAGTCTGCCATACTGTTGGCCACCCTCATCGAAGGCCCACAACTGTCAAGCATTTGATGTACTTTATCTCAAAATTCACAAAACCTCTGCCAGGAAGCCATTATATGTTTTTCAAAAATAAAATGCCTTTATATAAAACCCATTAAAATACTGCAGAAAGACATTAAAATAATATAGAAGTATATAGAGTATAAAAACTCCTTCCCCAATATTTTTCAACAATATCCCTATTCTGCCCCATAGCTGTGAAGAGTCGATATATATTTTTCCAATATTTTGAAATGTATGTGTGTGTGTATACATACACGTGTACATATATAGATATAAAATAAATGGGTTAGTATACAAACTGGTATAAATAGATCATGGACCTCTTTCTGTGTCAATACATATAGATCTATATGGTTAATATAGACATACCCATTTTACAAAGGAGGAAACTGAGGCTTTGAGACATTCAGTCATCCATAAAGCCACATGGCCAGGAAGTAGAGCAATGGGATCAGAACCCACACTTGCTTGCCTCGAAGCCTGTGCTCTTCTTGGATATCCCAGAGCCCACATTTCTCAAGCACCCCTAGAGCTACTAGGGGATCTTTTATTGTTTAAAGTCACTGTTAGCCATCTTACAGGAAAAGTATCAGATGATGAAACAAAGGCACTGCAAGGTCCAGAAACTAGCCTGGGGTCTCACGACAGCTTTTCTCATTTGAAATTATCACAGGTCCATTTCCCGGTGTCACCGTAGCACATGCGCGTGCTATTGTTGCAGCCAACACCATGTTTCCTCCACTTGAGGTGCCATGTGGATGGCACTGGCCTAGCCATTTGCTGGTTGATGGCATTCTATTTTTCCTACACCGTTATCAGAGTGAAGATTGTATCACAGGTACTTGTAAGACTGTCTCTGAGCTTCCCAATCAATACTTAACTTCCAAACATAAAGTTGGCTTTATTTTTGAAGGAGAGGGTGAAGAGGGCAAACAAAAACAAAGACGGCCTCTTAGATAGCTCTCCCCTGACTTCCCTTCCTTTTGTGTCTAGTCCCACAGAGTTTCACACTGTCTCTGATGTAGAACCAAGGGATTATACACATTAATTAAAGTTATATAGCCAGATAGTGCCTGTGGAGTTTTCACAGCTTTTTGTCATCCAGTTGCATTATGAGGCTGGGAACAGTGCTAATGGAAGGCTTTCTGGTGTATTGCAGAAGATGGGCATCGTCCTGAGTGGACATTTTACCCAAGGTTTAGCAGCAACATCCACACCTACCACGTCGGAAAGCAGTGCTTCTTTAATGGAGTCTTCCTCGGCAACAAGAGGTCTCTATCAGAGAGGACGGTGGACAAGTGCTTTGGGAGAAAGAAATACGGTGATGTTTCCTTCTGGGTCTTGACTGTGCAGTCCCCGAAAAACTCTCGAGTCGTGATTCTATAGGCCCTGCATTCTGTAGCTGGGGGCAGCCCTGTAGAGTCACCATGTTCCCCTAGTGCAGCCAGGAAGACAGAAAAGTGAAGGGGACAGTTTGCAGGCTGCACGTTTTGGCAAAGAGCTCACAGCAGATGCTAATCCACATTTTCTTTTTTCTCTGAATTTCATAAAATGCAAATGTGACATTTAAGTCATCAGATAAGTTCTCTCAGATACTTATTAATAGAAACCTCCATTGAAGTCTGAAGAAAAGAATTTATGTTCCAATTAGATGCTGCCTGGCATACACATTTAAATTGTACTTTATATTCTCCACAAGGAAAACATCCCATAAACCTCAGCCTGAAGTGCATGTTTTTATTTTATTGCTGATTTAATTAAAGGCTATTGAAATGAATATATATCTACCTGTGTATCTATATCTCCTTGGTTTGTAGCTCAGTGAGTTCTTTGCCCCAACCTACTCATAATAGACTTACCGAAAGACCCTCAAAAGTTGCTGAGTACCAACTGACCATTTATGACACATTTTTCTATATAAATCTCTGTGTAGGAGGCAACCATTGCTCCAGAAATAAATAGGATTGCTGTAGCAGGAATACAAAGAGAAAGAAGTAGACTGTTCTCATTTTTGAGTTTTAAAATAGACTTAAACTCACAACAGAGACAAATAGTTTTGAGAATTGAGGCTTTTATTTATTTGGGTAGAAAAATACGTAGAAAGCCATACTAAATGAGCTGGGAGAGTGGTCATTGATATGGAAATCCGTGAGGAGTCCTGCACCTTGCACTTTTTTTTTTTTTGAGACGGAGTTTCGCTCTTGTTGCCCAGGCTGGAGTGCAATGGCGCGATCTTGGCTCACAGCAACCTCCGCCTCCCGGGTTCAAGCCATTCGCCTGCCTCAGCCTCCGGAGTAGATGGGATTATAGGCATGCACCACCACACCCGGTTAATTTTGTATTTTTAGTAGAGACGGATTTCTCCATGTTGGTCAGGCTGGTCTCGAACTCCGGACCTCAGGTGATTCGCCTGCCTCGGCCTCCCAAAGTGCTGGGATTACAGGCGTAAGCCACCGTGCCCAGCACTTTTTTTTTTTTTAAGACAAGGTCTTGCTCTGTGGCCCAGGCTGGAGTGCAGTGCCACCATCTTGGCTCACTGCAGTTCCGAATGCCAGCCCCCCAGCCCCAGGCTCAAGCAATCCTCTAACCTCAGCCTCTAAGTTGCTGGGACTAGAGGCATGTGCCACCATGCCCGGCTGATTTTTCTATTTTTAGTAGAGACAGGGTTTCTCCATGTTGCCCAGGCCAGTCTCAAACTCCTGGGCCCAAGCGATTAGCCGGCCTTGGCCTCTCAAAGTGCTGGTATTACAGGTGTGAGCCACTGCAGCCAGCCTACCCTGCACTCTTGAGCTGCAAGTACCTATCAAAAGTAAATGGGATTATCATAATGACCTAAATCTCAATCTTGACTTATCACTGCCCTCCTGGCTCAAAAGTAAACCACCTTATCCTGAATTTTATGTTTATGATTCTTCCCTCTCCTTTCCTTTCTTTTTCTTTCTTCTCCTTTCCTCTTCTTTTTCTTTCTTTCCTTCCTTCCTTCCCTCCTTCCCTCCTTCCTTCCTTCCCTCCTTCCCTCCTTCCTTCCTTCCCTCCTTCCTTCCTTTTTCCTTTCCTCCCTCCCTCTCTCCATCCTTTCATTTCTTCTTTCCCTTCTTCCTTTAGGGTTTTATAAATACTGAGTAAATGCAATGATATATTTATGAAACATTTGTTGACTATATAAAATGAAATATCACAAATACTTGCGTTCTTTTACTCCACTTAAGAAATAAAATTCTAACTTTATATTTGAAGGCTCCAATATCCTCTTCCCCGAATATTCCATCTTTCCTCCTCCAACTCCAGTGGTAACCCATATTTCATATTTTTTTAAAGAAAAACTTATTAGGTAAATTTTCAAACAATAGCAAAATGAAACCCGATGTACTCATCCACTTAGCTTCAATAATGATCAACACCTGGCTAACTTGTTTCATCATTACTCCTCCTCCCAGGGATTATTTCAAAGCAAATTTCAGACATCATATTATTTCATCTCTAAATATATCATATGTGCCTCTGATAGATAAGGATTATTTTATTAACATAACCACAATTCCATATCATAATATCATATTTTAAAAATTAACAGTAATTCCTTAATATAGTCAGTGTCCAAATATCCCATTGTCTCATAAATGCCACAATTTAAAAATATTTAGTTTGTTTGGATCAGGATCCAAGTAAGGCCCACAGATTGAAATTGGTTGGTATGTCTGTTAAGTTTCTTTCTCCCTCCTTTTTTCTTGCAATTTGTATGGTGAAGAAACTAGGCCTTATCCTGCAGTATTCACCATGATCAGGACTTTGCTGATTACATTGCTTGGTATCATTTAACAGGTTCCTCTTTCCTGTGTATTTCCTGTGAAGTGGTAGTTGGGTCTACAGGCTTGATTCGTTTTAGTATATGATTACTTCTTAGGTGATGTACAGTGACTTCTTTAAACATCAAACGCAATGGTCTTTTTCCATTTCTTCTCTTCCTTGATCTCACTGCAGCACTTGATACTGTCAAGCTTGACACTGGATACTTCTTCCTTTGTGAAATTCTCTCCCCACTCTTTCTTTCTTTTCTTTCTTTCTTTTTTTCTTTCTGTCTTTCTTTCTTTCTTTTTCTTTTTCTTCTTTTCTTTTCTCTTTCTTTCTTTCTTTCTTTTTTTTTTAGACAGAGTCTCGCTCTGTCACCCAGGCTGGAGTGCAGTAGCGTGACCTTGGCTCACTGCAACCTCCGCCCACTGAGTTCAAGCAATTCTCATGTCTCAGCCTCCTGGGATTACAGGCATGTGCCACCACTGCCGGCTAATTCTTGTCTTTTAGTAGAGACAGGGTTTCACCATGTTGGCCAGGCTGGTCTCCAACTCCTGACCTCAGATGATCCACCCGCCTCGGCCTCCCAAAGTGCTGGGATTACAGGTGTGAGCCACCACTCCTGGCCCCCACTCATTATTTCTTGGATGAGATGAAGTGGTAGGCTCAGGGACTGCCAACCAGCTGCCATTTTAAACTGGAATGCAACGCATTATTATATCAAAAAATCAATCAAAATATCTTTAAATAATGGTTGACTGTTATCCATCAGCCATAACCAGGATATTGGTGGAGTTCCCTAAAGGCCTAGCTGTTGCCACAGAACAAAATGCCATCTATGATTGTAGGTGGTAGGGAAATAGATCTGAAAATACAATTTTCTATTGTGTAGCTCTTCCCACAGTACAGCATATTGTATTAGTCAGAATAGGATAGATTCTGCCGCAGTAACAGTCCCTGAAATCTCTGCAGCTTAAGCACTAAAGTTTGCTCCTTTCTCTTGTAAAGTCCACTGTGGATCCAGCAGCTCTCCAGGACAGCTCCTTTCCAAGGATGCTGTCTGCTTTTATCTGTGACCTTTCCATCTCAACCTGTGGCTTCTAAGATTGCCATAGAAGGGTAAAGAGAAAATGCTGGAAGGTTTTTCACATCAGCTCCTTAAATGCTTCTTTTTAAAGTGGCACATATCATCTCTGCTCACAATCTATCAGTCAGAACATGGCTCTACCTAAACGCATCGGGGCACTGAAATGTGGGGCAGAGTAAGTTATTTGGTGAACGGTTCGCTCCCTTATATGGTTATTTGTCTCTAAATGTATGTTTCCCATTTTCTACCTCCTGAATGTCTACATCCAGGAAATTGGATGGTCTGTCTAAAAACAAACAAGCATTAGAACTGATCATGCAGTGTTATGGGTCCATCAGCTATTGATACATAGTGGCCAGCCCTTTGGGCTGATACCTGTTTTGGTGAGATATCCAGAAATTATACCAAGGCCCCATATTGTACTTAATAGCTTAAACAAACATGTTATCTCAGAAGTGTTGTTTGGGAGATTTTCCCCCTAAAAGTAACACCTTATACTGACATCACACCATTGCCTCTTTTTCTTCCTCCTGACATTATCTTGTGATATCTTTTACCATAGTCTATATATATATATATATTTTTTTTTTTTTTGAGACAGAGTTTCGCTCTTGTTGCCCAGGCTGGAGTGCAATGGTGCGATCTCGGCTCACTGCAATCTCTGCCTCCCAGGTTCAAGCGATTCTCCTGCCTCAGCCTCCTGAGTAGCTGGGATTACAGGCATGTGCCACCATGCCCAGCTAATTTTGTATTTTTAGTGGAGACGGGATTTCACCATGTTGATCAGGCTGGTCTTGAACTCCTGATGTCAGGTGATCCACCTGCCTCGGCCTCCCAAAGTGCTGGGATTACAAGCATGAGCCACTGCGCCTGGCCACCATAGTCTATTTCTAGGTGTTCTCCTTAGACCACCTATATCATAATCAACTGGAAAGTTTATAAAAATTACTGGTTCTGGGAACTATTAGAGATCTTCTGAAACAGAATTTCTTGGGTTAAAGGCTGCATTTTAAACAAGTTTCCTAGGTGATTTTCAGGTGTGCTAAAATTTTGGAACCACTGTTCTATAGTATATGGCATTTACTGCTTTGTAGTGTTACCTTCGTCTTTACATATGTCTCCCTATCTAGATAAGATTCCCTGGGGAGAAATTTATACCTCAGCTATATAGCAATCGTATCCTCCAGATTAAAAAATAATTGGGATGAGGGGTATTAGTCCAGTTCTGATTTCAAATAATAATAATTGCTACTATTTCTTGGGTGCTTGTTATATGCTCACATCATTATTATTTAGTATTCATGATAACTCTGCAAAGTAGCCATTTGAAATAAACAGTTTATAAATGAGGTTAAAAAGGCTTAGTAAGGTTAAATAAATAGCTCAAGGGCACAGAACTAGAAATTGCAGGAGTGAGTATGAACTCAGGTGCGACAGACTCCAAAGTCCAAACTCTTCCCACCACCTCTTGTCACCCAACTCTTACTTGTCAGTGCCCTGGTTTGGTATGCAAAAGGTTTCAGATGCACTGTATATTTAATTAATTGATTAAATTGTTGAGACAGAGTCTCATTCTATTTCCCAGGCTGGAGTGCAGTGGCATGATCTCGGCTTACTGCAACCTCCGTCTCCCGGGTTTAAGCGATTCTCCTGTCTCAGCCTCCCGAGTAACTGGGATTACTGGCGTGTGCCACCACACCCAGCTAATTTTTGTATTTTTAGTAGAGACAGGGTTTCACTGTGTTGGCCAGGCTGGTCTAGAACTCCTGGCCTCAAGGGGATTCAGTATATATTTTAAACCTCCACTCTCTCTGCTTTGAATCCTCAGCATCTCATACCCAGCAGGCACTCAATGCATGGGTGCAGTTGATGTTATTTCACCACACAGAAGAGCTAATCAAAAGTGTAATACAGTCAGTTATTGAAAAGGTTTTTGAAAGAGAAAGACAAAAAAGTAAATACTCTGGTAACCCAAGAACTTCCACCTGTCACGCTGATGGCTTTTCCGAGTTAGCTAGAAGAATCTGGGTGTGTGGCAAAGATGGAGGTCATGCTTCCAGCCACGTGTCCCTGCTTCTGAGCCCAAGGGTGATGAGTCTCGTAGTCCAGGCTTATTCTCTTAGGAGATGCATCTGGTGTAAGTGTGTGGGTTGATTTATTTATTTTAAATTTTAATTTTTTAAATAGGCAATTTTAAGGACTTTAGGTGTGTGGGTTTAAATGATCACCCTACACTAGGCTGATGCCTTCCACTCCCGTGATTAGTTTCTTGTTCCCAGGGCTTTAGCAGGGGCTGAGCTGGGTGTAAGAACCTCTGCTGAGTAATCTTGCTCTTCTCCAGGAAGCCACCTCCCACTGCTGCATGGCCCCAGTCCTTGAGGCAGAAGGAGCAAGACATCCTTAGTTGGTTTCCTTCCTGGACCCAGTCAGAGAGGCAGAGCCCCAGGGACACTTGTTTCTTCGGCTTCCTAAGACTCAGGGATTCAAAGTGCACTAATGCTCAGGAATGAAGAGATTTTTAGGTCAGAGATTTTTGGATCATTGCAAAGAAACCTCTGATTCACCTTATATTTTAAACCAAAACACTCCATCTGAATCTAACAATTCTTTTCCAGGGTGAGGTAGTTACAACAACACTTTTTGGAAAATGTCCCAAATATAGGCTCATCTCCTTAAGGCAAGATAATCACAAACAGAACTTTGAGAAACTTCTATGTAATTTATAATAAAATACTAAAATATCCTCTTTCCATTGTCATGCCAATACTTACAGCAAATCTGTGGATCATCTTCAGCCCTTGTATGATTTTGTTTTCAAACCTTCTCCACAGATATTGATCCCAGGAATGGAATCCCAAAGTTAACTCCAGGCGACAATCCATATATGTACCCAGAACAGAGTAAAGGCTTCCACAAAGCAGGATCAATGCTCCCACCAGTGAATTTTTCAATGTAAGTGTATGTTAATACTAGCATTATATAGTTAACTTTAAAGGAATTGTGTCTCTCTACTACACAGAAATTATATTTTAAAAGGGATAGATGTCAACAAGATGTGATTGGATGAAAATTCCTTGAAAAGCTCATCTTTAGTTAATTAATGTCTGCACACATGCATGTGTATAATTAAAATTACACACAGGACTTGGACTACAAAAAAGTGGTTGTTAATTTTGTTCCTATCTCTATTATCACAGATTTGAAAACTTTTAAATTTTCATACTGAATCAGATTGTTGGCCATAGTGACTACTATGTGGGTGGACTTAAACTTGGAAATAAACTTAGACCAAAGTGATGGAGAAAAGTGGGAGGATCATTACATTAAAAGAAAAATAGTTGGTGTATTACATTTTTTTTTTTTTTTTGAGACGGAGTCTCGCTCCGTCGCCCTGGCTGGAGTGCAGTGGTGCCATCTCAGCTCACTGCAAGCTCTGCCTCCTGGGTTCATGCCATTCTCCTGCCTCAGCCTCCCGAGTAGCTGGGACTACAGGTGCCCGCCACCACACCTGGGTAATTTTTTGTATTTTCAGTAGAGACGGGGTTTCACCATGTTAGCCAGGATGGTCTTGATCTCCTGACCTCGTGATCCGCCCGCCTTGGCCTCCCAAAGTGCTGGGTAGTTGGTGTACTACATTTAAAATATTATTTTAAAAAATTAACCATGTGGGATATAATGATGTTGACTAAAAATGATCAAAACTAAAATCTGTGGGCCGGGCGCGGTGGCTCACGCCTGTAACCCCAGCCCTTTGAGAGGCCAAGGGTGGGGTGGGGTGGATCGCCTGAGGTCAGGAGTTCAAGACCAGCCTGGCCAACATGGTAAAATCCCGTGTCTACTAAAAATACAAAAATTAGCTGGGCACGGTGGCAGATGCTTGTAATCTCAGCTACTCAGGAGGCTGAGGAAGGAGAATTATTTGAACCTGGGTGATGGAGGTTGCAGTGAGCCGAGATTGCAGCGCCACACTCTAGCCTGGGCGACAGAGTTAAGACTCCATCTCAAAATAAATAAAATAAAATAAAATAATATAAAATCTGTGGGCCAGGCACAGTGGCTCATGCCTGTAATCCTAGCACTTTGGGAGGCTGAGGCTGGAGGATTGCTTCAGCCCAGGCGTTCCAGACCTACCTGGGCAACATGGAGAAACCCCTTCTCTACAAAAATACAAAAAATTAGCTGGGCATGGTGGTGTGTGCCTATAATCCCAGCTACTTGGGAGGCTGAGGTGGGAGGATCACCTGAGCCTGAAAGGTCGAGGCTGCAGTGAGCTGAGATTGTGCCACTGCACTCCAGCCTTGGGGACAGAGTGAGACCCTGTCTCAAAACATACATAAAATAAAATAAAATAAAATAAAATAAAATCTGCGGTTCTTACAGTTTTGAAGTCAATACTTGAAAATTAAAATCGGAAAACAGGACATTCTATTGAATACAATGATGTATTGATCTCTTTGCTGTAGATGGCATACCAGTTTTATGATTGCCTTTTCTGTTTTTCAGAGTGCCTTATGAAAAGAAATTTGATACATTTATTCCACTTGAGCCTCTTCCACAAATTCCCAAGTGAGTTCTCTTGTCATGTTTTGTGTTATCCCATCTTTATTAAATATCGATTATTTTATTGTTTCCTTATGTGGAGGAGCAGGTAGATAACCAGGACACAGGGCCCTTTTGAATCCCAGCAGGAGGGTGGGGCAGTTTGTAAGGAAGGTGTTTGGATAGACATTCTGTAGAGTCTGCAATTGGGATGGTCACATATTCAACAGATGTAATTGACAAACTACCAGATGCCATGTGTTGTGCTAGCCATGCACTATAGGAGAGTTCACATGGAACAAAAAGACAGGGTTCCTGATTCCTAGAACATGAGTATGTTGGGAAAAAAAGACACATACTTAAATGATTGCAACTGGCGAGAATGGTTAGAGTTTCAAGAGGCAGAAAGAAAGCTAACAGAGCACTTCTGTGTTTGAGGGAAATATCATTCCTTTAATTTCATACTTTTGCTTCACTCCATTCTGAACCTCACTTATTTACCTAAGCAGGTTTCTGACCTATAAAGAGATATTTTCTTTTCTTTCTTTCTTTTTTTACTTTCTAATACAAAACAGTCTCCTATGAGTGGGCATGTGTCCCAGGGTCTAACCCACTCTGGAGCTCAGTGGGAATAAAAACCTTTTATTCCAAACTTGAGATTTTAATGTCTTTATTATGTTGCATTGTTACTTATGGCACACGATTAGGGCTTCTCATGTCTGTACTTTACATTTTTAATAAACACTATTCTAGAATATTCCAAATAATAGCAATTGCCTACATTTCATCACTCTACTATTTTAGCTTTTGTACATTACCTTTCATATGCAAATATGTTTTTACATGTATAAACCCCAGAATACCAATTAGTCTGGTTTTCCTAAAAAGAAAGGTTTTTTTTTTTTTTTTCTTGAAGTACAAAGCTAGCTGGGTGCAGTGGCTCACACCTATAATCCCAGCACTTTGGGAGGCCAAGGCAGGGGGACTGCTTGAAGCCAAGAGATTGAGACCAGCATGGGCAACATAGTGAGACCCTATCTCTACAAAATATTTTTTTTAAAAATTAGCCAGGCATAGTGGTATGCAACTGTAGTCCTAGGTACTTGGGAGGCTGAGGCAGGAGGGTTTCTTGAGTCTATGAGTTCGAGGCTGCAGTGAGCTACGATTGTGCTATGCACTCCAGCCTAGGTGATAGAGCAAAACCCTGTCTCAAATTAAAAAAAAAAAAAAGAGAGAGAAGTCGATCAGCATATTCCTCTGTGCTATGGTCAATAAGACAATTGTGAGACTTGGACCCTTTCCTCAGGGACAGTCACCCTAATGAAAAAGTCTACTAACCAGTTAGTCATGGCAGAAGTGACAAAGGCTTCTGTTGCTGGATTTAGCATTTATTGTTTCCTAGATTCTCTATTTTGTTCTGTAGCGTCTAGTTTGCTGTTAGTCCTATCCAGTGATTATGTATTTCGATCTTTAGAAATTCTATTTGATTCTTTTTTATATCTGTTGTTCTTTCCTATTTTCATGTTTTCCTTAAATACTTGGACATAGTAATAGCTGTTTAAAGATTTTTGTTTGTGGGCTGGGCGCGGTGGCTCATGCCTGTAATCCCAGCACTTTGGGAGGCTGAGGCTGGCGGATCACGAGGTCAGGAGATTGAGACCATCCTGGCTAACACAGTGAAACCCTGTCTCTACTAAAAATACAAAAAATTAGCTGGGCGTGGTGGCAGGCGCCTGTGGTCCCAGCTACTCGGGAGGCTGAGGCAGGAGAATGGCGTGAACCTGGGAGGCAGAGCTTGCAGTGAGCTGAGATGGTGCCACTGCACTCCAGCCTGGGCGACACAGCGAGACTCCGTCTCAAAAAAAAAAAAAAAAAAGATTTTTGTTTGCAGCCGGGCATGATGGCTCACTCCTGTAACCACAGCACTTTGGGAGGCCGAGGCAGGCAGATTGAGGTCAAGAGATCAAGACCATCCTGGCCAACATGGTGAGACCCTGTCTCTACTAAAAGCACAAAAATTATCTGGGTGTGGTGGCGCGCACCTGTAGTCCCAGCTACTTGGGAGGCTGAGGCAGGAGAATCACTTGAACCCGGGAGGCAAAGGTTGAAGTGAGCCAAGATCACGCCACTGCACTCCAGCCTGGCGACAGAGTGAGACTCCATCTCAAAAAAAAAAAAAAAAGATTTTTGTTTGCTAATTCTATTATTTGTGTCATTTCTGGGTGTGTTTCTACTGACTGATTTTTCTCCTGATTATGGGTCACATTTTCCTGCTTCCTGGTATGTCTAGTAATTTTTATTTGGATACTGGACATTATAATTTTATATTGTTGAGTATTTGGATTTTGTTGTCTTTTTTTATTTTATTTTATTTTTTATTTTATTTATGTTTTTTTAGATGGAGTCTCACTTTGTCACCAGGCTGGAGTGCAGTGGCGCAATCTGGGCTCACTGCAACCTCCGCCCCTAGGTTCAAGGGATTCTCCTGCCTCAGCCTCCCGAGTGGCTGGGATTACAGGCACGTGCCACCACACCCAGCTAATTTTTGTATTTTTAGTAGAGACAGGGTTTCACTATGTTGACCAGGCTGGTTTCAATCTCTTGACTTCGTGATCCACCTGCCTTGGGCTCCCAAAGTGCTGGGATTACAGGCGTGAGCCACCGCAACAGGCCTTGTGGTCTTCTTTTAAAGAGTGCTGGTCTTTGCTGTAGCAGGCAGTTAAGTCACTTGCAGTTTGGTTTGAGGCTTGTTTTCAAGCTTTGTTAGGGCGTGTCTAAAGCAGTCTTTAGGGATAGTTTAACTCCATTACTAAGTAAGATGTGGCCCTTTTAGAGTCTCTGCAGAATACCTTGAGTGATCAGTGAGGAGTCTTCACTTTAGTTGGTGGGAACTAAAATGATTTTTAGCCCTTTGTGAGCCCATTCAGTTCCCAGTCACTCTATTGTCTGATCTTTTGGAGTTCTACCCTACACATGTGTGTCTTAATATTCAGCAAAGACTCAAAGGAAGTGCTGTGTAAATTTCTTACTTTCATTTTTTTGTAAAGTTCCTTCTTCCCCAGAACTCTGCCCTGCAGCTTCCAGTCCTCCAAGACTCTCTGAACTTGGATCTTCGGCTCCTCAAACTCATAGAGAATGCCATGCTCTGTGTGGGGTTGCTCATCCTACGCTGTGGTCTTGAATGTGCCTCCAGGCAAAGCTGGGTGATTACAGGAATCTCTTCATTTGCTTTCCTTTTCTTTAGGATCACAATCCTGTGCTGCCTGTTGTCTCATTCTGAAAATTGTTATTTCATACATTTTGTCCAGTTTTCTACTTGTTTAAGTCAGGAGAGTAAATCTGATCCCCGCTACTTCATTATGGCTGGAATTATTATCTATGAATAGAAATGTTATTATCTATCATCTATTAATAAAAATTGTAGGTTTTTTCCCAAGTTATTTGATGAATCAGTTTTGTACTGCTCCATTACTGTCATCAAAGTTGTTCATATCTTTAAATAGTGTAGTAATTGTGCTTGGAAATTTAAGAATGTTAAATCTGCAAATGCAACAATCCACCTGTAAAATAAGAACAAAACCTGATAACCAGAACCAGATAAAGTTGCCAAGTCTTCTCTAGTTAGTGACAGAGAGAGCCAGAATTAGAATAAAAATTAGGGAGGTAAGATTACTTATTGAAAAGGTCCCTATAATGTGCAGTACGTTTACAGGGATTATTTATTCAACTCAGCAGACATCCTTTGAGTACCGTTTATGCACTTAATCTACAGGAGAAATGGGAAGGTGGTGAGGTAATGGAGGCAGGGATCACAAAGATGAATAAGATATGATATTTGTTTCAAGGCTCATTGTCTATTGTGGGGAGAGACCACTAGATGAGTAATCATAAAACAATTGAAAGCAAATATGGTACAATGTGTACATAGAGGAAAGACATGGGGGAAGTTGAGGACATGTTGCAGAGGAGGTGGTACTTGATCTGGGTCCTAGATGAGGCATTGCAGTTAATGTATCTTCCAAGGACAAAGTATTATGGGATGCATCTATATTAGGTCACTTAATATTTATTTTTAGATTTCCACATGTGCTTGAAAAGAAAGTGTATTCCACTTAATCAGGATGGAAAGTTAGATACATATACAGAAGATTGACTTTATTGGTTATATTGTTTAGCCCCTATATTTCCTTACTTTTGTTCACTTGGCCTAGTTTGGACTGAGAGTTAGTGTGAGAGTTAAGGTGTCTGAATATTAGCATTTCGACTATTTTTGTTGTTAATTGTGTCTTTTAGCATTATGAAAGTATCTTTATTTTTCTCATTTAATACTTTTTGTCCTAAAGTATACCTAGCCAGTTATTAAGGTTCTAATTCTCTATTTTATTTGCATCTGACCTTTGCCCATTCTTTTTGCCCATTCTTTTGCTTTTGAAGCACTTTGCTTTTAGGGTAGAATTGGATTCTGCTCGTGAGCCAGCTTGAAAATATTTTCTTTAATTCAGGTGAATTAGGCCACTTGCATTTATTGATTAGACTGATATATTTGATTTCAGTTCTGTTACATTATTTGTTACATTTATTAGGTGTACTGTATTACATTTAGTGTGAGTCTTTCAGTGTTTGATTGTTTCAACAAAGGCTGAAAAATGCTTTCTTTTGATATTTAGAAATGCTCGTGTTTTTGTTCTAGTAGTTCTTTACGCTAGTATCTTTATACATTGCTCTTAGTCCTGCTTTTCTTATTTGGGTTTCTACTATTTGGCTTGTTGGCTTTAAGTGATAACTTTGACTTTCACCAATTACCTATGTGGTAACCGTCCTCTTCGTTCTTGCAGGGACTTCCCTACCCCCAGCAGTTTTATCAGGGCATTTTGCCAATTGTGGTATATTTCTCCCCTAAAGCACAAGAATTCTAGCTTCCAAAAGATGAAAACATTTTGCATCTGCCTGCTCCAACTCATCCCAGAGTCACACTTCCTACTACCTATTGGACCACATGCAGCCCAGAAATGTCCTTTCAGGTCTCAGTGGCTCTGGGAAGACTCTGGGTATCTGCATTAGCCAAGGTCCCAGCAGAAAACAGAAAGCACACTCAGCTGGGATTCTGAAGACAGCTTAAGGAAAGGGACTATTTATGGGTGTGTGGGCAGGGTTGGGGGAACCCACATGGGAGGGTGAAGCACCCAGAGGCTCATGACAGTGGGAAGCGTTACTACTCTTGGGTCTGAGCAGCAAGAAGAGGGATCACAGTTTGCAGAACAGTAAGCGCTGGAGCTCCGGGAGAAGGGCTGCCCAACAGGAGCTGTGGCACTGCCAGAATTGGGGTGCCTTGGGAGATAGGACATCAGGGGAGGAACTAGGTAAGAAATGCCCTAATTTCTGTCCACCTTCTGATCTCCTATCGGTGCCATCAGCCAAGCCCAGCTCAAAGGTGGAAGCACGGGTGGGGATGGTGGCTCATGCCTGTAATCTCAGCACTTTGGGAGGCCAAGGTGGGAGGATCATTTGGAGTCAGGAGTTCAAGACCAGCCTGACCAACATGGTAAAGCCCCATCTCTACTAAAAATACAAAAATTAGCTGGGCGTGGTGTCATGTGCCTGTAGTCCCAGCTACTTGGGAGGCTGAAGCAGGAGAGTCACCTGAACCCGGGAGGCGGAGGTTGCAGTGAGCAGAGATCGCACTCCAGCCTGGGCGACAGAGTGAGACTCTGTCTCAAAAAACAAACAAAAAAATATGGGCTGGGTATAGTGGCTCACAACTGTAATCCCAGCACTTTGGGAGGCCGAGGCAGGTGGATCACCTTAGGTCGGAAATTCGATACCAGCTTGACCAACAAGGTGAAACCCTGTCTCTACTAAAAATACAAAAATTAGCCAGATGTGGTGGCATGTGCCTATAGTCCCAGCTACTCGGGAGGCTGAGGCAGGAGAATTGCTTGAATCTGCGAGGCGGAGGTTGCAGTGAGCTGAGATTGTGCCACTGCATTCCAGCCTGGGCGATGGAGTGAGACTTTGTTTCAAAAAAAAAAAATGTGGAAGCACAGAGGAGCCCAGGTGATACTAGCTGCAAGGTCAGCCTCTTGGCAGAGAAGGGCTGAACAAGAGGGTTTGAGGCAGGAGCAAACGGTGAACAACTAACATATTTTATTTTGAAGCTGGTCTCCTAAATTGGAGGTCTTTTTACTTTTGGAGCACATAATTTCTTATCCGCTGTTGGTGTTTGTAAATTTTGCATCAAACTACAACTCAGGGTGTTGTCTTCTTCCCACAGCTTGCCTTTCTGGGTGAAGGAGAAGGCCAACAGTTTGAAAAATGAGATACAAGAGGTTGAGGAGCTTGACAACTGGCAGCCAGCAGTGCCCTTAATGCACATGCTACACCTTTCTGGTGGGTTAAAGAAACTTCAAAGAATAGTGTAAAAACTGGAGGAGTCCGCCGGGTATGGTGGCTCACTCCTGTAATCCCAGCACTTTGGGAGGCCGAGGCGGGCAGATCACAAGGTCAGGAGTTCAAGACAAGCCTGACCAACATGGTGAAACCCCGTCTCTACTAAAAATACAAAAATTAGCTGGGTGTGGTGGCGCGTGCCTGTAATCCCAGCTACTCAGGAGGCTGAGGCAGGAGAATCACTTGAACCTGGGAGGTGGAGGTTGCAGTGAGCTGAGATTGTGCCACTTGCACTCCAGCCTGGGCAACAGAGCGAAACTTTGCCTCAAACACAAACAAACAAACAAAACAAAACTGGAGGAGTCCAGAGAACAGGATTTTGAGAGGCTTCACAGTGGAAAGGAGGGCAGGCAAAGTATCTCCTGGAGTGGATGTGTCTTCTGTCCCGAGGTGGTCTCATGGGCAGATGTCATAGCCAAGCATTGGGGGTCGAGTGTATTGATTGAGAATTGTTAGTTTTGTAATGGAAGAAAACCTGTAACTCCATGCCTCTATCCACAGGTGCTTTGGACTTTCCAAGACAATCCTGAGCATAAACAGGCCCACAAAACATGTGCTGACTGCACTCTGGCGACCCTTTTCCAGTTGATGTTTTTTGTCATGTGACTGTTCTAAATCCAGTGTTTGACCCTTATGAGGAAGTGTTGTGCTTTGCTTTTTTAAAACTTTATATTTTGAAAACTTTCACATTTACATAAAAGTTGCAAGAATTGTACAACAAACACCTGCATATCCTTCACATAGATTCTATCATTGTTAATATTTGTTCAAACTTTCTCTCTCTCACAATATTACAGTTACCATTTTGCTGAACTCTTTGAGAGTGAGTGGCAGATATTGTAACCCTTTACACCTGTATACCTACATACCTCAGCATGTATCTTCTAAGGTCAAGGATGTTGTCTAACAACCACAACACAAATACCAAACTCACAGAATTTAACACTGATAAAATATTATTAACATTTAGTCCACATTCAATTTTAGTCAATTATATTTAGTTTTCTAAGGATGCCCTCAAATCAATCATAAAATACAGACATGATGTGAGTGTCTTAGCCTGTTCAGGCTGCTATAACAAAACGCCATAAACAGAATGGCTTATAAACAATAGGAATTCATTTCTTACAGTTCTGGAGGCTGGGAAGTCCAAGCGCAGGGTGCTGGCAGGTTCAGTGTCTGCTGAGGGCCAGCCTTCTGGCTCATAGATAGTACCTTCTTGCTGTGTCCTCATATGATAGAAAGGGTGAGCTAGTCCTCTGGGGTCTCTTTTACAAGGGCACTAATCTCATTCATGAGGGCTCTGGTCTCATGACCTAATCGCCTCCCAATGGCCTTACCTCCTAATACCATCACCTTGGGGATTAGGTTTCGACATATGCATTTTGGGGTGGGGAGGACAAACATTTAGACCATAGCAGTGAACTTTCATTGCTTTTGGTAAAACTTTTCATTTTATTAATACCTTTTGGAATGTTTCTCTAATGTTAACTTGGTACATGTCAGAAAAACATGAAGGCTGGATCTATACCAGGTAAGTAATACTATTGCCCTGTAGCTGCATTCCCCAGTTTAGTATTGCCTATCTACAATAGCCAAGCAGGGTGAGAGCTCAGTGACCACCAGTCATGAGTTTTAGGGCCTCCTGTCAATCAGACAAGAAGCAAACATTTGGAGGAAAAGGTGAAAACAAAAGCTGCCTCACAGGCTTTGACACAGTCAAACTAGTGACTCACGGCATTTTTACAGCCAATCTCTTTCTCCACTAGGGAACCCCCTTGGCTGGCTAATGAAGGCTGCAGATCTAGTATCTCCAAAACCTTAAAGTGGAAAGAGATTGGGGTCCATGCTGAGACTCCACATGTCTATGACATGAGCATGATTTATTTCCCAAAATGTTTGTTGTCTCCAGTCACAGCCAAAGTGAATGAAGCAGGTTTAGAACACGATACATTTAGCCAGGTGTGGTGGCTCATGCCTGTAATCCCAGCACTTTTGGAGGCCGAGGCAGGCGAATCACTTGAGGTCAGGAGTTCGAGACCAGCCTGGTCAACATGGCGAAACCTGTCTCTACTAAAATCACAAAAATTAGCCAGGCAAGATGGTGGGCACCTGTAATCCCTGGTACTCGGGAGGCTGAGGCAGGAGAATCTCTTGAACCCAGGAGGCAGAGGTTGCAGTGAGCCAAGACCATGCCATTGCACTCCAGCCTGGGCGACAAGAGCGAAACTCCATCCCAAAAACAAAGAAGCAAACAAAAACCACAATGCATTCATGGCACCTTCATATGTGCCTCTAGACTAACTGGCAGAGAGCATGGTGCCGACTGCCAGCTGCTGTGCCTGACCACTCCTTGGGTTAACATCAGCATACATCCGTGCTAATCCTCTGGCCCCTGGGTCACAGGCCCACCCCTGCTCCCAACATAATAATTTAAAAAAACACCAAATAATTTTTAAAAAGACAGAGGCTGCCAAGAGATTTTCCAGGACACATTAACTTCTGAAAAGATAATAATTTTTTGTGCCTCTATTACTTAAATGTAAAAAAGTCTTCTTTCCCCTAGTCAAAAACAATGCCCCACCCCTAAAAAAAAAAGTCAACTGCAACCACCAGGTGGGTTAGTAATGGAGGACACAATATAGAACAAAAAAAGATTCTGCAGAGATTTCCTGGTGAGATTATCTAGGTGGCACAGGAAACTGCTCTCAGAAGGTTCCCTGGTGTTTTGGAAGGAGGGAGTCCTACACCATAAATATATTAAGGAAAACAACCGGCTGGGCGTGGTGGCTCACGCCTGTAATCCCAGCACTTTGGGAGGCCGAGGCAGGCGGATCACGAGGTCAGGAGATCGAGACCATCCTGGCTAACATGGAGAAACCCTGTCTCTATTAAAAACACAAAAAAATTAGCCAGGCATGGTGGTGGGCACCTATAGTCCCAGGACTGTACTATACTCGGGAGGCTGAGGCAGGAGAATGGTGTCAACCTGGGAGGCGGAGCTTGCAGTGACCCAAGATTGTGCCACTGCACTCCAGCCTGGGCAACAGAGTGAGACTCTGTCTCAAAAAAAAAAAAAAAAAAAAAAAAAAAAGAAAGAAAGAAAGAAAGAAAAACAACCAAAATACAGTTTTAGAAGGTTTGGAGTAGTCTCTAGGTTTCAAAGAGGTCTATATAATTCCTAGGTGCTGCTCTAAGTAGATATGATTTGATTCCTTTTTCTTTTAATCCAGGCCGCAAAAACCATGAGTAAAAAAAAAAAACACAAAAAAACAAAAAAACCCTACACAACTGTTAGATGATTGAACTTCTGGAGTTGCAGAGCTACATTTCATCCCCTGAAAATCAGGGCAGTTTTCGCTGGATCTGGTGTTCTCTGTGGGTACATCTCGATGCCCAGGCCTTATTCCACGGCACCTCAATAGCTGTCAGGTAGAGTTCCACTGCCAACTTTGGACAGCATGAGTATGTCTACGTGTGTGGGGAGACAAAGGCATAGAGAAAGGCCACATGGGAAAAATATGTGCATATCATAGCTGTTCCAGCTTTTGCTTCTTTCCAGCTAGAAAGAGGTTGAACCTGTTAGATGTAAAGATCCCCTTCACCTCACTGTAGGGTCTTTGGTAAATAAAAACATGTGGGTGCAGAGGTGTGTGTGTGTTCAATTCTTACTTTCAATAACTGAAGTTCAATAGAAATAAACTATATGTGAAACTTTACAAGTAAATTTCTTAGTGTGCAATTTTATATTGCACAGAGGTATTCTAATTTTGGATCCTGGGATAAATGAAAAATGACCTCTGTGGACATGAAGAAACATTGTATTATTCAGCTAGTGGCACCAACGTTCGAATTAGTGATCTCTGAACTCCAAGTTACCAAAATGTTAAGATAGTAGGATATTAAACTTCTAAAATTCCACAAGGAATTTAGGAATATACTGTAGGATTCCACTAATTGTCCACATTTCTAATACGAGGCACTCAGTTTGGTTAGTTTTGTTTTGTTCTTAGGCATTTTGGTCTCAAAATCTAGGCAGGTAAACACATTGTTTACAGGACTTGACTTGGTGAAGTATTTTAGAGTTGGAGTCCTTCAAGATCATGTCTCTGTCCTAAAGAGGCTTTTCTTTCCTGGCTGGGAAATCAGGAGAGAGTACTTGGGTATATAATTACCTCTACCCAGAACTGAGCCACATGCCTGATGCAGGATGGCGCACCTTTTTACGGGGTCTACGAGCCAAGTTCCCGGCACACTCTGGGAGAGGATGTGGGAGCCCATTTGAGATGACTGGTGTCCTTCCCATGCTGGGGAGCCCCAAGAGGTACTGTGGCCTGATGCCACCCTCAGGAATGGGGAGGCCACTACTGACTCACCTGGGAGCCAACACTGAGGCTCCTAAATCCAGGCTATAACACTTACATGAAAAGTAAACATTTTGTGGTGTGCATGAAGGGTCCTAGCCTTATATCAAACAAGCAGCCAAAATATCCCAATGTCTTATTTTCTGAGGAAATGTGTCTGCCTCCACCAAATGTGGTGTGGGGGCAGCAGACGGATCCAGCTTCCAGTGGTGAAGCTGTGAGCAAGGGTATGCTTATCTGGCTAGAAATGTGTTCTTTTGTCTGAGCACAGTTTGGGCTGGAGTAAAAGTTGGGATTCTGTTAGACAGAATGGATTTAGGGGCATAGTTATACTAAATATTGTTTGTTCTTTATTTAAAATTCATTTAAATGGGAGCTCTGCATTTTTTTTTTTTTTTTTGAGATGGAGTGTCGCTCTGTCGCCCAGGCTGGAGTGCAGTGGCGCCATCTCGGCTCCCTGCAAGCTCTGCCTCCCGGGTTCACGCCATTCTCCTGCCTCAGCCTCCCAAGTAGCTGGGACTACAGGCACCCGCCACCACACCCGGCTAATTTTTTTGTTTTTTTAGTAGAGACGGGGTTTCACCGTGTTAGCCAGGATGGTCTTGATCTCCTGACCTTGTGATCCGCCCGCCTCAGCCTCCCAAAGTGCTGGGATTACAGGTGTGAGCCACTGCGCCCGGCCGAGCTCTGCATTTTTATTTGTCAGAACTGGCAACTTATAGTGCAGGTGGCACAAAGGAGATAGATTTGAGGACTAAGTAGGAGGTCAAGGTGGTGAGACTCTGGGATGACTTGGGAATGGGTGGGGTAAAAATATACGAGAAGGAGAAATGGCAACTGGATGGATGATGGTGTAGTTGCCAGGGCCATCTGGACCTCATGTAGCATCTTTGTACAACTAGAGAATGATGCCCTCTTGGTGGACACAGCCCTGTGGATGCACAGCTTAGTGAGCTGTGTGCAAGCTGGATTTAAATCCCCATGTCCTTGTTGTGCAGTGAACTTCTTACACAACCATATGCAGCAGCCTTGTGCTATTTGCTGAAATGAGGCATGCTGGGGAAGTACAGATTTTTTGGCAGGAGGTCAATGTTGGGCAATTTGACATTGAGGAACTTGTGACACTGGTGGAACTATCTAGGGTGTAGTCGGGCATATAAATCTGGGGTCTGGATATACGCATGTGAAAAATAAAGTCCCCTGTGAGAAATGTATATTCTAAGCCTGTGACATGTAGATGCAGGGGCTAGATATAAATTACACAATTGGAATATCCATCCCAAACTGAGCAACGAGCTCAAAAAGACCCTCAAACCTCAGGGCCTGAGCAAAAGCAAATTCTCCTTGGGATCATTTCTCCACTTCAGGGCACAGGGGACTCCCTAGAGAACACCCACAAAGGTGAACCCTGAGAAAGAACTATAAAACCACAACTGGATCCACCACAAGGAATTGTCAATGGATGAAACTCAAGCCAATTTAGGTGATGTTTTCAGCAATACAACATGAATTATCAGGATTTAGGATGCTTGGAAATCATTTTGTAGCAACTTGACACCAGGACATTAGCTTTTCCCAATGCTGGTTGAGGAATTTCTAAATGGGAAGGAGGGGCTTATGGATGGCAATCTGGTGGATGGGTTGGGCTAGAGGACCTGTCTTGAAATGATATCATCATGCAATGCATAACGACATTTTGATCAACTCTAAACTGCATATATGATGGTGGTCCCATAAGATTATAATTCCATATTTTTACTGTATCTTTTCTTTATTTTTTATTGTTTTGCAAATGTCTTTTAACAATTATTAGAAGACATTTTACTGATAAATGTTTTTACTGTACCTTTTCTGTATTTAGATACACAAATGCCATTGTGTTACAATTGCCTATGGTATTCAGTACAGTAACATGCTGTACAGGTTTGTAGCCTAGGAGCAAAGGGTTATATATACCATATGGCCTAGGTGTGTAATAGACTACTGCATCTAGATTTGGTGTGAGTACATTTTGTGATGTTCTCACAACAGTGAAATCACCTAACGATGCGTTTCTCAGAATGTATCCCTGTCATTGACACATGACTGCATTTGCAAAGCAGGACAGTATTTTTATTTAAATTATTATGCATGTTTATTTGGGGAGATGATGAAGATTGTGAGAGTCATTAATCCTGCCTCTAAACTATGCCTTGCTGTTGCCATAGGCTTTTGCCCCTAATTTTAGCCCTTTCCTGCATAGTTTCTTGGTGGTGAAAAAACTGGATGAAAGGGAAACTAGAATTTTGATTACTTTCTCTGCTAAGTAAATGTCAATCCATTCAGAACCAGCTACCCAGAGAGGGGTGAGGGGTAGGGAAATGGGGACAATGCAACCTAAAAATCCTCCTGCTAACATCTCTGGTTCCCCTTTGTAAGTTGGATGGACTTCTAACCTCTTTTTCCTGAGCCAGAGTTTCCCAAATTGTGTTTCCTGAGTGTCAATGGATATATAACACAAAAGGTTTTTAGGGTCAAATTAGTTTGGAAATGCTATATAGTAAGTCCTCATTTTTATCATTGTTAGGTTTTTGGAAACTGCAACTTTAAGCAAAAGGATGTATCATGTAATCAATTTTACCATAGGCTAATTGATATAAACAAGAGTTAAGTTTCTATGGCATATTTCTGGTCACAAAACATCAACGAACTTCTAAACAAAGACCAAAACACTTCTAATATTAAACATTGAAATAAGTGTAAGCTATGCATACATTTAAGAAAGATTAGGCTGGGCACGGTGGCTCATACCTGTAATTTCAGCACCTTGGGAGGTCAAGGGGGGCAGATCACTTGAGCTCAGGAGTTTGAGACCAGCCTGGGCAACATGGTGAAACCCCATTTCTACAAAAAAATACAAAACTTAGCCAGGCATGGGGGTGCACGCCTGTAGTCCCAGCTACTCGGGAGGCTGAAGTTGGAAGATTGCTTGAGCCAGTGGGGTGGGGGTCAAGGCTGCAGTGACCCGAGACTGTGGCACTGCACTCCAGCCTGCACAGAGTGAGACTCTGTCTCAAAGAAAAGAAAAGAAAAGAAAGATTAATAAAAACAAGAAATGTACTCCCGCTTATTCCAGTTCAGGGTTACAGG
Organism: Homo sapiens; assembly: GCF_000001405.40. Classification (NCBI taxonomy): domain Eukaryota; kingdom Metazoa; phylum Chordata; class Mammalia; order Primates; family Hominidae; genus Homo; species Homo sapiens. The sequence goes on from NC_000006.12 coordinate 44,384,027, forward strand.
TGGCCGGAGCCTATCCTGGCACAAGGCAGGAATCAGTTCTGGACAGCACACAGGACACCATCCCATTGCAGGGCACACTCACACACCCTGACACTCACTCAGACTGCAGGCTTGCAAATGAACCTCACCTGCACAGCTTTGGGATGTGGGAGGAAACCAGGGTATCTGGAAGAAACCCACACAGACAGTGGCCCTGGCCTCAAGCGGATTTTTTTTTTTTTTTGAGATGAGGTCTCGCCCAGGGTGGAGTGCAGTGGTGTGATCATGGCTCACTGCAGCCTCGACCACCCAGGCTCAAGTGATCCTCCCATCTCAGCCTCATGGGTAGCTGGGATCACAGGTGTGCACCACCATGCCCAGCTAATTTTTAATATTTTTGTAGGGATGGGGTCTCACTATGTTGCTCAGGCTGGTCTCAAACTCCTGGGCTCAAGCAATCCTCCTGCCTTGGCCTCCCCGAGTGTTGGAATTACGGGCATGAGCCACCATGCCTGGACTCATCAATGTTATCATGAAACGATCTTGCACAAAATGATGTTATTCAAGGATCTGCTGTATTAACAAAGGAGTGTATTAGCTTCCTAGGGCTGCCACAAGAAAGCACAATAAACTAAGTGGCTTAAAACAAGAGAAATGTATTCTCTTACAGTTCTGGAGGCTGGGAGTCCAAAATCAAAGTGTCAGCAGGGCTGGCTCCTTCTTGGGGCTCAGAGGGAGAATGTGTTCCATGCCTTCTCCTGGCTTCTGGTGGCTGCCAGAATCCTTGGCATTCCTTGGCTTGGAGCTGCATCACTCCAATCTCTGCCTCTTTCTTCCCATGATATTCCCCCTGTGTGTCTGTATCTTTTTTCTTCTCCACTTATAAGGACACTACTCATTGGATTTAGGGACAACCTACTCCAGTATGATCTCATTTTAACTTGATTACATCTGCAAAGACTCTATTTCCAAATAAGGTCACATTTACAGGTAGCAGGGGTTAGGACTTGAACATATCTATTTGGGGGGAATACAATTCAACTCTCAACAGGGAGAAACAGATTTTTTCATCTGACAGCTTCTTACAGGCTTTAATTTCAGTGACTCTGCAAGAGGGGAGGACATAAAAACCATGTTTTTTTTTATTTTTTGTTTTTTTTTAAATGGAGTATTTTATGTAACTGGTGTTCTAAGGAACATGTTTGGGGAAAAATGCCTTGGGTGAGTGAGACTATTTAGCAGTGGCCACTCACTTTACCAAAGATTCACAGTGACTGACCATATAGTCTGGTTGCCTAACGATAGATGCTTCTTATGGCTGTCCCTCAAGAGATTGTTGGCAGTCCCTGTGGCCTCTTTGTAAGGGTTCCCATACCTGGCTGGTGAGGCTGCAGTAGTATGGTGGGGGAGGCTGGCCAAGCAGGCCATCCTGGAGAACAGTGTGTTTGTGTTCTGATGTTTGTGGCTACAGTGCTCTGGTTTCAGACATCCTGGAACTTCCATGATGTTGCATTTTTCTGAATTCTGAAAGGGAATATACAATCTGCATGTTCAAAGGTGAAATGAGGGACAGTTGACAGGGCTGTTTTACCTGGATGAGTAAGTTGTACAATGCATGTCTCTAGGGGTGGAATTCACATAGTGGAGATGGTAGATCCAATTTTCTTGTAATAGAGTGCCCTGTTCTCAGAACACCAGTATTTTGTGACAATTTTCCAGCATGTGGCATAAAGTGTCTTGAGGAAGGGGCACCTTTTTCTAGTTCTCACAAAAGTAACATATGGTAAAGAGGTGGCCCTGAGTGGGAGGGAGAAGCCTTCATCAACTCTTGGAATGTGAGATCTGAAAGGCCTCTGACAGAGTATTGGTCCATCTCTGGAATTGTTAGGACTCTTCCTTACAAATAATAGAAACCCAATTCCAAGTGGCTAACACAAATAGGAAACTAATAATCAGAATGCAAGGACAGGAATGCAGCTGGGACTCAGGAACATGCTGGATCCAGGTACTCTGACATGGTCAGGACTTACATCTCTCTCTTTACCTGCTTTTTTCCCTTAGTCCAAAACATGGTGGTAGACAACTCCTGGGTGTCACGTGTTGGATGTTCAGCAGTCAGTAGAGACTGACCTCCTCTATGCTCCAGTGTTAAAATCTCGAAGACCTAGTATTTGATAGCACAACAGGGTGACTATAGTAAAAAATAATTTAATTGTACATTTAAATTAACTAAAAGATTATAATTGGATTGTTTGTAAAACAAAAGATAAACACTTGAGATGATGGATACCCCATTTACCCTGATGTGATTATTATGTGTTGTATGCCAGTATCAAAATATCTCATGTACCCCATAAATATGTGTGTACTATGTACCCACAAAAATTAAATATAACAAATTAAAAAAAAACCGCCCCATTACAGGAGAGGTCCAAATGAAAACATTTTGTTTGAGTTTAACTGGCCACAGGTCCAATGGTTTCTTATACACCACACAGTGGGTAAACAGCTCAAGGGCGGGCTGCCCGCCAGCATAAACCTTTGAGTGGCAAACACTACCAGGGTGGCCATGGAAAATGCCCTCTTGCTGACCATAATTGCACAGAATGTGTGTAAATAAAAGCTAAAAGGAAAAAGAAAATTCTGTAGCTCTTCCAGAAGAGGCAAACGGAGAAATGAAGAAATATAAAGAGATAGGCACTATATAAATACTAAGTACTATAAATAGGGCATTTCCCAACCCACTAAATATTTTGATATTTTCCAGGGATGGAGCCAGAGATGTTCTGGAAGGATGAAGGAGACTGCATGAGTAATTGGGGTGGGGTAGCAGAGAGTTTGCCAATCCCTACCTCACTGGGTTTTAGTTATGTTTCAGTTAATCTGCCTCCTCATTTACGAGGCGGGTATTGTTAGCTCCACTTTTCAGATGAGGATACTGAGATTCAGTAAGGTTATTACCCAAACTTATGAGAAAGCCAAGATTTCACAATATTTCAACCCAACTCGACTTTGTCTAATACCAGTGCGTACCAATGGCATTATTAATCCAGACTGGGCGATGAATTAAAAACTCTGACGTGACGTTTCTGCAGGTTTCTGGAAGAAGCCTGGATCACCTGGGGACGGGGTGAAGTTGGCGTTGCCCTCCTTGCAGTAATAGCTGCTATTGTTTTGCAGCAGTTATTATGGATCAGATACTGTGCTGGGTCTATGATCTCATTTAGCCCTTACGACAATCCTGTGAGGTTGGCATTACTATGATCTCTATTTTACAGGTTAGGAAACTGAGCCTTAAATAAACTACTGGATTTTCCTGAGTATTCTGTGAATAAATTCCTATTACTGAAATACTTGAAAGGGCTAGATTAATAAATTAACAAAGCCTTCTTCGGAGCAACTGTGCTGAAATTCCGTACGCGTGACGTTCCCACCCTCTGCCACTCGGTGACGTCACGATCAATCCCACCACTAAGTTCCCAGCCAAGCGCTACCGCCGCTATCTCGCGAGAGCCGTAGTTTCTTCCATTCTGTTTTGGACATGCGCGGGGCGTAAGGCGCTTTGGCCAGAGTGGTTTGATGGTTTTGTGTTAGTCTTCCTGCAGCTGAGCTTCCACAAGACACTTTTTCCCTTTCAGCCACCCAATATCTCGCGAGACTTGCTATTCTGCGCCCCCTCCCACCTTGCGCTTGCGCAGATCTTCAAAGCAGAAGGTCGCGCTTGGAGGAAGTGGCGGCTTTGAGTCCGGTGGCCCAATCGCTGTTACTACTTCTCTGAAGCTCCTCTCGGCTGCTTGCCGAGACACCCTGCCGCCAAGATGCCTCGAATTATGATCAAGGGGGGCGTATGGAGGAATACCGAGGTAAGTCTCCTTTTCCCGCCGTCCGCTGCCCGCCGCTCCCTCTAGCAGCTTGTGCGCACGCGCGCGGAGGTCGGGGGGGCGACGAGGAGACCCTGTGGGGTCTGCGTGGAGGGCAGCCCGGGGGCTGACCCTTGGGGCCCTTTCCGTGTGTCTGGCCCCGTGTTGTGCGAGCGCCAGTAGGACAGGGACCGTGATGTCACCACCTGGCTACTCGGCTCCAAGCTCACTTGTTAGGCCCTGAGTGAACATTTGTTGACTTGAATACGCCCCCTCCCACCCCGCCCCCCCGCCCCCCCCGGCCCCGGGAAGAACTCAGAGTTCCAACTCAGCCAGAGTTGGTCCCCCGGGGCACCATCCACTCTTAGTCCAGGCACCACGACTCTGTCTCATACTCAGAAATAAAGAAGTTGCCGTGGCCACAACTTTGTGTCTCCATTGACTTCCTTGCAGAGGGGAAGCAGTTTGAGTGCCAGGTTCAGAGAGCCCGTTTATGCCCGCATCTCTCTGGTTATCTGTTATCAGGGCATAACCTGTCTGCCATCTCGACAGATCCCAAGGTCTGTCTCTTTCTGTCACTGCCTTTGCCTAGATAGAAGCCAGAAAGGAAAAACTGGCCTAGGATAGTCTCTGTTTCCAGAAACGTAGTGGATAGTGCCATTGGTGAGCCAAAGGGCAGTAGAGTGGGAGTGAAATAGAAATTAGATTTTAGTGCGTTTTGTGTTCAGAGTGTACCGAATTTATCAGTTTCTGGAGCACATCATGTCTTTTCATGCTCTGTGTCTTTTTTTCGTTACATTTTATGGCTTCTTTTTTTTTTTTTTTTTACATCTTTTGCCTTCCTAGCGCTTGACATCTTTCTGATCATCCTTCAAACCTAGTTCGGAAACACTTCTTGGAATCTCTGTAAGAATTAATTGCACCCCCGATATTCTCATGATACCTTTTTCTTCCGTTTGTTAAAACTTGCTTTGTCTTTTTGTAAGCATCACATCCTCTGTGTGGTACTCGGTAAGTTTCTTAACTTCTGAAAGCCTCAGTTTTCTACTTTTTCTAAATTGGGATAATAATACTTAACCTCTCTTGAGGATTACACGAGTTAATACGTTTGGAATATTTAGATCAGAGTAGGGCACATAGTAGCCTCTGAGTAAGAGCTAGTTGCTCTTTCACCTCACCAGACAGCATGGCGAGAGGACCAGGTCTTGGTATCCCTAGGACCTAGGACAGTAACCAACATGAAGTAGGTTGCTCGACAGGTATTTGCAGAATGAATCAAGTAGAGTAGGTATCTGCTGTATCTATTTAATTGAAAATGTGTTTAAGTGTAGTTGTACTGCAACCAAGTTACAAAAAAGACAATGAAAACTGCCTCAGCTTCCACCGAGGGAACCAGACTGTTTAAATTGGAGAAGAGATGACTTCTGAGGGAGAGACAGATATAAAATCAAGTAACAGTAGGATTCCTATGCAGTGGTCAAAGCTCTGCAGTCTTTTTAAAAAGTATCTTTGATCATGGGAGATGTAGAGGATGGAGTGGGGTATCTCAAGAGGCACGTACCTCAAATCCAATGTGGGAAAAAAAGCCTAGAAGTAAAATCGCCTAAGTGCATGCATCTATGGCTCCATTAACTTTCTTGTCTTTGGCTTGGCTTGCCAGGCTTCCTTGAGGTTGGTGCATTCCACATGGCAATGGGTGCCCTGGTGAAATGGTATCTAGAGATGGGGGGAAATTGGAAGGAGAGCTGACTAGTGGGGTTGGGGTAGAAATATGTAATTCTTAGGTTAGACCTGAGATGTGGATTCTTGGGTCATAGTTGGGGTTAAGGGGCTGGAGGGGAAATGCCATGTATAAACTTGAGACAGGAGGCTTGGATTGGAGAATATATTCACCAGAGTCCCAACTTGCTTCTTGAGGCCTGGATATGTCCTGTTTGATAAGACCTTTCCCCAAGGGAAAGGTAGATGTTTCAAGGTAGATGTTCAGGAAGTGTTTTTTGAGTGAGTGTATAAATGAATGAGTTATACATTTTTGTTGTTGTTGTGTTTTTTAGTTATCCTTTTTGAAGAGAAGGACAGCCACACGTTGAAGAATACTTTTTCTTAATTTTTGTCATAAAGTAGGGTTTCTCAGATTGGGCTGTTCCCACTCCCAATTTATTGGAGAGTGTGGTGTAAGGGTGGGTAGCTGTCTTTCTAAGGGATTTCTTCTTAATTTCTCAATTCTTGGTTGCTGTTATTATAGTTAATGAGGTTTTCATCCTTAGTCTTTTAACCTAGGTGGTGTGTATGTGCATGTTATATGTCTCTTTCTCCAATAGCCCTATCAGAGTTAATTTAAATTTTGTCTTTTCCCACTTGGAGTTTTGTGACTGAATGTACTCTTTGGCAATTTTTTTTAGGATGAAATTCTGAAAGCAGCGGTAATGAAATATGGGAAAAATCAGTGGTCTAGGATTGCCTCATTGCTGCATAGAAAATCAGCAAAGCAGTGCAAAGCCAGATGGTATGTATCAGTTTAATAAGTGGAAAACAGAAAAGGAGCTTAATTATGATGATGGAAAATGTCAACTCTGTGAACCTTATCAAAGAAAGCAGACATTGTAATATAACAAGGCATGGAGTGGGAGATGGAAGTTGGGTGTTTGACTTAGCTGTCACTTGCTTCCTGTGTGGTCTTAGGCAAGCCATTTTTCTATCCCTCTCCCCTGCCCTTGTTTTCTCCCAATTAGGGATAATAATACTTGGTCCTGACTGATAGAGATGTGAGTTGTCATCTAAATGGGTTAATGTATTTGAGAGTGCTTTGTGAAGCATACAAAGTCTACTTTCAGGGACAGATGAGCCCCAGCTTGTAAATTAATTGTGTTCTAAAAGTGCATAAGTTAGCTGTTTTAGAAATTACTTGCTCAAAGAAATAAATGATAAATAATGGCTAATTTTCTAAGTAAGCCTACAGTAGTTGAGTTTCCTCATAATACAGTTGAAATATTATATATTTTATAGTTAATATGTTATATATTATATATTAAACATACTTAATGTTATATATTATATATTAAACATATTTAATATGTTATATATTATATATTAAACATATTTAATATGTTATATATTATATATTAAACATATTTAATATGTTATATATTATATATTAAACATATTTAATATGTTATATATTATATATTAAACATATTTAATATGTTATATATTATATATTAAACATTTAATATGTTATATATTATATATTAAACATATTTAATATGTTATATATTATATATTAAACATATTTAATATGTTATATATTGTATATATTAAACATATTTAATATGTTATATATATTAAAAGATATAAGCCAACTCTGAACCTGTGGTGTCACCTCTTTTTTATTTTTATTTTTTGGGACGGAGTCTTGCTCTGTCGCCCAGGCTGGAGTGCAGTGGCGTGATCTCAGCTCACTGCAAGCTTTGCCTCCCGGGTTCACGCCATTCTTCTGCCATAGCCTCCTGAGTAGCTGGGACTACAGGCTCCTGCCACCATTCCCGGCTAATTTTTTGTATTTTTAGTAGAGACGGAGTTTCGCCGTGTTAGCCAGGATGGTCTTGATCTCCTGACCTCGTGATCCATCCACCTCGGCCTCCCAGAGTGCTGGGATTACAGGCGTGAGCCACCGCGCCCGGCTGGTGTCACCTCTTAAATCATAGGGTAGTGGACACGTGAAGCTATTTAGGGTGTTCTTGGCATGAGTTATTTAGCACCATCCCCAAGTCATGTGGCATTAGGAAAATACTTTGGATTGTATAAGAATGACCTAATTTCCTAGGCACCTGGTTAGGGGAAAGTATCAGAATGTAGAAATTGGCCAGGCGTGGTGGCTCACATCTGTAAGCCTAGCACTTCGGGAGGCCAAGGCTGGGATCACCTGAGGTCAGGAGTTTGAGACCAGCCTGGCCAACATGGTGAAAACCCCGTCTCTTCTAAAAGTACAAAAATTAGCCAGGCGTGGTGGCTACTTGGGAGGCTGAGGTGGGAGGATCGGTTGAACCCAGGAGGTGGAGGTTGTAGTGAGCTGAGATGCTGCCACTGCACTCCAGCCTGGGCGACAGAGTGAGGCTTTTTGAATGTAGAAATTGGCTGTTAAGAGGAAGATGATTTTTAGGCTGAAGAAGTCGTTCTGATTTCTGTTTGTCTTAGTGGTACCAGTTCCTGCTGTCATATTTGGTAGGACTTAAGTCCTGTTTGCCTGCCTGTCATCCAGCTAAGTAGACTGGATGGAAAAGGTGGGCTGGGTGGGGAATTAGGAAAGACAGAGGGAATGTCATAGTAGTTTTACTTAAATTTTAAAACATATCAAATGAAAGGTTACGGTGAATTTAGTGAGTGTAAGTCAAATGCTTAAAGAAATAAGCCATGGTGTGAGAATCAAAGCATGAGAAAATAGTATGAAAACTGGAAACACTGTAAGAAACGTGATTTTGTATTGTCTTCCAAATATTTCAAAATTTCTAGAAAAGCGTAAATAAATAAAAACATGATAGATGAGAAAGAAGGCTTATGATCATGATTCAGTGAAGTAACCTTTTTTAACCATTACTAATCTTGCATAATTAAAATAAAATAGAATGTGATGAGATGGGGAATATTGACTGGGGTAAGTGTAACCACACAGCAAATATTCTGTTGTCAAAAAGAACAGTTTTTGTAATTGAAGGATGAGAGCACAAGTCAGTGTATCCATTGTGCAAATTGGATATTTATGCCAGGTAACTGATTAATATATAAAATGATCTATGTTTAATAGGTATGAATGGCTGGATCCAAGCATTAAGAAGACAGAATGGTCCAGAGAAGAAGAGGAAAAACTCTTGCACTTGGCCAAGTTGATGCCAACTCAGTGGAGGACCATTGCTCCAATCATTGGAAGAACAGCGGCCCAGTGCTTAGAACACTATGAATTTCTTCTGTAAGTGAGTCTTCAGAAAGAGCATAGAATATATGTATATGTTCTGAAAGAGGCTGAATAAACTTTGAGTATTTTCTGTCTTTAAACTTTTAATTATGGATGTGAGTAAACCCAAAGCTAAAGCCATTGGATAATATTTTCCATATCTCAGATGGTTGATCAAAATTATGCCTTCTGTCATATACTTCCTAAAATAATAATTTAAAAGAATTATACAAGTCATGCATGTTCATCATAGAAAATCTGGGGAAAAAATAGTAAAAGAGCAAATAAAAGTCACCCATAATCACACTGCTAAGAATTAACTACTGGAACATTTTGGTTCTTTACTAATAGTTTTTTTTTTTTTTTTTTTTTTTTTAAATTTGTATGGCTGTACCGCATTTGTGATTAGGATCTGTTTGGGTTCTATTTTAGAGTGATTGAAACCAGTCACTGAAATCAGCAAATTTTAATATCATTTCTTTCAGATGAAGTGATAGTAAAAAGGCTTTATGTTGTTAAAGCCCATCCATTGGTTTTTTTGGGGGGAAAAATATCGTCAGAACTTGGAAATCTGGTAATTTTAACTCTAAATGGTACTGTAGTGTGACTAACTCCTATGGGCTTTTTTCTAGGGATAAAGCTGCCCAAAGAGACAATGAAGAGGAAACAACAGATGATCCACGAAAACTTAAACCTGGAGAAATAGATCCAAATCCAGAAACAAAACCAGCGCGGCCTGATCCAATTGATATGGATGAGGGTAAGTGTATGCTTTGAGGAATTTATTTCTTTGGTAACTGTAAACTCCTTGGGCCTCACTCTTTTAGTTCCTTTCTGAACTCCTCTACTTTAGAATCCCTTTTTTTTTTGAGACAAGGTCTTGCTCTGTTACCCAGGCTGGAATGAAGTGGCACAATCATGGTTCACTGCGGTTTTGACCTCCTGGGCTTAAGCAATCCTCCCATCTCAGCCTCCTGAGTAGTTGGGACTACAGGTTTATGCCGCCATACCTGGCTAATTTTTAAATTTTTTTGTAGAGATGGGGTCTCCCTGTGTTACCCAGGCTGGTCTCAAACTCCTGGGCTTAAGCTATCCTCCCTTTTCTGCCTCCAAAAGTGTTGAGATTATAGGTGTGAGCCACCATACCTGATCCCCAATTCTGTCAGCAGTGTTCTTATTCTAAGTATCTTTCCAAATATGTCCAGTGTTTTCTGTTATAGAGTAGTTGCTTTTTCTGAACAGCGCCCCTTCATCTTCTGTTTCTTCAATTCAGTTAATTAAGTTAATTAAGTGTTACGGGGTGTGGTGGTATGTGCCTGTAGTGCTAGCTGCTAAGGAAGTTGAGGTGGGTCGATCTCTTTAGCCCAGGAGTTGGAGGCCAGTCTGGGCAACATAACCCCTTGAGCCCAGAAGTTGGAGGCCAGCCTGGGCAGCATAACGAGACCCTGTCTTTAAAACTGAGTAGTGTAATTCTACTGAGTAGATTTTTCAGAGGCTAGAGGTGAGCCCTTGAAGATCCTGTTTCTCATTCCTATTCCATGGAGAGAGACATCAAGTCAGAATATTGGACCTCAGTCCTCCTATTAATTACTTATTTGACTATAGGCAAGTTATTTATTCTGTGTGAGAAGGCAACCTGTGAGACGGTGATGGAGACTTAACAGTGATTCTGGGAGGCATTGAATCAGGAATTCCACAATAGAAAGTATATGGAATCAACCTAAGTGTCCATTAATGGGTGAATGGATAAAGAAAATGTGGACTGGGCATGGTGGCTCACGCCTGTAATCCCAGCACGTTGGGAGGCTGAGGTGGGCAGATCACTTGAGCCCAGGAGTTCAAGATCAGCCTGGCCAACATGGTGAAACCCTGCCTCTATAAAAAAATACAAAAATTAGCCAGGTGTGGTGGCGCATGCCTGTAGATCCAGCTACTGGGGAGGCTGAGGTGGGAGAATCACTTGAGCCCGGGAGGCTGGGTTTGCCATGAGCTGAGATCAAGCACTGCACTCCAGCCTGGGCAACAGAGCAGGACCCTGTCTCAAAAAAAAAAAAAAAAAAAAAAAAAAAAAATGGTATACACACACACACACACACACACACACACGAATACTATTTGGTCATAAAAAGCAATGAAATCATGTCATTTGCAGCAACATGGATGGCAGTAGAAGTCATTATGTTCAGTGAAATAAGCCAGGCACAGAGAGACAAATACTGCATATTCTTCCTCATATGTGGGAGCTAAAAGCGTTGATCTCATGGAGTTAGAATAGAGTGATAGATGCCAGAGGCTGGGTATGGTGTGTGGGTGGGAGAGCGGGATTAAGAGAGGTTGGTTAATGGGTACAAACGTAGATGGAAAGAAATAAGTTATAATGTTTGATAGCAGAATAGGGTGACTATAGTTAGCAACAGTGTATTACATATTTCAAAGTAGCTGGAAGAGAGGTCTGAAATAAATACTCAAGGTGATGGGTACCCCAGATATACTGACTTGATCATTACACATTCTATGCATGTAACAAACTCTCACATGTACCCTATAAATATGTAAAGTATGATGTATCAGTTAACAGAATCAGGAATTGGATTTTCAACCCGTGTGTGCCACCTATTAGCTGTTTGACCTTAGACAAGTCATAAAATCTCTCTGAGCTTTGATTCCCTTTCTTGCGAGATGGGGAATACTAATACCTGCTTTACCTTAGCAGGGTTGTTGTGAAGCACTCAGTGAATATTTGTTAAGTTTCTAAAATGTAAAGTTTGAACATAGTGGTTCCCAAAGGCAGGCTGTGGCTAGGCTGGCTGCATCATTATCACAGGGGGAGCATTTAAAAATAGAAATATCAGGGCTTCTCCTGTATATACTGAGTCAGTACATCTGGGGTGGTGTGGGAGGCACGGGAAGAGCAGTGATCTTGGAATCTGAGTATTTTACAAGTTCCCATGTGATTTAGTTGGACAGCCTTGCATAGGAATTGTTCTAAGGCATCAATAGTGGCATGTATTATTCCATTCTATAGAGCCACGAAAAATGTATTGGATGAGAGAAATTGTTCTGAGGGGAAAAAAAAGTATCTAATGATAGTTGTTCTCTCATAATTAAATAGTTTTTACCCTATTTCACAATTTGTGCTGTGCCAGTTAGTTGATAATAATGAAGGATACAATAATTGTAGCCACTGTTTAATGAATGCTTGCGAGATGCTTTACATATTTCGTTTTACTTAGCCCTTCTCAAAATCCTTGTGAAATAGGAATTGTTATTCGAATTTTATAGGGAAACCATGCTTAGGGAGGGTAAGTAAGTGACTAAGGTCACATAGCTAGCAAGTGGTGGGCCTGGTTTTTAACCTAGGTTCTTTGACTTCAAAACTCAAGCTGTTTCCATTATGCTACACCATAAAATCAGTATTTTTATGTTTTTTTCTCATTTTGAGCAATAGAGTGTCTCTTACATACCTTGCTTCTAGAGTATGTAAGAACTAAGAAAATACTTAGTTTTTCTTCTTTTAATTTTTGCAGATGAACTTGAGATGCTTTCTGAAGCCAGAGCCCGCTTGGCTAATACTCAGGGAAAGAAGGCCAAGAGGAAAGCAAGAGAGAAACAATTGGAAGAAGCAAGGTATGTGTGGATATAGGAATAAAAAGCAAAGTGTTTTTCTCACATAACAATCAACACAGAATACTTCTGTGACCAGATATGTGGTTTTTTTTTTTTTTTCCCCTCTCCACCAGCAATCAGGCAATCAATTCTGCAGTGGATAGCTGGGTGTCCTCTAATTCAGTTAACTCTAATACTGTCTACCTGGAGATAGCTCCAGATCTTACAGGTTGAGGACTTAGTCCCACAAGACTGAACCCCAGTTTTGATGCTGACCCTAAACCCCAGGTTATTTTGCTTGTGTTTCTGACCAGCGAGCTGGGTTCCACTGCCCCTTCCTTGGGTTCCATTCATCTGCTAGAGGACTCACAGAACTCAGGGAAACACCCACATTTACAAAGGATATTTTAAAGGATACAAATCAACGGCCCCATGAAGAGATACACAGGGTGAAGCCTGGAAGGGTCCTGAGTGCAGGTGCTTATGTCCCATTGAAGTTGGGATATGCCACCCTCCCAGCCAGTGGGTGTGTTCTTGTTCACCTTTTCGGAAGCCCCCATGTATTTGGCTGCCCACAAGTTCTCCAGACTCTGTCCTTTTGGGTTTTTATGGAGGCTTCATTAAATAGGCAAGATTGATTACATCATTGGCCATTGCTTATCAACTCGACCTTCAGCCCTTCTCCCCTCCCCTGAGGTTGGGGGTTGTGGCTGAAAGTCCCAAGCCCTCTAATCCTGCCGTGGTCTTTCTGGTGACTGCCAGCTATCAGTCAACTCATTAACATGCAGAAAGACACTTTTCACTTGGAAGAGTCCCAGGATTTTAGGAGTTGCATTGTTGGAAACGGATGAAGACCAAATACATTATTTCACAATGTGTGCTTGTCTCCATTCATAGTTCAATAATTAGTCTAGGCATCCTTAGGACCAATAAAACTGCATGATTTATTAACCCGTTGGGTGAATAATAATTGGAATTGTCCAGTTCCTATTTCGCTAGTATTCTTTACCTTCTTTATTTCTCTGAAACTATCTTGTATTTTTTTCCCCCAACCATTTCAGAATATTTATAGAAAACCATATTTAAAAAAAATTGAAGCTATGGCAGAGGTAATGCCCAGTTTATCCAGTATGTTGAGTGTGTTCTGTTGGCATATGAGAGCTTCATTTGTTGTAGCTATTTTGGAGTCAGATGACTGTAGGACACACAAGATTATGTGTCTTTTGTATGACTGCCAATTAGTTACTTTCCTTGATTGGTATTGGGAAGGCACTGGCTGTGAAACAGGAAACTTGGCTGAACAAAGAGGGAATTAATGAGCTTAGAACCAAATTTTAGGCCCTCATAGAAATCTTTATTTAAAAAGTAAACGAATATATATTACACATTGTCTTTCACTCAGGATTTTCTTCACTTTCCCCTTTTTTCCTTTTGGTTAAGTCCATGATTGATATCAGTTCTAATAGCCCAGAAACCAAGATGATGTCACTAAAGGGCAAATCTGGACTGTGTCACAGCTTATTAGCTTCTGGGATTCAGGCCCTAGAATAACCTCCCTATCCTGTACAGTGCCCCTTGTGGCCCCCAGGTTGGCCTGCTGATTCTTCTTGACCTGATGACCAGCATTATGTTGTAATTAATGGCTTTGAAGTGCCAGATCCTGGGATGGAGGGTTTTTTAATGTCTGAGGATGCATGTTGGCAGAGCTGGCCAATTGCTAGCCTAGAATGGTTAGCTTATTTGGGGGTATTAGCTGCCGGGGACAGTAAACAGAAACCAAGAGGAGGTACTAACTTTTCCACCATTCTTGGCCACCTCTCTATTCTGTATACTCTTCAGAGTTAAGTACTGTGAGTAAGGTTGAAAAAAAATCACTTTTCCATTTTTATCCATGGTTGTAGGGGACCAAATTTTTAGAGCCCTTTAACCGTGTGGATTGGGCCAGGGACACAGCAAATGCATATGTGAAAAATCTCCAAGTGTGGCTAGCATTGATTGCTTTAAATAAAATTTGCAGATTTTAATTTACCCTGTAATTTCTTGTAGGCATTCTTGTAGAATCTACACATCTTTGTAAGTTATATTCTAACAGGCTGGAATGGCCTCTATGCAAAGTGCAGGGCAGGGCTATTTGCTTTTAAATGTTAAATTACAAATCTACCTTGTAACTTAAAGCAGTTTTTTATTGATTATAAAAGTAACACATTTTTCCTTCTAGTATTGTTAATGTTCTCATTTTGGGACATAGGTAATATAATGCTATATGGCTTGGTTATATTCATTTAGCATTATTGTGTAAAGGTTTTCTAATGTGGATTGAAGTCCTTATTTCCATTATTTAAAGAATGAAATTACTTTAAAATTTGAAATACATTTTTCTAAACTTTTCTCTCTCTCAACATAGATGTGCATTTATGTGTATATATGTACACTAACGTTTATACAAAGTTGGATCATACTGTACGGTTTTAATGAGAAGTCAGCTGTAAATCTTACTGAGATTTCCTTGTAAGTGTTGAATCATTTTTGTCATACTGCTTTTAATGTTAATTTTAATTTTTTTTAAGAGAGGGTCTTTCTCTGTTGCCTAGGCTTTAGTGCAGAGTTCACTGCAGCCCTGCACACCTGGGCTCAAGCAGTCCTCTGCCTTAGCCCCCTGAGTAGCTGGATCTACAGATGCACACCACCATTCCCACCTAATTAAAATTTTTTTTGTTGAGACGGAGTCTCGCTATGTTGCCCAGGCTGGTCTTGAACTCCTGACCTCAAGCTATCCTCCTTTCTTGGCCTCCCAAAGTGCTGGGATTGCAGGTGTGAGCCACTGTGACTGGCCTGTCTTACTGGTTTTAAATCTTCTCGTCTTTGGCTTTCAACATTTTTAATATGATGTGTCTGTAGATTTCTTTTTGTTTATCTTACTTGGAGTTCATTGAGCTTACTGGATGTGTAGATTAATGTTTTTCAATAAATTTTTCAAAATTTCAGCCATTATATATCTTCAAATATTTAATTCTGCTCCTTTCACTTCTCTCCTTTTGGTACCCCTGTTCTGCTTATGTTGGTGTATTTAATAGTGCCACATATTTCTCTGAGGCTCTATTCATGTTCTTCATTCTTTTTCTCTGTTTAGATTGCATAATTGTTACTGCTCTGTTTTAAAGTTTGTTAATTCTTCTGCCAGTTAACATCTACTGTTGAGCCTCTCTAGTGAAGTTTACATTTCAGCTTTGTACTTTGTTTTGTTTTGTTTTTTGAGACGGGGTCTTGCTCTGTTGCCAGGCTGGAGTGCAGTGGTGCGATCTAGGCTCACTGCAAGCTCCACCTCCCGGGTTCACGCCATTTTCCTGCCTCAGCCTCCTGAGTAGCTGGGACTACAGGTGCCCGCCACCACACCCGGCTAATTTTTTGTATTTTTAGTAGAGACGGTTTCACCATGTTGGCCAGGATGGTCTTGATCTCTTGACCTCGTGATCTGCCTGCCTCGGCCTTCCAAAGTGCTGGGATTACAGTGTGAGCCACCACACCTGGCTACTTTATTTTTTTTTAATTAAATAAATATTTTTTTTCATTTTTGTTATTCCATTCCTTTTCTAAGTTAGCTGATAAGCTTTGTGCTTTTGAATTTGAGAATTTCCATTTGGTTCTTTTTAAGCATTTCTGTCTCTTTACTGATATTCTCTGTTTGATGCAACGTTGTTATCATACCTTCCTTTACTTCTTGGTTTCCTTTTGTTCTTGGAACATAATGGCTACTTTCAAGTTTGTTAATCTGACATCTGGTTGCACTCTCAGGCAGTTTCCGTTGCTTGCATTTTTTCTAGCATATGGGTCATTCTTTCCTGTTTCTTTGCATGTCTTATAATTTTTTGTTGGAAACTAGACATTTTAGATGATATACTGTAGCAATTTTGGGTACTCCCCCAGCCTTCATTTATTATTTGCTTGTTTACTTGTTTGATGACTGGTTTATTTTATTTTATGTTTTTGAGACGGAGTCTCGCTCTGTCACCCAGGCTGGAGTGCAGTGGCATGATCTCGGCTCACTGCAACTTCTACCTCCTGGGTTCAAGTAGTTCTCTTGCTTCAGCCTCCAGAGTAGCTGGGATTACAGGCACTGTCTACCGTGCCTGGCTAATTTTTGTATTTTTAATAAAGACAGGGTTTCCCCATGTTGGCCAGGCTGGTCTTGTGACCTCAGATGATCCACCTGCCTTGGCCTCCCAAAGTCCTGGGATTACAGACATGAGCCAGCGTGTCTGGCCAATTTTAGTCAGTCTATTCTTCCCTTACCTCCTGTGAGAAATGTGAAGCATCTGATGTTGCTCCTCACAGGGTATGCTCACAGTCACCCTGGGATAGCATGGTTTGGGCAGCGCTCTCTTTGACATTCCTTTCCCTGTTAAGTTTCACTGATTGCCAGCTGTTTACTGTGTTGTTTTCAACAATGTCCTGGGGCATAAGTTGCACTACAAAGTGATCCAGTCAAATTTGGGCTCCTTTGAAGGGATGCTTCCTGATATCAGTGTTTGAGATTTATTCTCACCCCAGAAGGGCTCCTCCCAGCTCTTATTCCCTGTTTCTCTCTGGCAAACTAGTAGGCCTACAGATTTGGTATCTCCATTAAGTCTGTCAAGCTTTTTCCCAACTTGCCTTTTACCAGAACTTCCACTGTTTTTGATAGTACCCTTAGGCTAGAACTTCTCTATACTCTGTTGCAATGAAGTCCTTTTGTTTGAGGAGAGATGTGGATCTCTCAGTTCTGTGTCCTGCTTCTTCCCCAGGGCTCTGACAGGACATGTCTCCAAGTGACAGCCCTACTTTATTAGCTGAGTGTTTGGTGGGAAGTAGGGGATGGACAGCAGCCCAAGGTTTCCTTGGCTTGCCCTCCCCGTCCGTCCGCCCGCAGCGTGGAGCCCTCATCTCATAAGCCAGGGCAAAGGCTATCAGGGCTCCAGTATTCTCAGCAGCACTGTGTCCAAAGCTAGGACTTCTGTTTGGATGGAGGAAGGAAGCCCACTTTTCAGCCACTCTTGATGGAACTTTGCCACCAGAAATACTGATGTCCTAATCCTCCTGGAATGAAAGCCCTACTACTGGGAGCTGGAGGGGAGAAGGAGTCCTGGGTTCTTGGCTGCACTTGTGTGGAGTGGAATCTCCATTCCTCTGAGCTGGGGGGAAGGAGGGAGTGGGTCTTGGTTTAAATATATATATTTTTCTCTTTTTTAAATTTAATTTAATTTTATTATTATTATACTTTAAGTTTTAGGGTACATGTGCACAATGTGCAGGTTAGTTACATATGTATACATGTGCCATGCTGGTGTGCTGCACCCATTAACTCATCATTTAGCATTAGGTATATCTCCTAAAGCTATCCCTCCCCTCTCCCCCCACCCCACAACAGTCCCCAGAGCGTGATGTTCCCCTTCCTGTGTCCATGTGTTCTCATTGTTCAGTTCCCACCTATGAGTGAGAATATGCGGTGTTTGGTTTTTTGTTCTTGCGATAGTTTACTGAGAATGATGATTTCCAATTTCATCCATGTCCCTACAAAGGACATGAACTCATCATTTTTTATGGCTGCATAGTATTCCATGGTGTATATGTGCCACATTTTCTTAATCCAGTCTATCATTGTTGGACATTTGGGTTGGTTCCAAGTCTTTGCTATTGTGAATAGTGCCGCAGTAAACATACGTGTGCATGTGTCTTTATAGCAGCATGATTTATAGTCCTTTGGGTATATACCCAGTAATGGGATGGCTGGGTCAAATGGTATTTCTAGTTCTAGATCCCTGAGGAATCGCCACACTGACTTCCACAATGGTTGAACTAGTTTACAGTCCCACCAACAGTGTAAAAGTGTTCCTATTTCTCCACATCCTCTCCAGCACCTGTTGTTTCCTGACTTTTTAATGATTTAAATATTATATTCTTGTGTTTCTTACCGAGTTAAAGTAGATTTTCTTGATTTAATGTTTATATATTTGCTGTATCTGCTTCAGATCCTCTTCAGAGACTTTAATTGGTTGTTTTTAAAATATATGTAATTTTCACCATTCTCCCTGGGTAGTGAGTTTATGGAGTTCCTCATGCTGTCATGCTGGAAGTTACTCATAGATACTGTTTTGTAACTTGTTTTCCATCTTTCATATTGTGAATAGCTTTTCTTATCACGAAATCATTACAGTTATAGCAACATAGGAAGATGCAAAGAAAAAAAGTAAAAATTAAATGGAATTCCACCCTCCAATGACTATCGTTATTAATATTTTGATGGACATCCTTCATATCTCCTCAGGCACATATTCATTGATAGATATGCATACAGTTCTTATGTGTTGCCCTGTAACATGTAAACTTTCTAACATTTTTTACACAGTGGTATGTCTTGGGCCTCTTTCCATATCAGAGTAGATTTATAGCCTTTTAAAAGTTTATGTAAATGTCTGTATAATATCTTATAAATTCATTTAATTTCTTACTGATAGTTGTTTAGATTGTATCCAGCTATCTACTATCATAAACAGTGCTTAGTGAACAGCTTTGTAATTAAGTCCTTGTTCATGGTGTAACTTATTTCCTCAGGCTAAAGGCTAAGGAGTGAAATTGCTGCTCAAAAAATATGAAAATCTTTAGACTATGAATGTGTATTTCTAACTTCTCTTTGGGAAGAGATGCACCAATATACTTTTTCATTACCAGTGCAGCAGACTGTCCATTTTTTGCAGCCTTGCCGTTAAAACAAAACAAAAAACTGAATGGTGTTAATTAGATATGCACAAATGGTACTTGTTAATTTAATTTGTGATTCTTTAATTGTTAAATAAAACTTTTGTCATTTTAGTTACCTGCATTTTTTGCTTTGTGAATTGTTTCCTTTTGCTCTTTTTACACCCTTTGAGTGCATTAAAAAAAAAAAAAAACTTTGCTTAGACTGTTTATATTTAACCATCATACTAGTTGCAAATATTTTTTCCTACTATTTGCCTTTTAATTTCATTTATAAATTTTCATAGTGTTACAGTTAGAAGTTTTATATCTCAAAGCTATTCAATGTATAGATGAGTGGATTAAAAGGAAAAAAAAGCTGTTGATTTTTTTCATTTGCCATTTATTTAATTTATATTTAGTAAGTACATTTCCATCCAGAGATAAGATATGTATTTACTTGTAGTTCCTTTTGGTTTTTCTTTTTGCCTTATTATGTGTATGTGTGTGTGCACCTTTAAATTAAAACTAGGATTTGTTTTGGTGAATGGTGTGAGGTAAGGATTTAAATAACTATTTCTTCCCCAAATAAATAGATACTTTTTTTTTAACTGTATGGGATAATTTATCCCTGTCACATGGCATATGATTTTCAAAGTGATTTTGCATTCTTTTCAGACGTCTTGCTGCCCTCCAAAAAAGAAGAGAACTTCGAGCAGCTGGCATAGAAATTCAGAAGAAAAGAAAAAGGAAGAGAGGAGTTGATTATAATGCCGAAATCCCATTTGAAAAAAAGCCTGCCCTTGGTTTTTATGATACTTCTGAGGAAAACTACCAAGCTCTTGACGCAGATTTCAGGAAATTAAGACAACAGGATCTTGATGGGGAGCTAAGATCGTAAGTTGCCTTTCTGATTTTGGAAATGGAAAGGAATAGTAGGAGGAGTCTTACGAAGGGCCAAGTATTATCCTTGTCAGAGCCAGATTTTTATTATTTATTTATTTTACATTTTTTAAAATCAATTTTTTTTTTGAGACAGGGTCTTGCTGTGTTGCCCAGGCTGGAGTACAGTGGCACAAACACGGCTTACTGAAGCCTTGACCTCCTGGGCTCAAGCAATCCTCCCACCTCAGCCTCCTGAGTAGCTAGGCCTTCAGGTGCACACCACCACACCTAGCTAATTTTTTTTTATTGTTTTGTAGGGTGGGATCTCCTTTTGTTGTGCAGACTGGTCTCAAACTCCTGGGCTCAAGCGATCCTTCTTAAAGTGTTGGGATTATAGGCATCAGTTACTGTGCCTGGCCTAGATTTTTATTAGTACAATGTGGCCTACATATGGTTTTATTTATTTAATGGATTCATCTTTCTGAGAAAATCAGGGACTGTGGCTATCACGTTTTTAGCACAGAATGCTGTTTATGGCTCTTGAGTTGAAATGCATGGCTCTCAATTGACTGTTTACTCTTTGAATCACATCTTAACTTTTATGTACATTTATGAGTAGATTAGTTTTACTAGTGGCTGAGGAATCTGTCAAAATTGAGTCTGGTATTTTTAGCCTTAAAAAACAATTTTTTTTTTTAAGACAAGGTCTCACTCTTATCACCCAGGCTGGAGTGCAGTGGCATGATCACAGCTCACTGTATCCACCTCCCAGGCTCAAGCAGTCCTTCCACCTCAACCTCTCAAGTAGCTGGGAGTACAGATGTGTGCCACCATGACTGGCTAATTTTTTATTTTTTGTAGAGAGGTGGGTCTTGCCATGTTATCCATGCTGGCCTTGAACTCCTAGGCTCAAGCTACCCTCCCTTTGCGTCCCTCACAAAGTGTTGGGATTACAGGCATGAGTCACCACTCCTGGCCCTTTTAGTCTTTTCTAGTGAAAAATTTTACCTTGTTTTTATTAAGATGAAATTAAAAGAAAAAACTTACTGATCCTTTCACTTGATGGGATAAATATACATTTATAAAATCTTTATGTTTTAGGGCATAGCAGATTTTCCCTATTTCTTGAGATTTTTAGTTTCTTTAAATCTCATATCTGAATATTGTAGGGAGAGTATTTTATGGTTGTCAAGGGTTTTTTAAAGTTTTCTACTCCGTTGACCTTTCATTTCTGTTGACATGAATTGTTACAAAACAACAGCTATCAGCCATTGTAAAATAGGATTTTCTTAGATGTACTCCATTGTATTTATTCCTCAGATTAGGACTTTGCTTTAGGTAGGCTCTACAAATAAAGAGATTGAACAGGAAAACTATTCATTTGGAAGGAGTACTAAGTGGGGGAGGCAAGAAAGACACACAGAAGGGGAGGAGGTATTCCTGGAGCTTTGAAAGACTGCTTTGAGCCTGTCTTTAGGCTTCCTAACCATGTTTAGATGTCACTTGTCAGTATTAAGACAGCCTTTTTAAAAAAGTTGTGAATTTTAAGAATCATGAGAATTTAATAACAAGTTTTAAAGGGAAATTTAATTATGTTTTAATTTTATTTCTTTCATACACATTTTCCTTTTTACATACTTGTCATACTTTTTCCTATGTGCACACGTTTTTATTGAATGTATTCATAATATAGGAATAGTTTTTGACATTATGTGGAATGTTTTGTTTATCACAATCTTCATACTTACATGTTTTAATATTTAGTACTTCAATTAGGGTACCTTATTGATAATTTTGTTGCTATTCTGAGTTTGCTTTTATCTTGAATATGGTAAGTAATGGTGTAGGGGACTACTTAATGTATATTGTTTTTACCTTTTTTTAGCTATTTTCTTTTTTTTTTTGAGATGGAGTCTTTCTCTATTGCCCAGGCTGGAGTATAGTGGTGCGATCTCAGCTCACTGCAACCTCTGTCTCCCGGGCTCTAATGATTCTCCTGCCTCAGCCTCCCGAGTAGCTGGGATTACAGGCACGCACCACTATGCCTGGCTAATTTTTGTATTTTTAGTAGAGATGGGGTTTCGCCACGTTGGCCAGGCTGGTCTTGAACTCCTGACCTCAGGTAATCCACCCACCTTGGCCTCCCAAAGTGCTGGGATTACAGGCGTGAGCCATTGCACCTGGCCTTTTCAGTTATTTTCTTAGAAATGAGGTTGTTTGTTCAAAGGGTTTGAGTATTTGTATGGATTTTAATGTTTTTGGCTATATGTAACTTAAAAATCTCTTTTCTACTTTGATCCATGACAGTGAAAAAGAAGGAAGAGATAGAAAAAAAGACAAACAGCATTTGAAAAGGAAAAAAGAATCTGATTTACCATCAGCTATTCTTCAAACTAGTGGTGTTTCTGAATTTACTAAAAAGAGAAGCAAACTAGTACTTCCTGCCCCTCAGGTAATCTGATAAAAGCAAATTTTTCACTATGTGAATTTATATGCTTATATCATTTATTCAGCAAATGTTTGAAGGCCTGTGTACCAGGTTTGTGCTGGATGCTCTTAAGAAATTCACAGTTTAATGGGTGAGACACACATAAAAACAAGTAATTGTGGGCTGGCTGTGGTGGCCCACACCTGTTATTTCAGCACTTTGGGAGACCAGGACGGGCGGATCACCTGAGGTCAGGAGTTCAAGACAGAAGGAGTTCCTGCCCAGCATGGTGAAACCCTGTCTCTACTGAAAATACAAAAATTAGGCGGGATGGTGGCACACACCTGTAATCGCAGCTACTTGGGAGGCTGAGGCAGGAGAATCACTGGAACCCGGGAGGTGGAGGTTGCAGTGAGCCAAGATGGTGCCATTGCACTCCAGCTTGGGTGACAGAGTGAGACTCTGTCTCAAAAAACAACAACAATAACAAAAAAAAACAAAAAAAACCCCACAAGTAATTGTGATATAGTATGATAAGATAGCTTCAGCTTCTCTGTATAAATTATTGTATCAGATCTTAAACTGCTCATATGATGGTTTGGTAAGTAATTATCAGCTCTTAACATTTTGTCAACAGGGTAGGGCTTTAGGCTTCTTTTTGTAGCTGATGAGGGTAAAGGTGTGGTTTGGCTTTGTGGACTTTAAGCTGCCTTCTCCCAGGGAATGTTTTGTTGTGTTATGCTTTTCTTTTTTGAGACAACAGTTGTGAAAGTCAATGTGGGAGTTGTGGAGAAAAGCGATACAAACATTCTTTCATTCAGCTTATTACAGGCTGTATTCTTTTGACTTACTATAGTTGGTCAGAAACATGGGACCTTAGGGTAACCTTTTTTTTTTTTTTTGAGACGGAGTCTTGCTCTGTCGCCAGGCTGGAGTACCGTGGTGCCATCTAGGCTCACTGCAACCTCCGCCTTCCGCGTTCAAGCGATTCTCCTGCCTCAGCCTTCCAAATAGCTGGAACTGTAGGCGTGCGCCACCATGCCCCGCTAATTTTTGTATATTTACTAGAGACAGGGTTTCACCATGTTGGCCAGGATGGTCTTGATTTCTTGACTTCGTGAGCTACCATCTACCCACCTCGGCCTCCCAAAGTGCTGGGATTATAGGCATGAGCCACCGTGCCCAGCTAACCCTTTTTTTTGTCTGTTTTGAGTAGTACAGCTTTGTAGAATTGGACAGATTTAATGGTGCAGAAGAAAGGACTTAGGAGACCAGAAGAACTCTTTTCCCACATGAGCACATTGGCTGCATCAACACAAGATTCTTGGGCATAAACGAGTTTTGTCATATCCTGACATTCCTAGTGGGGATATTTATTAAACTGAAATTTTGTCTTTAATTTTTTTCTTAGTACACCTTAGGATATTTATTTTGGTAAAATTACTAACACAACACCTTTAGATTTTCTTAGGGATCTTGTGGCTCGCTGGACCCTTTCTGTGTGATATTTTAATTGGTTTTCAGTCTTCCTCCTCCAATTTTGTATAAATACTGCTATTTTACATTCTTGGTACGTTAATATGTTGATTTGAAAGAATTTCAGTATAGAGATACAGCCTTTGTAGCTTGATTCTATATCATATGTGAATTTTCCCCTCACATTCTGTAGGGAAGGCTTTCTAAAGCTATATTATGGAAACTTTCAAAGCCACAAAAAAGATGAGTACTACTGTGAACTTGTGATATTAATCACACAGCTTCAGCAATTCATTTTTCTGGAATATGGAAATTTAAAGCTGTGTCAGCTCTCAGTTAAAATGTTGGTTTTTTTTTTTTTTTCAATAGAGACAGTTTTGCTGTGTTGCCCAGGTAGGTCCCGAACTCCTGGGCTCAAACAGTTTGCCCTCCTCGGCCTCCCAGAGTGTTGGGATTACAAGTGTGAGCCACTGTGCCCGGCCTCAGTTAAAATGTTGCTTACTATGATAATTGTGTCCTTTTAGATTTCAGATGCAGAACTCCAGGAAGTTGTAAAAGTAGGCCAAGCGAGTGAAATTGCACGTCAAACTGCCGAGGAATCTGGCATAACAAATTCTGCTTCCAGTACACTTTTGTCTGAGTACAATGTCACCAACAACAGCGTTGCTCTTAGAACACCACGAACACCAGCTTCCCAGGACAGAATTCTGCAGGTAACGTGTCACGTAGTAGAATGAGGCTTTTACTTTGTTTATTGTCCTTAGAAGTATCATGCAGGAGAACTAAGCGGTTTGGTTGTGTTTCTTTTAGTGTAAATGGTTTGAAACTGAGTCCTGAATGCATAGATCTTGCAATATTTCTGTAGTAGAGAAGCTAAATAGATTCAGCAATCAGGTAGTTTTATTTTCACATTTATTAAAATTCGTAATTTTTTGAAGCCAGCCCTTCTACCTTCATTAGTCTTTTGTACCTGTCAGTAAAGCATAGTTTTGTAAAATTTCACATTGCCTGCCAATCCTAGAAAGAAAGAAATACTTCCTTGCATTTCTGTACTTAGCTTCACATAGTGTGCCCGCAGTTCTACTTTCTTCCCTCTCTCTAACACGTGGGGTAGACACAGCTTTGTGTGTTCCCAGGGTGTCTGTATACCAGAGAATATCCAAACCTACAAAACATAGTTGGGTCTTTTGGTACACTTACATCTCATTTCCTCATCTCTAATAGTCAGGAATATAATTTTAAGGCTTTGATTCGCGGCAAACAGTTGTGTAAGGCTTAGCAAGAAAAACACTTGTGCCCCTCATCCGTAGAGGTGCCTGTTACAACTCTTTGTTTTACTTACCGCTAAAAGATCTTTGTTACTCATTGACCATTTTCAGTTTTAGGCATTATCTGTTGTTTTTCTACGTAGAATTTGACATTTGGCTTTCACACCCTCTGTGTCCGTCATGCATACATTTTCTATTCCCCTATTGTCTGTTATAATTTGGTTAGCTTTATATTCTTGGTTTATCTTATGACTCTGTAAATCCTATTCATTGCTAAACCATGAATTACCTTATAATTTGTGTAAGTTATACAAATATGTAATATTCGTACATATAGTTTGTAATCCATAGCATACCATTGTACTTTGTGGTATAGTATTTTGTTTTTCTTGGAGCTAATACTTGTTTTATTCAGTTGCTAAGTTTTTTGACTAAGCAGTAATTCAACTCTAGACTACGCTGGCTGTGTCTGTTTTCTCTAACCTGTGCTGACTTTAGATAGTCTCATCTTTTTGAAGAAATCTTTCTTAGAACTTCCGAATGTTCTTGCCTGGACTCATTATTCTTCAGGGCTTGTTTATAGCTTGTTCTTTTGATTTCCCTTCACTGTCACCCTAGAGAGTCCCTTGGATCCCCTCTTTCCAGGCTCCCATGTCTTTGGCTTTCTTGGTTTACTCCCTTGTTCAATGAAGAATATCATTCAGTAGCTTTCAGAGAAAGGGTTCATAGGAGGTAGAATTTTTTTTTTTTTAGTTTTTTTTCATTGATAAGGAAAAATTGTATCTATTTATGGTGTACAGTATGATGTTTTGATATATGTATACCTTATGGAATGGCTAAGTCAAGCTGGTTAACATGGGCATTACTTCACATATTTATCATTTTTTTGTGGTAAGAACACTTAAAATCTACCCTTAGCAATGTTCAAATGTACAGTGTACTGTTATTCACTATAATCACTGTAATGTATAATATCTTGAACTTATTTCTCCTGTCTTACTGAAATTTTGTGTCCTTTGACAGATATCTCCCTGGTTCCCTCACCCCTCAGCCTCTAGTAACCACCATTTTACTCTTTTTCTGTGAGTTTGACTTTTTTAGATCCCACAAATAAGTAAAATCATGGGGAATTTGTCTTTCTGTATCTGGCTTACTTGATGTAATGTCCTTCAGTTTCATCCATGTTGTCACAAATGACAGGATTTCTTTTTTAAGGCTGAATAGTATTTTATTGTGTTTATGTATCACATATTTTTAAATTCATTTCTCCACTGGTGGACCCTTAGGTTGTTTCCAGAGGTAGAATTTTTCAAGATCTTGCATATCTGTTAATTACTAATCTACCCTCTTGGTTGATAGTATAACTGGGTATAGAATCCCAGATTGCAGTGGTTTTTGTTCACAGTGTTGAAGGTAGCACTGCAAGGTCTTCTGGCTTCCACTGTTGCTCTTGAGACCTCCTATACTGTTGAGTTTGTTAAAAGTAAACCTCGTTTTTTCTTTTCTTGAAGCTTACATTATCTTACATGATTTATGATGCATGTTTCTTGGTGAAGGTCTTTTTCAACCACTGTGGATCTTTTCATTCCAGAGACTCATGGCCTTCAATTTTGTAAAATTATTTTGAATTAAAATTGTTTTTCTCCCTTTCATTGATCTCTTTATGAACCTCCAGGTTTTCTATTAATTCCTCTGCAGTTTTCTATCTTACTGATTTTGATTTATTTGTAGGAGGTTTTCTCAATTTTATCTTTATTCAGTTTTTAATTTACTATCATATATGTAATGTTTAAGAGCTTTTTAAAATTTTGTTCAGTATTTTTTTTTTTTACCATCTCTTATTTCATGAGTATCTTATTTCTCTGAGGCTGTTAATGATGGTTTTGTTTTTATAAGTTTTCTTTTCCTTGCATAGTTTCTAAGTTTTTTGTTTTGTTTCCTTTCTGTCTTTCCTTATGGGTATTTCCTCAAATGTCCGGTGCTCTTTGCCTGTGTCTAGAAGTGGGTGGGGGGCAATCACAAGCTGATTGGAAGCTCCTTAGGTGTGGGTAGGGCTCCTTGACTCCTGGCTTCCCTGGAGGCTGATCTGGCTGGGATGTTTCACTGGGAGAGTTCTTGATGTCAGTGTTAGTTCTTTTGGGTCAGTGTTAGTTGTTTTTGCTTAGGTTAGTCATATTCCTCAGAGAAGTAATTTCCAGTCTCCTATCTACAGGGTATAAAGTTGGCCAGTCTCTGGGAACCTAGTTGGGGAAAAAGGCTGGATGTCTCCAATCTAAAATTAAAAACTTCTGCTTCATTTCTCTATTTTCATAGTGATAATTTTGCTCTTAACTCTTCCTGGTATTCTCTGGTTTAGAAATCTTTTTTGTACTCTCTTCAGAGAGTAAAGCCCCTCTGTTTTTTGTAAATCCTGTGAGAGACAGAGAGAGAGAGAGAGAGAGAGAGAGAGAGTGTGTGTGTGTGTGTGACTAAAAATCCTATAGACTTTGTTTTTTATTATCACTCTTTTTCTTCTCATTTTATATTGTTTCGTGAAAGTTTACAAAATTATGGCACACTAGTTATTAGCCAGCTCAAGGCTTTGAGGAGGTCTGAACATAGGGTTTCTCAAGTAAATAAGTAAAATATCTAGCATATCAGAAGCTTTAAAAACAATAATGTGATCTTGCATTTATTTCCTTGGATTCTGAACACAAGTAAGGAATGTGTTTCAGGGTGTTCAAGGCCAGATAAAGTGTCAGATAAGCCTGTTCGGACAGACTGGGAAAGAGAAAACCTAACCACTCACAGAGGAAATATGGAGGGACCTAAACAGTCCAGAATACAGACAGGAATCCACTTAAACTGTATAGACCTGTTAATAACAGGGGGCAATAATGGCTATAGGTATTGTAAGAATCCCACTAGCCATCTTCTCCTGGTGGCCCTGAAGTGATGGAGATGCTTCTGATAGAGGCTCTGTCAGTGTTACATGGCTTAGTATTGCTCGTGCATGTGCAGCACTTATCCAGCCCTTTCATTAAAATACAGAGCATGCTTTCCTGGTTCTGTCACTTTATCCATGCCTCAGCCTTTCAGATGTCTCCACTTCTGTGACAGATAGGAATAACCTGTCCCCCACTTTTTTTTTTTTTCAGACAGGGTCTCACTCCCATTACCCAGGCTGGAGTGCAGTGGCATGATCACGGCCACTGTGCCCAGACAGTTTTTTTACTTTTAGTAGAGACAGGGTTTCGCCATATTGCCCCAGGCTGGTCTCGAATTCCTGGGTTCAAGTGATCTGCCCGCCTTGGCCTCTCAGAGTGCTGGGGATTACAGGCATGAACCACTGCACCTGACCCCCCACTTTTTTCAGTGGTGCTGTTTGAAGAAGTTTGCAAGTGTGAATATTCACACTTGAAATTAAAAAAAATAGTTTTTTTTTTAATTTTGGGAAAAAATTACATTATAGGACAATATAAGGGACATTTAATGGAACTCCTTTCATGGTTTTTAAACAGTTTTATTGAGATACCATTCTTACAGAATTCACCCATTTTTACTGTATTTACCGAGTTGTATAACCATCACCACAGTCAATTTTAGAATAATTTCTTTTTTTTTTTTTTTTTTTGAGACGGAGTCTCGCTCTGTCGCCCAGGCTGGAGTGCAGTGGCGGGATCTCGGCTCACTGCAAGCTCCGCCTCCCGGGTTCACGCCATTCTCCTGCCTCAGCCTCCCAAGTAGCTGGGACTACAGGCGCCCGCCACTACGCCCGGCTAATTTTTTGTATTTTTAGTAGAGACGGGGTTTCACCGTTTTAGCTGGGATGGTCTCGATCTCCTGACCTCGTGATCCGCCCGCCTCGGCCTCCCAAAGTGCTGGGATTACAGGCGTGAGCCACCGCGCCCGGCCCAATTTTAGAATAATTTCATCATCCAGAAAGAAAACCCATACCCATTAGCAGTTATTCCCCATTCCCCTCAAACCTGCCAAGTTTTTAGGCACCCATTAATCTACTTTGTGTCTCTATAGAGTTCCCTATTCTGCACATATATGTAAATGAAATCATATAATATATGATGTTTTGTGACTGGCTTTTTTCACTTTGCATTATATCGTCAAGGTTCATCCATGTTGTAGCTTTTATCAGTACTTTATTCCTTTTTGTCATTGCATAATATTCCATTGTATGAATATACCATGTTTTGTTTATCCACTTATCAGCTGATAGACACTTGAGTTGTTTCTACCTTTTGACTGTTAGGAATAATGCTGCTTTGAACAGATGTTTGTGTGGACATGTTTTTTTCCTTACTCTTGCATAGATACCTAGGAATGGAATTACTGGGTCCTATGGTGACTATGTTTAACTTTATGAGGAACTGCCAGACTGTTTTCCAAAGTCGCTGCACCATTTTATTTGTTTATTTTTGAGACATGGTCTTGCTCTGTTGCCCAGGCTGGAGTGCAGTGGTGCAGTCATGGCTCACCGAAGCCTTGACCTCTTGGGCTCAAGTGATCCTCCCAACTTGGCCTCCCGAGTAGCTGGTACTACAGGCATGCACTACCAGGCCCAATTAATTTTCTAATTTTTTGTAGAGATGGGGGTCTCACTGTGTCGCCCAGGCTGGTCTTGAACTCCTGACCTCAAGTGATCCTTCTGCCTCAGCCTCCCAAAACGCTGGGATTACAGGCATCAGCCACCGTGCCTAGCACATTGTACGTTTTTATTAGGAATGTGGAAGGGTTCTAATTCTTTACATCCTCACCAACACTTGTTTTCTGTCTTTTTGATTATAGCCATCTTGTAATCAAACAGATCCTAGTTGTGAAGTGATATCTTGTGTTTTTGATTTGCATTTCCCTAATAGCTAATGACATTTCATGTGCTTATTGGTTATTTTTATATCTTTGTTGTTGTTGTTATTGAGACAGGGTCTTGCTCTGTCACACAGGCTGGAGTGCAGTGGCACCATTATGGCTCACTGCAGACTCAACTTCTCTGGTTCAAGCAGCCCTCCCACCACAGCCTCTCAAGTTGCTGGGACTACAGGTGTGCACCACTGTGCCTGGCTAATTTTTTATTTTTGTAGAGATGGGATCTCACTATGTTGTCCAGGCTAGTCTTGAAGACCTGGGTTCAAGCGATCCTCCCACCTTGGCCTCCCAAAGTGTTGGGATTACAGGCGTGAGCCACTGTGCCTGGCCTGGCCTGTGTGTGTGTGTGTGTGTGTGTGTGTGTGTGTGTGTGTGTGTGTGTGTATTTTTTTTTAGAAATAGCTATTCATCTTCTTTACTCATTTTTAAATTGGGTTATCTTTTTTTTTTTTAATTTAAAAATTTTTTTTGTAGAGACAGGGTCTTGCTGGTGTTACGTAGGCTGGTTTTGAACTCCTGGCTTCAAGATTCTCCCACCCGAGTCTCCCAAAGTGCTAGAATTATATACGTGAACCATTGCACCTGACTGGGTTTTTTATAATTGTAAGAGTTCTTTGTATATTCTGGATATAAGTTCCTTATCTGATATATAACTTGCAGATGTTTCCTCTCATTTTGTAGGTTGTGTTTTCACTTTCTTGATGTTCTCATTTGCAGTACAGAAGGCTTATATTTTCATGAAGTATAGTTTAGCTATCTTTTTCTTTTTTGCTTATGCATTTAATCTTATCCAAGAAATTCTTTCCAACCCTGGGTCATGAAGAGTTATTCCCATGTTTTTTCCTCAGATTTTATAGTTTTAGTGCTTACATTTAGGTCTGTGATCCACTTTGAGTTAGTTTTTTATGTACTGTTAGGTATGGATCTACCTTCATTCTTGGGCATGTGGATATCCAGTTTTCCTAACACAATTTGTTGTAAAGACTGTTCTTTTCCCGTTGTATGTTCTTAGCAGCCCTTAAAAAAATCAATTGACCATTAATGTAAGGGTTTATTTCTGGACTTTCAATTCTGTCTCATTGATCTATTATCTATCCTGTGCCAGTACCACACTGTCTTAATTCCTATAGCCTTGTAGTATCCTTTTGTGTTTTTAATAGGCTTTTTAACTGATTGTTAAAGAATATTGAAGTAATGAGTGAATGTTAACTGGGAGCGTAGTAGTTATTTTGAAAAAGCACAAAACAGGTTTAGAACCTGAGCCATATGCAGTAAGTTTGGGGCTTGTAACTTTGGATTTCTCTTCTAAAAGATGTGGGGGAAGTTATATATTTGTTGGAATTGGGTTTAGCTGTAACAGAAAACCTCTAACAGTGGCCTAAATAGAATAGAGGTTTATTTCTGTTTCATGTTCTAAGTGTTGAGAGATAAATCAAACTGGGGCTTGTGTGGCACTCCCTGGTGTCAGGGACCTGGGCACCTGCTTTTTTGTCCTCCCCCATGTCAGGTTTCTCTTCTTAGTTTCTCCTTGTGGCAGGTACAGTCGCTGCAGGGCCAGCCGTCATGTTTGCATATAGCCTGCAAGAAGGAGGAAAAAGGGCACACCCTTTCCCTTCTTAAGAACACATCTCTTGCACACATCATTCTGTCTGTCCTGCTGGCCAGAACTTAGGCACACATGTCCTAGCTACTGGGGCATGTGATATTTGTTCTGGGTAGCCAGGTGGTGGTTAAGAATTGAGGCTTCTGTTACTATGGAGGAAGAGAATGGGTGCTTGGTGACAAGAAGTCTCTGCCACAGTAAAATAAATGTCTACTAATGAAAATGATTATGATTGGTTGAAGCCCTTTGGAACCTCTAAGATGAACTGACAGAAGTTGAGATTTAGTCTAGTCTGTGACATATTTTTTTGTAAAATTTTGATAAATTTTGTTTTCACTTTGTGAGCTTTTATTGGTTCAGTGTCTGTTCTATGTGTGATAAAGGCGGTACCTCTGGCTGCTGTTGTGTGTAGCTAGGGGTAAGAGGAGTTTTGCTTCTGTCTCTTGGCCTCCTCTGATGTAGTCTAGGGTATATCAGTCAAGATTTAATTAAGGAAACAGAACCACTAGGAAAATCATGGAATAAGGAATTTGTTAGAGGAATTAGTCCCATATACAGTTATGGGAAAAGCAGGGCATTAAAGGTCTGAAAAGGAGTGTTAAAGATTGGAGAAAGGTCACCAGCCCTGGTGTGGAGTGAGTCATAGCTTACAGGGAAATCTGGAGGCCAGGCATGGAAGTCTGGAGGGTTGTTGACTCTTTGTCACTACTGTTTCTGTGAGTTTGAAGCAGAAGTCTGGTCACCAGGGCTGCCTGTAAAGGAGGAGAATTGGATATATGGAGCAGTGGGGTGCAAGGACACACTGAAACTTGCCAGCTCCTCTGCAAGTCTGTCACTACCTCTGACCAATGATGGCCTTCAGAGTGTAGTGGTTGCTACTTCACCTCTGTCACCTCTGCTTCTCCTTCTGCCTCTACCTCTGTTTTACTTTTGATGAACTCTACTCAGTACCAAGATGGAAGAGGATTCTGGGAAACATCCCAGTGTAACCACGTCAACAAAGGATAATTCACCACATAGGAGACAGCTCTCAGATGCACCGGCATTTTACTGGGCCAATCTCATACTGGGCCAAACTCCCCCACTCCTTTAGCCACACCATTTTTGGGAGTGTTGCCTATTTGTAATTTTGGCACATATGATATTTCACGTCACCCACTCTTCCAGGAATATATACTTTTGCCATTTGATTCTTATTTCTCCTCTTTCCTATGCAGAAGATCTAAGCCTACATACGTTTCTTTCTAGTAAATGCTTTATATTTGGAATAGCAAAAAGGACACACACAGGGCCTTTGATAATGTGAAATTCAAGATTTTTTTTCATGAATAAAGATATACAGAATAATGGAATAAGTCTTGCTCTGGTTATTTTCATTTTGCCTCAAAATTTAGTGATTTAGTGCATTTTACTATGCTTATGACTTCTGTGAGTCAGGAATTCAGACAGGGCACAGAAGGAGTGGTTAGTCTGTGCTCCATGATGTCTAGGGCCTTAGTAAGGAGGACTCAGCGGTTCTGTGTGATTTGATGGATAGGGGATAGAGTCATTTGGAGGTGTTGTCTTTCCATGTCTGGTGGTTGATGCTGGCTGTTGGTGGGGTGGGTCCTCAGCTGGGAATGTGGAGTGAATCTGCATGTGGTCTTTCCATGAGGCTTGGGCTTTCTCATAGTGTAGTGGTCTCAGAACAGTTGAACTTCTCACGTGGTATCTCAGGGCTCCACTGTGAGTGCGGTGGGAAGCTGCGTTATTTTTTCTAAACTAACCTGGGAGGTCAAGCATTGTCACTTTTGTTGTGTTCTGTTGGTTTCAGGTGAATCACAAGCCCACCTAGATTTATGGGGAGGGAACATAGACCCTACCTCTTGATGGAAGGAGTATCACAGTTGGATTTTAAGAACATGAAACATGAGAGAGAAGGTTGTGACCATCTTTGGAAAATAAACTTTGCCACAGGCCCTAAGTTGGACATAAAGAGATTTATGGGTACAAAGATAGCACTGAGGACAGGGTTACAGTGAAGGGACTAAAGAGAACATGGTCAGTTCTGCCTAAAGAGATCAGCAAGACTTCTGAAAGGGACCTGACCCCCACAAGTTGTTTTCTTGTGCAGTGGAAAGGTTGCTTGGGAGTATCTTAAGTTCCCAGTAGAAGAAACAGACCTCAGAGATACTAATGAAGACTGGATAGAGAATTCAGTGGTGAAGCCAGACTAAAACCCAGGCATTCAGACATTTGGCCTAAGCTGGGAAATTTGAATTCTTGTAATAGTAATTTCATATGTGAGGCCACAAAAGCACACCTCTACACATAAAACTTTATTTGATGTATAAAACTTCTTTTTAAATTTTATTATTATTATACTTTAAGTTTTAGGGTACATGTGCACAATGTGCAGGTCTGTTACATATGTATACATGTGCCATGTTGCTGTGCTGCACCCATTAACTCCTCATTTAACATTAGGTATATCTCCTAATGCTATCCCTCCCCTCTCCCCCCACCCTCCAACAGTCCCCGGAGTGTGATGTTCCCCTTCCTGTGTCCATGTGTTCTCATTGTTCAGTTCCCACCTATGAGTGAGAACATGCGGTGTTTGGTTTTTTTGTCCTTGTGATAGTTTGCTGAGAATGATGGTTTCCAATTTCATCCATGTCCCTACAAAGGACATGAACTCATCATTTTTTATGGCTGCATAGTATTCCATGGTGTATATGTGCTACATTTTCTTAATCCAGTCTATCATTGTTGGACATTTGGGTTGGTTCCAAGTCTTTGCTATTGTGAATAGTGCCACAGTAAACATACGTGTGCATGTGTCTTTATAGCAGCATGATTTATAATCCTTTGGGTATATAGCCAGTAATGGGATGGCTGGGTCAAATGGTATTTCTAGTTCTAGATCCCTGAGGAATCGCCACACTGACTTCCACAATGGTTGAACTAGTTTACAGTCCCACCAGCAGTGTAAAAGTGTTCCTATTTCTCCACATCCTCTCCAGCACCTGTTTCCTGACTTTTTAATGATTGCCATTCTAACTGGTGTGAGATGGTATCTCCTTGTGGTTTTGATTTGCATTTCTCTGATGGCCAGTGATGATGAGCATTTTTTCATGTGTTTTTTGGCTGCATAAATGTCTTCTTTTGAGAAGTGTCTGTTCATATCCTTCGCCCACTTTTTGATGTGGTTGTTTGTTTTTTTTTTTTTTGTAAATTTGTTTGAGTTCATTGTAGATTCTGGGTATTAGCTCTTTGTCAGATGAGTAGGTTGCGAAAATTTTCTCCCATTTTGTAGGTTGCCTGTTCACTCTGATGGTAGTTTCTTTTGCTGTGCAGAAGCTCTTTAGTTTAATTAGATCCCATTTGTCAGTTTTGTCTTTTGTTGCCATTGCTTTTGGTGTTTTAGACATGAAGTCCTTGCCCATGCCTATGTCCTGAATGGTATTGCCTAGGTTTTCTTCTAGGGTTTTTATGGTTTTAGGTCTAACATTTAAGTCTTTAATCCATCTTGAATTAATTTTTGTATAAGGTGTAAGGAAGGGATCCAGTTTCAGCTTTCTACATATGGCTAGCCAGTTTTCCCATGATGTATAACACTTCTAATGTGATGTGTTAGATTGATAGAAGGAATGGAAACATTGAAATCTGCCATGACTGGTATTCATTTTCTCTGTTAGCTTTCATTGAGAAAATGAGTAAGGATTCTGCCTGCTTCAAGATTGGTATAGTAGGACCAGAAGAGATTCTGCAAGTCTGTCTAAACTTTTAAACTTGCTTCTTTGTCTTCTTGTTAATCAGGAAGCCCAGAACCTCATGGCCCTCACCAATGTGGACACCCCATTGAAAGGTGGACTTAATACCCCATTGCATGAGAGTGACTTCTCAGGTGTAACTCCACAGCGACAAGTTGTACAGACTCCAAACACAGTTCTCTCTACTCCATTCAGGTATTGTAAATGAACACGTTTTTATTTTAGAAAAACTTGAATTCAAGGACTTAGCATATTTGCTTTAGTAATGTTTACGGAGAATGACTACTTATTGTGTTGGATTTTCCTCTTTGATTTCTTCTTCATAGTAATAAATAATAGTGTCCAGGAAATGGTTAAATACTGTGGAGTGCCTCCCCCCCTTTCTTTAAGATGGAGTCTCGCTCTGTTACCCAGGCTGGAGTGCAGTAGCGCGATCTCAGCTTACGGAACCCCTCTGCCTCCCGGGTTCAAGCGATTCTCGTGCCTCAGCCTTCTGAGTAGCTGGGATTACAGACATCCGCCACCATGCCTGTCTAATTGGAGTGTTCTTTTGCAAAGCTTCGGATCCTATCACGTTATTTTTGAATACTTTGTATTTGATTTTAGAGTAGATTGATTCATTTTTAATGATTACTTTGTGAATTTTATTATGTAATCCTTTTATGTATGTATTACTATTGCTTTCCCTCCAGCATTTTATTATGAAAATTTCAGGCATTTAGAAAGGTTGAAAGAATGTGTGGAAGTTATCAGTATTGAAATGGAGTCATTTATGTTACATTTTAATGAAAAAGGAACCCTCATGCGCGTATGCCTATGACAGAAATTATTGCAGGGACCTTCTGAAAACCACACAAATTCCAGATAAGTTGCTTCTGTGAAGACATTGCCCTACCAACAGCCAGTACAGGTTGAGCATCCCAAATCTGAAAATCCAGAATGCTCCAAAATCCAAACTTTTTTTTTTTTTTTTGAGACGGACTTTTGCTTTTCTTGCCCAGGCTGGAGTGCAGTGGCGCGAACTCGGCTCATCACAACCTCCGCCTCCTAGGTTCAAGCAATTCTTCTGCCTTGGCCTCCCGAGTAGCTGGGATTACAGGCATGCGCCGCCATGCCTGGCTAATTTTGTATTTTTAGTAGAGACAGGGTTTCTCAGTGATGGTCAGGCTGGTCTCGAACTCCTGACCTCAGGTAATCCACCCGCCTTGGCCTCCCATAGTGCTGGTATTACAGGTGTGAGCCACTGCGCCTGGCCAAAATCCAAACTTTTTGAGCACCAACATGACACTCAAAGGAAACGCTCATTGAAACGTTTCAGATTTTGAATTTCCTGATTTGGCATGCTCAACCAGTAAGTATAATGCAGTTATCCCCAAATCTGAAAAAATCCCATATCTAAAACTCTTCTGGTCCCACATTTCAGATAAGGGATACTCTTATCTATACCGGCAATGAAAACAAATGCCACCTCCTGTGATAAGTCCCTGTAACCAATGGTCTTTGTTTCAGAACAGTTTGCGTAGACTCCTCCCTTGTATCTTTAAAAACTTCTCCTTGCCCCAGCACCCTCAGTTGTACCTATGGTCTGTCATAGCACACATATCCCACACTGTAATCCCTTGCCGTTCCCGAATAAACTCTTTGTTTTGGAGACCCGGTCTCTCACCCATTTAAGTTGACAAATGGTAAAGTGAACATCCATATACCCACCACTTAGATTCTAAGATCGTTAATATTTTACTATATTTGCTTTATCACATATCCATCCACCAATCCATCATAATTTTTAATGCATTTCGAAGTAACTTGCAGGTAGCAGTTTGTTTGATCCCAAAACACTTCCACATGCGTTAACTAGAATTCAGTATTTCTTTATAACTCTTGCTTAGTTTTAAGCTGCTGTTTTTTAAGAAGAATCTTTAAAATACAAATGTTATGGAAGCATGTAGTAGGAAAATGGAATTGGAACTTACAATGGTTGGAAATATTTGGGGTTTACTTTGAATTTTAAGTGTTAAGATATGTCTTCCTACTGGTTATTTAGTAGAGAAAGCACTTCAGGCTATTACACATATCATGACAGCAGAACCAAGAAGCATTGGCAGCCAGTCTTAAACATTTAACACTTCTTGAGAGTCTTGTAAGAGAGCATAATCCCTCATTTCCTATGTTTAGTCGGCTCTCTGTATCTGAGGATTCCACATCTGTGAATTCAACCAACTGTGGATAAAAAATATTCCAAAAAACTCAAACAGTACAACAATAACAAATAACACAAATAAAAATACAATGTACCAACTATTTATATAGCATTTACATTGTATTAGGTATTATAAGTAACCTAGAGATGATTTAAAGTACATGGGAGGATGTGCATACGTTATATGCAAATACGATGCCGTTTTATATCAGGGAGTTGAGTATCTGCAGGGAGTTGAGTATTGGTCCTGGAACCAATCCCCGGTGGATACTTAGGGACAACTGTATGTCTTGTCTCTCACCTAGATTGTAAAATCCTTGGGGGTGGGAACCATGTCTTATGTGATAACACCTTACCTATCAGGAATAGCTGTCTGGCAGCATCACCGTTCTGCAACACACCAATATACAGGAAATAGGCAACCAGGAAAAAAAAAGACTTTGAATAATTAAAATATAGGTTGCTGCAAAATCTGTGGATCTTATTCCTAGGAGAATCTCTTAGGCCTCACTCAGGAACTTACTCATGTTTAGATGTGATTTCAAAAGTGTGGTGTTTGGTTTCCAAACAAAATGTAAAAGGAGGAACTATTTAATAAAGTGTGTACATTTGTAATAATGACAGTGATAGTGATGTGAGAACCAACAGCTTGATAGGGAGGGAGGAGACAAATATACACAAAACTCAAAGAGTCATCTGGGGTCATTGAGTGTGGTGGCCCACCTCCCTGCCCACTGCATGTTCTTAGTCGCCCTAATGTGCCAAGAAAAGGTTGAAATAATGTTTAGTGGACGTAGTTTAGGAAGGCAAGAAAATATCAAATGTAGTGATTATTGTAAGTCAGTAAAATAAAAATACCATGCTAGCTAGACCAAACATTGATTTTAACCTAGAGATCCTAACAAAACCAGCTGGACAGAATTTTGAAATCTTTATTCTTTTTTTTTTCTATATTTCCTGTGAAATAATTTATGTGAAAAACATTTGAAAGCACAATCCAAATGTAAGTGGCACTTCTGTTAATTGGGATTCCTGTCTTTCTAGGACTCCTTCTAATGGAGCTGAAGGGCTGACTCCCCGGAGTGGAACAACTCCCAAACCAGTTATTAACTCTACTCCGGGTAGAACTCCTCTTCGAGACAAGTTAAACATTAATCCCGAGGATGGAATGGCAGACTATAGTGATCCCTCTTACGTGAAGCAGATGGTAAATGTCAATTCCCTTTTAATACTCTTAAATTTTTTTTTAATATCTCATGGATGCCAAATTAAAATTTCTCCTGTTAGTGCATATCACATATACCTTAAGAATCTATACACCTGTGGATGCCAGAAAAAGAATTATTTGTAAGACTTGATGAAAGGGAATATTTTGGGCTCAAAACCCACCTTTCTTTATGCTTACTAGGTTTGTGAATATTGATGTTCGTTGTTGATTTCACTGAAGTTTTCTTTAGCAAGCTGAGGTAGAAAGCTAACTGTAAAAAGTTAAGTTTTGCTTCTGCCCGTGTTACTGCGTTTATTACTTTGCTATTGGGCCTTATTATCTAATGCCACAGAAATCATTGTGAAATTAAAAAAAAAACTTCTAATGATACTGGCTTGTCTTCAGTTTAAAATTAATTCTAACCTCATGTATATATTTGGTTGATTTATATATGTTTTTTAAAGTTCAAATTGATATCAACTAAAGCCAACTCTGAATGGATACATAAGAATTAAATAGATTAAGAACCTCATGCATGCAGAGCATGCATTTGGACATTTGAGGGGATCTAAAGTTGAATAAAGATGTCCTTTGTCCTAAGGAAATTTATATTCTGGGGAGATTGACAGTACTAAACTAAGTCCAAAAATAATTGCAATATCAGAACAGAATAAGCCCTTTGAGTAAAACCAGTGTGCTTAGGGTAGTTAAAGAAGGGAATAGTCACATTTGTTGGGTAACAGGAAAGCCTTATTAGAGGAGCTATGTTCTGAAGGAGGGTGGGGGCTGTCTCAGATGGAGACTACAATATGAGTAAGCATGGAGGATGTTTTAGATATAGCAA
The DNA here is from genome assembly GCF_000001405.40 of Homo sapiens. Lineage (NCBI taxonomy): Eukaryota > Metazoa > Chordata > Mammalia > Primates > Hominidae > Homo > Homo sapiens. Next base: position 44,423,654 of record NC_000006.12, read on the forward strand.
CTCATCTGTTCCTCACACCTGGTACATGTAAGCACTGAGGATGGATGGGAAAACTCTGGGTACCAGGAGGCTTTTTTGGGAACCAGGACTCTACTTTCTTTCTTCTGCATGGGATTTAGTATTTCCATTAAAAATAAACACATACATACAAATTCAAGTATCTTTTAGAGTGGATTTTATTAGTCCAAGGACAAACTAACTTTTGAACCTGTTCTTTTCATTTGCTGTTAACTTTCGGTGTCAGAAATGTGTTCCCTCAAAGTGGTCTTTTTTTCTGCCCTGGCCTCAGACCTCCTGTTGGAATATCCCAGAGTATCTTCAGTGATCACAAGTGAAAGTTTTTGGTTGGTCTTAATGTTGGGAAGAAGGGGGGATAGAAAATAAACATAAGACTTGTCTTAGCTCTGAAGTCAGGATTATTTTTCTAGAATTAATATTAGGCTGATTTTTTTTGAGACTTTTTTTCTCTTTCTGTAATTTTTAATTTTTGTGGATACATAGTAGGTGTGTATATTTATGGGGTACATGAGATATCTTGATACAGGCATGCATGTGTAATAATCATATCGTGGAAAATGGGGTATTCATCCCCTCAAGCATTTAACCTTTGTGTTTGAAACCATCCAATTATTCTTAGTTATTTTAAAATGTACAGTTATTTTGACTAGAGTCACCCTGTTGTGCTATCAATTTTTAAGAGACTCATAAAATACTGGTGGAATGTTTAATATGCATGAATTGAGAAGGACCACTTCTTTTCTACAGGAAAGAGAATCCCGAGAACATCTCCGTTTAGGGTTGTTGGGCCTTCCTGCCCCTAAGAATGATTTTGAAATTGTTCTACCAGAAAATGCCGAGAAGGAGCTGGAAGAACGTGAAATAGATGATACTTACATTGAAGATGCTGCTGATGTGGATGCTCGAAAGCAGGTGGGTAACTGTACTGAAAGAAGCGTGAGTTTGGCTGAATGTGTCAGTAGGCTGGAAGAATGAAGAATAGCCATTAAATGTCCCAAGATCTCTACCTAGTCCTTTTTAATATTGAAAAAACTTCTAAAGTAAATAACTTATGTCATTAATAATGTATCCTCACATAATTAACATACTCACAATATTTTGATGAGCATTCTTAAAAATATATATATGGAAATTTAAATACATTCTGTCAAATTCATTATGCTTCTCTAAAATACACATAGGTAGTCTTTTAGACATTGCTTCAATCTAGCAAAGAAAAGATGTTATTGGTTAGTCTTAAAAACAAATACATCTTGGTTCCTGGGTGGTGCGATGTACGAGCCTGTAGTCTCAGCTGCTCGAGAGGCTGAGGTGGGAGGATTCTTTGGGCCCAGGAGTTTGAATCCAGTCCGGGGAACATAGTAAGACCTCTATCTAAACTGGAGTTGGAAATTTAGATAGAGTGTGTCAAAATAATATTAGTAACACTTTGTACTAATATATCTTATACGTAATTACTTTCTCATTTGCACGTAACAGCACAGTGATATAAATAGGATCGGTATTACAGGTTGAACATTGCTAATCCAAAAATCCAACACCTGAAATGCTCCAAAATTCAAAACTTTTTGAGTGCCGACATGAAGCTCAAAAGAAATGCTCATTGAAGCTTTTTGGATTAGAGTTAGTATAATGCAGATGTTCCAGAATCTGAAAAAATCAGAAATCCAAGATACTCTGGGCCCAGATATTTCTAGTAAGGAATACTCAACAAGCTCAGATGAATTGAGGTCTCATGGTCTCAACTTTCTCAGGTCTCATGGTGGGTAAGTGGTGAATCCTAAACTAGAACTGATATTTTATGACCCCTTTCAGTAGCTGCAGTCCATTGCTGGATGATTTTAGGGACCTTGAATCTCAGGGGATTGGAGTGAGAATGACATCAGTGGAAACAATATTTTAGAGGGGACCCATGTAAATGTGCTTTTCAGTGGGGAACAGAGGATGATACTTTTTGTGTTTAGTTCTCAGCTACTTTGAGTTACATTTACTCCTTCAGAAATGGCATGAAATTTTAATGTGTTATCCCACATTATTCATAAGAATCAGGAAACAATACATTTTTTGGCTGGCTTTTTGAGTTAAAAGTCAGTAATTTTGGAGTGAAAGGGAAGAAAGAGTTTTGTCGTGGGAGTCTCTTTGGAGTTTAGGTTTTCCATTTAGATGAGAAAAGTTTGTTACGTGATATGGATCCATGCAAGTTTGGAGAATGCTCTAGTAGACATTGGAAGCTCTTAGTTTCTATTATAATGAGAGTGAATAGACTGATTCATTTCTGTTGCCTTAGCATTGCCTTTCTACAAACTTAAACCGATTTCTAAACTTTAGCTATTGAACACACATGATCTTACATACCAAAGTGTTTTTAGCTTTACTGAGAGATATCAAATACGCTATAGCTGCAATAAAGGATATAAAAATCATTTTTTAGGCCATACGAGATGCAGAGCGTGTAAAGGAAATGAAACGAATGCATAAAGCTGTCCAGAAAGATCTGCCAAGACCATCAGAAGTAAGTGTTAGAATTTCTGGTTTAGGAAGTTTTAAGTTTCTTTTTATATGATTGCTGCGTTTTACATCATTCATAAAGACTATAAAACAAAATTTCATCTACTTTCTGGAATATAGCAAAGTAGTTCTCAAATCCAATCTTTAAAATGTTTCAGTAGTACCAGAAAGAATTTAGAAGGAAAAAAATGGAAATTGCTTTTGAAAATGTAAAACCGCTGTTTAATTCATGCTGTAACAGGTAATAACATTAATATATTATAGTGATATGTTTGGTAATTGTATTTGTTTTAAAATTTTAGGTAAATGAAACTATTCTAAGACCCTTAAATGTAGAACCGCCTTTAACAGATTTACAGAAAAGTGAAGAACTAATCAAAAAAGAAATGATCACAATGCTTCATTATGACCTTCTACATCACCCTTATGAACCATCTGGAAATAAAAAAGGCAAAACTGTAGGGTTTGGTACCAATAATTCAGAGCACATTACCTATCTGGAACATAATCCTTATGAAAAGTTCTCCAAAGAAGAGCTGAAAAAGGTATGATTGAGCTGGAATATTTCTTCTTGAGATTTAGGTAGTTGTTAGGTGCTGTGTATCATGGACAAATAATGAACTTATTTTTCCCTGTTGGTATTCATAAACAACTGAAATGTATGATTAGGAGATGCATGTTTAGATTAAGTGTTATGAAAAGGACATGCTTTAAATACCTCCATCCCCCGTGTTCAGTGTGATAGACCTTTAGCAAATAAACACCGCCAGGGTGTTTTTGGTTCATGGGTATTAATGGCTTCGTTGACAGTTGTTACAGTTGCCGTTTTCTGTATTCAGCTCTGCTATCTCTGAATAAAAATTAGATGCCTTTAGTACTTAAACATCACTTATTTAGAATAATATGAAGAGGTGAGAGAGACTAATATAAAAATGTTTATAGATTAAACCTTTTAGCTATTGAAAGGAAGGAAGTATTTTTTTTACTGAATATATTCCCCTCACATGATTTCCCCCTACTCTTTTGGATAAGGACATGAAGAAATGATTTCTTATATGAAGTCTGTATCTGGTCTTTTCTTCTACATGCATTTTATTCCTTCTGTTTTGACAGAGCAAACAACTGTGATTGTAAATAGAAATCTCCATAATTGTATAAGAAGATACAGTGGGTCTCATCGTTGGAAGCAGAGTGGTCATTAGCTTAAAAGTCTTTTTTTCTTTAGCCTTCAGCCCTGAGGAGCAGTGATAGACCTATGGATTTGGAATGAGCTGCTGTATACTTAGGATAAAACAAACAAGATTCTTACAAACTCTCCTGTCTTCTCTCCTGCATTCTTCCTCTTTCTTCGCTTTTCACAATTTCTTACTTTGTGTTTTCTTTATTGCATAAGTAATACATTATTTATTATAGGATTTTTAGAAAATAGAGAAAGGAAGGAGGGTTTCGATTTATATTTCAATAACTTGTCCCTGATTTCAGAATAACTGAGTCACTCATTTTTTAGTAAGTGCAGTAGGGAAACTAACATCTGTTGAGTTGCCTACTCTGTCGAGCACATTTAATCATTGAACTGGGATTGAGAATCAGGCTACGAAATTGATACTTGCACAGTTTCCTCTTTTGAAAGTGAAAATATGAGGGGAAGAGGAATTTAGGAAATAAATTTTCCTAAATTGTATGTATGGAAACCTAAAACAAGGATCACATTGTTGCTTTTGGAGATTCTGTAGAGGGTAAACCCTAACACAATTTTTGAAAAATAATAATTCTAAGTATTGGTTTGTAATTGTTTGAAACAAAGTAGCTTAAATATTCTCTCATATTTTATCTGTGTATATCTCTCTTTGTTCCAAAAAGAATTTGAAGCAGCTATTTAGTTAGCAGATTATTTATGGATAGTTTAAAGATAACTTAGCCATATTCTCTCGTAATGATTATAAGATCTGAACTTGTAAATTTTTACTCTGTGCAGTTTCAGAGTGAAATAGCATTTCTCTTTTAATAAACTGTCAGATTTTCTTTTTCTTTAATATACTTTAAGATATGTTAACATTGATTTGTTTCCATTATTTCCCTTAAGGTATTAAGTGTCCATTTTTTCTTCTATAGAGATGATTTTCCGTTTCTTTTGTTAAAATTTTTTGTTTATCAATCATTTCTCTTGATTTTGTAGATTTTGATGTGTTTATTTTCATTATTACTGGAAAGATTGAAAGCCTTCTGTAAGGCACAGAAGGTGGTTCCCAGTTTTTCATAAGCCATGAAGCAAAGGGCTGGGAAAAAATTCATATGCTTATGGAATTCTGTGTGTCTGGCATTGGGCTAGGCTCTATAGTATATTGTTCACTTAATCCTAATAACAAACACATCTGATCTAAGGTCAGCATCATCATTGCTTGGAAAGCTGTTTTTCAGCTTTCCAGGCTGAAAAAGCCCTGAGAAATGGGCTCAGATAAATTAAGCAAGCTCAAAGAGCTGCTTCAATGGTAAAGCTGTGATCTGAACCCAGGCCTGTCCAGCTTTCCCTCTCATTCTGTCATTTTACACTATTTTCTTTAGTAGTGAACTAAACTGGTTTATGATCTATCATCTAATTCGTGCCCCAGTCTCATTATCTGGCAATGTCAGGGCATTCCTTCAGGATGAGAAAAATGCCATGTGACAAAAAGATGCCTAGCTCCCCTTTACCATCACGTGAGGTCCTGCACACATGGTGGAGTGGGAGAGTGGAAGGGGCACACCCAGTGGTGCCATTTGTATTCTGCCTCATCTGCCTACTAACGATGTGGTCTTAACAAGTGGTTGAATCTCTATGAGCCTTAGTTTCATTAGCTTTTTTTTTTTTTTTTTTTTTTTTGAGACTGAGTCTCACTCTGTTGCACAGGCTGGGGTGCAGTGGCACGATCCCAGCTCACTGCAGCCTCCACCTCCTGGGTTCAAGGGATTCTTGTGCCTCAGCCTCCTGAGTAGCTAGGATTACAGGCATGTGCCACTACGTCCTACTAATTTTTACATTTTTAGTAGACACGAGGTTTTGCTGTGTTAACCAGGCTAGTCTTGAACTCCTGGCCTCGTTATCCGCCCACCTCAGCCTCCCGAAGTGCTGGGATCATAGGAGGGAGCCACCGTGCCTGGCCAAATTTCATTAGCTTTTAAATGAGGTTAATATTGGCTAATTTGTAAGGTGATTATGATCTTTGGATATAATGTAGGTAAAACTTTTAAACCTAGTTTCTCACACACACAATAGGTACCTGAGAAATGATAGCTGCTGTTATAGTGAGTGAAAGCAAAGGATGTTTATACTTTTGAGGAAACATGGATGCTTGATTTTTAAAAAGCAGTCTGCATTGACTCAAAGGCTTCTTAAGCTATTTTTCCTAGGTATTGTTATCCACCCTTCCAAAAAACAACCAACCACATCTTGGATTTGACTCAAGGCATGAGGGAAAAAATTAGTCTTCTAAAGCTCTCTGGATATGGCAAGTGTTTGTAGTACTTAAACTTATTGAAATTATTATTGTAAACAGGCCCAGGATGTTTTGGTGCAGGAGATGGAAGTGGTTAAACAAGGAATGAGCCATGGAGAGCTCTCAAGTGAAGCTTATAACCAGGTGTGGGAAGAATGCTACAGTCAAGTTTTATATCTTCCTGGGCAGAGCCGCTACACACGGGCCAATCTGGCTAGTAAAAAGGACAGAATTGAATCACTTGAAAAGAGGCTCGAGGTTGGTATCCTTTTAAAATTTTAATTTTAAATGTACTTTGATTGAGATAATGAACTAAATAATGCCACTGGAGACAATGTCAGAAAAACACACCTGAGGTGCTTATTGCCTTTTTAGTTGTTGGAGAAAACTACACTTAAGTGTTGGATCTTCTTGGCCTTGTTCATTGTTTTTTTTTGTTTGTTTTGTTTTTGTTTTTTTTTTAAAGAATTGTTGGCCTTCATGACTAAAGAGTGCCCTGCAAGTTGACCAGAGGTCAATCAGAACCTTTAGATGTGGGAGCAAGGAGCCAAGAAGCCAATACTAGTCACTCAGAACAGGCAGGTCATTGCTAGCATAGCCTGTTTTCTCTGAAGAGGAATCTCAGCAGTAACGAGGAGTTTTCTTTTTATAACAAAGAGAGTACATTTACAAAACTTAAATACAATTCTGTTCATCCTTGGATTACTGTGAGTTTGAGTTAGGGAGGGCAGAGCTGGATTATCTAGTTAGTGGCTTCCATGATTTTTCATGTCTGTGAAAATGTTGAAAACATACTAGATGCAGTTTCAGGACATGTGGTTTCTTAATATAGTTTGCATATTTTGAATTCCAGAATCTGTGTAGGCATTTTGCCAATGGCATGTAAATTGTGGTTCACAGACCACCAGGCTGCCTTGTGCATTCTTTTTTTTTTTTTTTGAGACCTAGTCTCAGTCTGTTGCCAGGCTGCAGTGCAGTGGTGCAATCTTGGCTCACTCCAACCTCTACCTCCTGGTTTCAAGCGATTCTCCTGCCTCAGCCTCCCTAGTAGCTGGGACTACAGGCACGCCCCACCACGCCCAGTTAATTTTTGTATTTTTAGTAGAGACAGAGTTTCACCATGTTGGCCAGGATGGTCTTGATCTCTTGACCTCGTGATCCACCCATCTCAGCCTCCCAAAGTGCTGGGATTACAGGCGTGAGCCACCATGCCCGGCTATGCCTTGTGCATTTTTAATGGTAATCTTTAGGGGCATTTCTAAGGCCAAGGTGGGATGGGAGAGAAGGGGTACTTCAGGCAGTCATATACAGAAAATCGTCTTGGTTTCCTCTTTTATGTGATTACCAGTTTCTCTTTACAAAAAGTGCATTTGAAAATATTTTTATTTAGGGTTAAAGCCAGAAGTAGTAAAATCACTTGGGGTGGTTGGGGCTGTATGGGGCTGAGGAAATGAGCAGGAAAAAGCAGTATCTTTTAATTTGAGTTATTCTGAGTTTTAATTTAACCATTAAGATCACATATATATAGGTAGCTGATGGTTAATGCCTGTGAACCTCTTTTTTTCTCAGTGAGAAATGACTGGTTCTGAAGTAATTCTCATCTTGGGTAAAATCTTAGTTCAGTGCTGCTAATTATTTGTATTACCAACTTCCAGCAGGGTGTGCTGTTGCTCTGTGTTGTGGTTCAGTGTTAAAGCCAGGGAAAATAGAACATCAGTGGTTAAATTGTAAGTTACATTTTTTTGTTGTGTAGGCTTCATTTCTTATAAATGGTAGTTAGCAGTGTAATTGTGATCTAATATCAGCATCATCACTGATTGAAAAGCTATTTGGAAAGCTTCTTTGTATTATTTATATATAAATACTTAGGTTTCTTACTTAGTATGAAAATCTTCTCATTTGAGGTGGGTAAACTCTTTTTGCCGCAAATGGCAAGAACATTTTGTGCTTTTTTAAATGGTAGAAAATTTTTTTCTCCCTAAATCTCATTTACTTTGTTGAGGTACTAACTTTCATGACAGCAAATAAATGTGTCACACAGTGAGTGGTGCCATAAAGTACAGTAATTTTTATTTCTGTGTTGAATTGGTCTTATGAATTTTAAAGGGAAAAATACAGAAAGAGCCACTCCTGTTCTTTTGGAGATTTATTTGGGTCGTTTATGAGCAACCATTAAAAACATGTGGTTCTCTTTGTTCAGTTCAGTACCAGGAACTGAAATCTTCCGTTGAACTATTTTTGTTGAAGGATTGGTGATTTTGGAGAATATTCATAAAGCAGTCTGAAGTCATTTTTCTTTTCTTGACTCTTGGATAACTTACTTTATTGTTTACCCAGCTAGTTACTTTTAAAGAATACTTAATCAAGTCCTTTAATTTGGTAAACTGTGCTTATTTCAAATGAAAGTTCATGAAATCTTTTAAAAAAAGAAAAGCAGCTCAAAGACTTGAATAAACAAACCCCCATTTTATTTGTATCCATCACTAATTCAGAACTAGGTTTCTTTTAGCTTGTTTTAGTTTTTGAAGACACAGTTCTATTGGTTTGAAATACATAAATATTTTATTTCAATTGTGGTAATTCTTTCATTTCAGTTGATTGCTAAATTATAAACATTATTCAAAGTTTGTTGTGGGGAAGGAACTCCAGTTATATTGTATAAACTAAATGCTATACTTAAATTATCCTTTCCACTCTTAGGTTCAGGAGATAAGCCCTTCTCTGTAAGCACTGTATGCCATGGCTGCCAGTGTGTTTGATTTTTGCTGCCATGAACTTTGGAACCGTGAATCTAAATTATGGCCCTATCACTGCCTATCAAGCAAGATGAAGTCCAGCTTTGTCGTGGCTGGTGTCTCCTGAATGGATTAAAAAAAAAAAATGCCCTGAGGTTTATATTGGAGGTAGTCTTTGAGCCATTCATTACTCATGATTAATATTTGAAACTTAGCACTTAAGTGAAAATCCTTAAGATACTCATTTAAAACTAATAGAACCATCTCAGATTTTATGTAGAATGTGGTAGAGGATGTGTGTGTGCAAGGAGTTTGTTAAATAAATAGAATCAGAATGCAGTTACAGGTCAGAAATAAGTGGAAAAGACTTCTGAATTGTAACCAAGTCCATGTATTTTATTCTGCTTTGGAGGCAGAATTGAGTTTAGAACCTTGCCAGACTTTTGTGTGTAAAATAAGACAGCAAGAGCAAACACAGCAATGACAGTTAATATAAGGAAAGGAAAAGTTATGAGAGCATACCATGCTGTGTCCATTTTTACATGGTGGCAAAAAGCCCAGTGTATTTTAATAGCTTTAAAGACACTAAGATACATTGCAGGGGAGTAAAGTGATTGCTATTTATAGTGGTATCCCAAATTAATAAGAAAAACTTTATTTCTTTTCAGTGTCATGTTTTTTTAAAAGGGCGGGATGGCTATAATTCAGTGTAGGAAACATTTTCACAAATGGTTAAAAATAAAAGAGCTTTAGTACTTTTATTTATTCACACATTCAGTAATTATTACTGCCTATCTACCACGTACTGGATACTGTTCTAGGTCCTGGGGATAACAGCAAGGAACAAGGCAGACAAGTTCTCTGTGTTTGTGGGCTTCAGTTACCTGGAAAATGCTTAATGTGTGGAGAACCTCGTTTTCTGATGATGCCAGATAAATGAGTCATTACTGTATTTGGGAAGTGCAAATAGAATTTTAAGTGTTCTAATTTGTTTCTACTTTAAGTGGAAATAGGAAATCATCTGAAGACATAATTATTTTGAGTGAAATAATTTCCAGTGGGTGCAAAAGTGAAATGAGAAGTCTGAATTTAGGCATGCCGTTAAATTTAATAGTATTTGAAATAGTATCTAAACTGCTGTGTTGAGGAAGTTTGGCTGAAAAGTGGATTTTGTCACGTTAGCTGTAAAAATGGAAAGGCTTTCCTTAGAGATAGAAAATAGGTCCAGAAGTAATACTACTTCTCCCTGTAATTTACTGGCACAGTCAACTGTAGTCAAGAAATATTATATAACATAGACTTCTTAGAAGTAAAGTAACTTAAAGAACACAGATAACACACTTAAAATCCTTCTCAGTGTACTTGTAGCTCTTATGAGGACCCCTGACTTGTCTGAAGGTTATATTTCTGCAAAATTGGCTGCACAGTAGATCTCATTTTCTCAGTGATTTTCATTATAAAGTCAGATATTTTTACACAGGAAAAAATTTCCTTAATACTTTAAAGAGGGAAAACTTAGGGCAAGGATTTAGTTAGTAGACAGTTCTGGGTAGAGTGCTATATGTTGTCAGATATCAGCAGGTTTATGCTTATGTTGCCTTGTGTAGAGGTGGGGGAAGTGACTTGTGGTACAGGAGAGGAATTCACAGTACTTTGGAATACTCTCTCTTTCCCAAATTCTGTTCTTTGCTATGACCCTTATAGGCACTGACAGATTTCGTAGTTGTCTCTGGTAAGAACTTTATGAGCTGGAACAGACATCCTGATACAACCAGGTTGCTTCTGTTATGCCTCAACATGAATTGAATTTGTTTTATGCAGTTTACGTATTTCACTTCCTAATGTATGCAGATGTACAGTGCTCTTGTATTGCTTTGTTCATGTATTACTGTCCTTATAAAGGTTTTTAGTAAGGTTTTGCCTTCCTGGTTAGCATGCTTTTCAGGGATGCAATCTGATGGTTGCTAACTCATAGATGCAAACAATAATTACTTTCTTGGACCTGCGTCTCATCAGAGTAGAGAAGGTTCACTGATAAAAATGCTGGTAATTGGTATAGAGATTAAAGGAGAATCACTCATAGACTCCTGTTGTTTGCAAATGTTTTGGTGATTGAACCACATCTTGACTATTATATGGGATCATATTGCTGATTGATGGACTGGGAAGTGGAGCTCCCATTGACTGCCTGTTTATTTTGGGTATCCTTAAACCTGTTTTTCCAGTGGTATAAGGTTATATTCTGGGCCCCCAAGCAAGAGTTTCAGTGAGGGGTGCTCTTAATGTTTCTGAACCTCACTGTAACGGACTTTTACTGAAGACAGTATTGGAGACCCAAGGATAATGTGTTTATTTTGGAATTACTTAAGCTTAGTAACCTTAACAAACTTAGCTTGAAAGTAACAGTTACACTTTCATAAGTCCCATACAGCTCCCTTTTGTAATGACCCGAGGAAACACTTATGGTTCCACTGATTCATCTCCTGGGGACCATCAGTTTTCCATTGGTCTCTGGCCAGTCTTTTTTAGACAGTTTCTCTTCTATGCATTTAAAAAAATAACATTTCTAGGCGTCTTTCTATAAATAATACCTGTGCTTTGTAGAAGTTTTAAAAGAAGTAGAAAACATAAGAAAAGGAACCTACTATCCAGACATAATCACCTTAAACATTGTGGTGTATATATGCACCCCGCCCCCCCTGCCCCCACATACTCCCATATATCTTTTTTTTTTTTTTAAATGTTTGGATGAAGGTGTTTAAAACTAAACTGGGATCATATTCTACATTTTTCATTTAATAGTTGTAAATATGATTAAACACTAGTTATATTCCACCCTACTTCTAAAAAGGTGGTAAGTGGAACCTTTTTTTCTGTATAATTTTTTTGAGAGATATTTGTTTTCTTATAGTTTTATAGCTTGTTAATAAAAGAATTTAGAATTTTAAAATACAAACTGAGGAAAGTAAAAGCTTTTCTCAGGTGTCAAAATTCTTATAAGTGGGTACATGTAGGTGAGAGTCTAAATCAGGGTAAGAATGATGGGCAGAATTGCTAATTAAGGTCTTATTTCTTGTTTACATGTGTCTAGAATAATTTATTTTTCAGGGAGCTGTCTGGTGAAATTTAAGCCATTCATTTCCACAGCTTAAATTTTTTCAGGCATGTTTGCATTTCAGGGGGCTGAGCCAAGGAGGGGGACAGTCAGTTTATTAGCAGTGGTGTGACCAGTGTATTGGACTTTCAAATAGGGCACAACTGCATGGCATCGTCCCCTGGTGGCTGTGGCCTAGGGCAAGCCACAAAGCCACTCAGTGATGATGCCAGCAGTTGTGCCCTACTTAACCTCTCTGGGTCTCACATTTCCTTATCTGTAAAATTGGGTGAGTAATAGTTTTTGTTTTTTTTTTTTGAGATGGAATTTTGTTCCTGTTGCCCAGGCTGAGTGCAATGGCACGATCTTGGCTCGCTGCAACCTCTGCCTCCAGGGTTCAAGCAATTCTCTTGCCTCAGCCTCCCAAGTAGCTGAGATTACAGGTGCCTGCCACCACGCTCGGCTAATTTTTGTATTTTAGTAGAGACGGGTTTCACCATGGGTCAGGCTGGTCTTGAACTCCTGACCTCAAGTGATCCACCCACCTTGGCCTCCCAAAGTGCTGGGATTACAGGTGTGAGCCACCGTGCCCAGCCGAGTAATTGTTTTTATTTGATGGAAGCATGAGTTTGAGATAATATAAGATTAAATGAGATACTGTATGATTAGCAAATAGCAGGTGTTAGTAAATGGGAATTCTCCTCCCATGTGTCTTCAAGTCTATATCACCCTTAGAGTTACCTAAATTGGATTATACTTGGTTTGATACTATGAGGTATTAGGAACTAACCTCACTTTAAACAATCGGGTGGCTAAGTTTTTATATTCTGTAAATTTTGAGGAATGTCTGAAGTTTTAGACATGGGCTGATTTTAGGAGAGAGATTGTTGTACTGAGTGAAGCTTAAAACTCAGATTTTGGTTAGCGTAAATAGATTTTACATCGTGGATTTTAATCTAACATTTCATGTATACATTTTGGTGTGTTGAAATAGTTGACATATTTGTAAATTTTAATGTCTCATTATATTTCACTACATTGATGTTTCATGATTTGTGGTGTATGGTCTTGAGAAAGTAGCCTTTAGAGTAGATACAATATTGAATTTGACTTTTAAAAAATCTTATAAGAATTTTCAAATGTACCCCAGAGTATACTGGTATAATAAATCCTCATGTATTCTCACCCAGCTATGACAGTCATCAATCATAGCCACTCTTGTTTCCCCTGTTATCCCCCCTTCCACTATTATTTTGAAGCAAATTTTAGATACCGTATTATGAAATAGAATTACGGTGCGTGAAATTTGTCAGCTTGGCCTTCCTACCGATTTGTATGTGGATATATTCTTAATTTCCTGCTTTGAATTGAAGTTTACCCTTTCATATTTGATCAAGTCAGCTTTAATTGTATCAAGTGTCGGTCTACTTTAAATTCCTATCAGTGATAGTGAACTTCATTTTATTTAAGACTATTAGAAATTTTTTGTCAGTACATATTTAAAGCACAGTGTGGTGGCTTCTAAAGTAAGGTGTCCATCAGGGCAGTTGCTAGTGCTTGTTTTAAAAAATTAATTTAGAAATCTGACTGGTTAAATCTGAGTCTGATTTTCCCTTTTTCTTTGAATTTTAGGAAATAAAGTTTTATACTCTCTTGTACCTCAGTGTTGTTTCTGTGTGTGGATGGGTGTTGGGAGGAGCTGGGCTGATTTAAGCTAGTCCTGTCCCTGTATGCATGTACATTTCATGCTTGAGGTTTATTGGCTTGAAAAAGACCAGAAACTGTAGGTTAGGATTTTTCCTCTTAAAGCATATTGAGCAGTCATAGGTTGAGCATTTTACAAAGCATGCAGATACCCTCCTTTGTGTTTTAATAATCAAATGACAGGCGTAAGATAACTAAGTTCAACTTGAATATTAAAAGCTGTAGTCCATTTCTTCTTTATATGTTTAATGACTATATAGTTATTTGGCTAAATTAATTTTTTTCTGTGCTTAAGTTAATTTTTGTACAATTTATGTCCATATTTGCTTGGAACCTTAGCGCAATATTTGAGCCAGAAGACTTGCAAAGCTTGAGCTAAATGAAATAAAATTGTTGGCATTAAAGGAAAGCTAACAACTTTGAAGTTTTAAAATCTCTGATGGTTTGAGTATAAGAAATGACTCCATTGGATGAGGTGAGGTAATTCCAAGATACAGGGTACTGATAATACTAAACGTACCTTGATGACTAATTAAGCAGTTTCTGAGTATAGGTATTATGCTGTAAAACCAAACTGGAAATGGACTATCCATGGAGCATAGTGTATAGCTGAGTTATCAATGAAAATGTTAATTCGTATGATTAATTTTTAAAAAGCATTATATGTATTAATTTGAAATTCTTTGCTGTTAAGGTTTTGGAATGTGTGTTTGAATCCAAATGTGATTGGAGTATGTAATAATGGGTATTCTTAGAACATGCTGAATTGTTTTACTTTTTTGGAGACAGGGTCTTTCTCTGTTGACCAGGCTGGAGTGCAGTGGCGCGATCATGGCTCACTGCTGCCTCCAACCTCTCAGGCTTGGGTGATTCCCGCCTCAGTCTCCCAAGTAGCTGGAACCACAGGCATGTGCCACTATGTCTGGCTAATTTTTGTATTTTTTGAGAGACAGTGTTTCACTCTATTGTCCAGGTTGGTCTCGAACTCCTGGGCTCAAGCGATCCACCTGCCTTGGCCTCCCAAAGTGCTAGGATTACAGGTGTGAACCACTGTTGCCTGGCTGAACATGTTAAATTATAGAAGAAGGAACTTGAATGTAACTTGATGGATTTAGTTGTTCATATCTTATTGGAAATGAGGACTTTTTGGTAGATATAGTTGAGAAAACAACTGATACCTAGCTTGTGTAATGACTCTGGCTGAAACAGAGTTTGACATCCTAATTGCCTGTTAGAATCATTTGGGAGTTTTTAAGGACACAAAGATCTGAGACCATTTAAATCAGAGTCTCTGGAGTTAGGGCACTGGTGCTGGTAGATTTTAAAAACTCCACTGGCAATTCTGAAGTTTAGCTGTGGTTGAAAACCACTGGCGTAAAAAGACATACTCCAGAAATATTTGAAGTGGAAGAGAGTGAGTACAAATTATTGTCTTCTTTCCTTGATGGTGTTGTAAAATTTATGTGGTGGAAGTTTTGTCTTTTTTTTTTTTTTTTTTTTTTAAACTCTAACTCCATCCCACTACTGCCTTTCTAGAACTTAGAAAGTACTGCTTTTGATTTCTGGGGAAAAGTATTTTTGCATTTTGTATCCAGAAGAATTGAAGATGAGGAATTTTTTTTTCTCCTGTGGAGGTAATGTTTCTACTCCTTGTATACCTTATTTTTATAATATCCTTACTGAGATATAAATTACATACCATAAAGTTAAGACAATTTAAAGTGTATAGTTCAGTGGCTTTTAGTAAATTGACATAGTTGTGCAACCATTATTGGAACATTTACATCACCTCAGAAAGAGATTCTGTATCAGCAGTTACTCCTCATTCCCCCCAACCTGCTCACCCCTAGGAAACCATTAATCTACTTTTTGTATCAATAGATTTGCCTATTTTGGATATTTCACATAAGTGGAATCATGTAATATGTGGTCTTTTGTGATGGGCTTCTTTTACTTAACATAATGTTTTCAAAGTTCATCCATGTAGTAGTATATATTAGTATTTGTTTTTATGGCTGAGTACCATTCCATTGTGTGGATAATACCACATTTTATTTATCCATTTATCAGTTGATGGATATTTGGGTTGCTTCTACTTTTACCTATTATGAATAATGTTGCTATGAACATTCGTGTACAGGTTTTCGTGTGGACATGTTTTCATTTCTCTTGGGAAATACTGGGAGTGGAATTACTTAGATACTTCCTTCACCTCATTTGAACTTCAGGGTTAGAAAATCTTCCCATAGAGTTGGGAAGCACCGCGAGTCCATGTTCTAACGCTATTTTTACACTGTAGGACAGAGGTCCAGTGTGTGTTGTTTGGTCTTGTGGTCCACAAGGGGCAAACTCCTCACTTAAAAGAAGGACCAGCTGTTTTTCCTTGCTGTGTTTCCAGGAAAGGGTCCACATAGACTTATATTGAAGTTGGAATTTTAATGAAGCTTTTAAAGCCTCATCCTTTTACTCCCTTAGTTGTTAGGGAAAAGAGCAAAATGTTTGAACTCTTAGTATCTGGAAAATAATAATGGTAATCAGACCTGACATTTGTTGACTGCTTATTCTGTGCCAGGCACTGGACAGCTGAGGCTTTTTATGTCTATGATCTTATTTAAGCTTCATAACAACTTGTAGCAATGACTGCCATTTTACTGATGGAGAAATGGAGACACATAGGTTAAATAACTTGCATCAGCTCAAAACAGCTGGGCAGCAATGCTGGGTTGTAAGAGTGACTCACTCTTACCCCGCTGTACTGTACTGCCTGCCTTCAACCAGTATATCCTAACTCCCTTAGGAGACATATAATCATTGCCATGGAACTTGGTTTGATTTATCAGAGGTTCATTTATAAAGGAAATTAACAGTTTTCATGAATTTATTGTTCAAGTAAATTGCAGAGGAATAAAAGCTTAACTTTTATAAAAATCTGAAGAAATGAATGGTTTTAAAGGAGCTTCTTCATTTAAATTAATTTTAGATCCATCTCATGTTTGTAAGGCACATAACATGCAGTGTTACTCGCCTGCCTCCACCTCCCATGGGCTTGACTTAGACTTTTTTTTTTTTTTTTTGAGATGGAATCTTGCTCTGTTGCTCAGGCTGGAGTGCAGTCGCCTGATCTTGGCTCATTGCAACCTCCGCCTCCTGGGTGTAAGTGATTCTCCTGTCTCAGCCTCCCGAGTAGCTGGGACTACAGGTATGCACCACCATGCCTGGCTAAATTTTGTATTTTTAGTAGAGATGGGGGTTTTGTCATGTTGGCCAGGCTGGTCTCGAACTCCTGACCTCAGGTGATCTGCCCACCGTGGCCTTCCAAAGTGCTGGGATTACAGTTGTGAGCCACTGCACCTGGCCATATTTTTAAAAGTTCTATTTTAATTGACAAATAATAATTGCATATGTTTATGGAGTAAGATGTGATTTTTTCCATACACATATGTGAAGTGATTAAATCAGCTAATTAACATATTAATCCCCTCAAATACATACCACTTCTTTGTGGAGAGAATATTTAAAATCCTTTTTTTTTTTTTTTTTGCTATGGAGTCTTGCTGTGTTGTCCAGGCTGGAGTGCAGTGGTGTGATCTAGGTTCACTGCAACCTCTGCCTCCTGGGTTCAAGCGATTCTCCCACCTCAGCCTCTGGAGTAGCTGGGACTACAGGCGTGTGCCACCTTGCCTAGCTAATTTTTGTATTTTTAATAGAGATGGCGTTTCACCATCTTGGCAAGGCTGGTCGTGAACTCCTAACCTCAAGTGATCCATCCACCTCAGCCTCCCAAAGTGTTGGGATTACAGGTGTGAGCCACCATGCCCAGCCTAAAAATCCCTTCTTTTAGCTATTTTGAAATAAACATGATTCTGTGATTACCATGCTATGTAATAGATCACCAGAACCTATTCTTCCGTCTAACTGAAACTTTGTACCTTTGACCAACATCTCCCCTTTCCCTATCTACCCTTTACCCCAGTATCCTCTGGTAGCCACCATTGTACTCTCTACTTCTATGAGATTAACATTTCTAGATTCCATATACAAGTTAACATCATATGATATTTGGCTTTCTGTGCCTGGCTTATCATAGTTAGCAGAATGTCCTCTGTGTCCATCTGTTGTTGCAAATAACAGGATTTCCTGTTTTTTAAAGACTGAATAGTATTCCGTTTTATGTGTATACCATATTTTAAAAATCCGTGTCTTGGCTGTTGTGGATAATGCTGTAAAGAACGTGGAAGTGCAGACATCTCTTTGACATACTGATTTCAATTCCTTTGGATATGTATAGCCAGAAGTGGAATGGCTGGATTGAATGATAATTCTGTTTTCAGTTTTTTGAGGAACCTCCATACTGTTTTCCATAATGGCTGTACTAATTTACAATACCACCAACAGTGAACAGGGGTTCTCTTTTCTCCACATCCCTTGCCAACACATACTGTTTTTCATTTTTTTAAATAACCAGTCTAACAGGTGTAAGGTAATACCTTATTGTGGTTTTGATTTGCATTTCTCTGATGATTAGAGATGTTAAGCATTTTTTTCATGTACCTGTTGACCACTTGTATGTCGTCTTTTGAGAAATGTCTATTCAGGTCCTTTCCCCATTTTAAAAATAGGGTTACTTGTTTTTTATTGAGTAGTTTGAATTTTTTTGTTTGTTTGTATATTTTGGATATTAACCCCTTATCCAGGCCGGGAGTGGTGGCTCACACCTGTAATCCCAGCACTTTGTAAGGTCTTGTTCTTTTTTTTTTTTTTTTTTTTTTTGAGACAGAGCCTCCTTCTGTCGCCAGGCTGGAGTGCAGTGGTGCGATCTGTGCTCACTGCAACCTCTACCTCCTGGGTTCAAGCTATTCTGCTGCCTCAGCCTCCCGAGTAGCTGGGACTACAGGCGCCCGCTACCATGCCCGGCTAATTTTTATATTTTTAGTAGAGACGGGATTTCACTGTGTTGGCCAGAATGGTATTGATCTCTTGATCTCATGATAGACCCACCTCAGCCTCCCAAAGTGCTGGGATTACAGGCATGAGCCGCCATGCCTGGCCTACTCTATGCCTTTTGATTGGGGAATGTAATCCATTTACAGAGTAATTATTGATAGGTGAGGACTTAACCAGTGCCAATTGTTTTCTGTTTATAGATCCTTTGTTCTATTCCTCCTCTCTTGCTTGTGTGTGTGTGTATGTTGTGTGTGTGTGTGTGTGTGTGTGTGTGTGTGTGTCTTAATGGCTTTCTGTAGTGGTATGCTTTGGATTTTATCTTTTTATCTCTTGTCTGTCTGTTACAGACTTTTGCTTTGTGGTTAACTTGAGGCTTACATAAAACAGCTTATATAACGGTATTTTAAGTTGATAACAACTTAATTTTAATTGCATACACAAACTATACACTTTTACACCCCTTTCTCCCATATTTTGTATTTCTGATGTTATACTTAAAATTTTTATATAATATTTATTCCCTTAACAAATTGTTGCACTTCAGTTGTTAATAGTTTTGCCTTTTAACCTTTATACTAGAGATATAATTGATTTACTCACTGCCATTAGAGTATTAGAATGTTTGGATATGACAATGTATATACCATGCCCTGGCCTGGATAAGGGGTTAATATCCAAAATATACAAAAAAAGTTTTATACTTTAATAAATTTTCATGTTATTAATTAGTGTTCTCTTCCTTCAGCTTGAAGAACTCCTTTTAGCATTTCCTGTAATGCAGGTCTAGTGGTGATAAAGTTAGCTATTGATTGAAAAAGTCTTTATCATCCATTTGGTTTTGAAATACAGGGTTGCTGGGTATAGTATTCTTGGTTGGCAGTTTTTTTTTCTCTCTCTTTCTTCTCTTTCTTTTTCTTTCTTCTCTCTCCTCTCCTGCCCTGTCCTGTCCCTGTCTCTCTTTCTTTTCTTTTCCTTCCTTCCTTCTTTTCTTTTCTTTTCCTTCCTTCCTTTTCTTTTCTTTTCTTTTTTTTCTATTTTTAAATATATCATCCCACTCCCTTCTGGCCTGAAAGGTTTCTGCTGAGAAGCTATCTGATAGTCTTATGGAGGTTCCTTTATACATGGTGATATGCTTTTTTCTTGCAGTTTTCAATACTCTGCCATTAGTTTTTGACATTTTAATTGTGATGTGTCTTGGTGGGTCTCTTTGAATTTATCTTATTTGGTGTCTTTTGGGCTTCCTGGATCTAGCTTTCCATTTCCTTCCCCAGCCTTGGGAATTTTTCTGCCATTATTTATTTGAATATGTTAGTTGTTCTTTTCTCCTTCTGGCACCTGATAATGCATAAGTTGTTCTCCATGATGGTGTCCCATAAGTCTCTTAAGTCACTCTTTTTCATTATTTTTTCTTTTTGCTCCTGAGATTAGATGGTTTCCAGTGACCTGTCTTGTAGTTTACTGATCCTTTCATCTGCTTGATCTAGTCTGCTGTCAAACCCCTATATTGAATTTTTCAGTTCAGTTTTGGTATTTTTCAGATCTATGTTTTCTCATTGATACTTTTTAATATTTTCTGTCTCTTTGTGGAAGTTCTTAGTTTGTTCTTGCATTGCTCTCTTGACCTCGGTGAGCATCTTTGTGACCATTATTTGGAATTTCCTGTTGGGTAAATCATATATCTCCAGTTCACTTGAGTTGGTTTCTGTTGATTTATTTTGTTGCTTTTTTTTTTTTGGAATATATTTTCCTATTTCTTAATTGTTCTTGACTCTCTCTGTGTTGGTTTCTGTGCATTACGTGAGACAACTGCCTCTCTCAGTCTTCTTAGCCTTGTGTAGCAGAAGGATCTCACCAATCCATCCAGCTAGAGATTTTAAGATACCTTTTAAATCTTTGTATTTGTTCAGACTGTTGTCTCTATTCTTGGTGCCATATTCCATTAGTACCCTGTGATCAGTAAGGCAGAAGCCAGATGCATAGATGTAGCTGGGAAGGTTGAGGTGTTGGGTATGTGTCCTAGTTCCTTCTGTCATCATGTTGAAGTCAAGTGCTTGATTCTTCCACTCTTTCTACACTAAGCCATCTCTGTGGCAAATGCCTATGCTTGTGTTGTGGCTGCACTCTACGATCCTGGGGAGATATCTGCTGGAAGTGGGCTTGTAGTATGTCCACCTCTGTTTTCTGTGGTTTAGGGAGATTCAGGAATGCAAAGCCCTGTCACTTCCAGAGCTTAGGTTGTGAAGGGTACAGTCCCTTGTCTGTGTGGAGCTATAAAAGTGTGGCACTCAGTCTGTGGACAAACTCCTTTTAGGAAGAATGAGTAGGCCTGGAATTATCAGTGGGATGTGCTGGGGGAAAGGCTCAGGATATGCCAAGTTCCTGCTCAGGCTGCCTGAGGGGTACTGTTTGTCTCCCCCATTAGCTCTCTGATGCAAGTTAGAGGCCAGGCTGTCAAGTAGCGACTGGAAGAGTATGCAGTTATAAACCCTTTTTGGAGAGAAAATGAGAGCTGCATGTTCCAGACTCTTTTCTTCACTGCTCCCAGGGAGTGTAGCCCTAGAAAGTATTTGCACACCTGTTTAAAACCACCTCCTTGTTTTTTTGATCTAGAGAGACATGCATATGCCTAGTCTCTTCCATTACCACATCTAGGAGATTTAGGATATAGTCCTTTGGGTGGATGCTGTGCAAATTGAGGCATTTGATGTGTGGACAGACTCCTTCTAGGAGGAATTGGTAGGCCTAAAGTTACTGCTGGGGCAGGCCAGGGGGAAAGGCTTGGAAAGTGTCCAGCTGCTGCTTAGGCTGCCAGAAGGCTACTTTTGCACTGTCCCATTAACTCCCCCATGCAAGTTAAAAGCCAGGCTGTCGAGTAGCCACTGGTAGACTGTGCCATGAGCCCCTTCCAGGGAGAAATGTGGAGCTTCACATTCTTAGCTGCTTCTCTGCACTGCCCCCAAAGGGTGCAGTCCCTGAAAGTACTTGCATGCTTGATTAAAAGTATCTCTCTTGTTCTAGGGATTTAGTGATCTAGGAAGACTTGCACTAGATCCCTCAGCTCCCAGAGCCAGGAGATTTAGGATGCAGGCACTTGGATGGAAATTATAAAAGTTGGGGTCTTGATGTGTGAACAGACTCCCAGAAATAAATTTTTGGGATATAGATGATGAAGGTGGCTTGCAGCTAGTCCCAAAATAAATACGTTGAATGATAGCAGAAGTCATTTTCAGAAAGTAGACATTAGTTTTTCCCATACTGTGACATTCAAGCCCTCTTTGAAGTTCAATCGTGGGTCAAATTATTATAAATAGATTATAGATTATTTAGGACTCACCTATAAAACCCTTTAGGTGCAAGATAAATCCTTCTTAAGCTTGATATTTTGTTACAGTAATTGAGCTATAAGGAGTTCTAGTGTATTTTTGCTTTGAGACACATACATGAACGCATGGTACCTTTTTAGCCCTGTTATTTAATAGCCTGCTTTTCTCATGTATGCTGATGTGATCTTCCCCTGCTCTCCAGATAAACAGGGGTCACATGACGACAGAAGCCAAGAGGGCTGCAAAGATGGAAAAGAAGATGAAAATTTTGCTTGGGGGTTACCAGTCTCGTGCTATGGGGCTCATGAAACAGTTGAATGACTTATGGGACCAAATTGAACAGGCTCACTTGGAGTTACGCACTTTTGAAGAACTCAAGAAACATGAAGATTCTGCTATTCCCCGGAGGCTAGAGGTAACGTTATATATTGAACTGTTGTTTAAAAAGAGTGCTGCAAAGAATTATCAGGGCTGTCCTCTTTTACTTCTCCTATGTAGACTGTCTCTGAAGTTGGTACTGTCAGGCTTTTAAAAATGAGAGCCTAAAGTGTTTGACTTTCTAATCTAGAATTGCCTCTGTGTAGATGGATAGACCAGGCAAGTTGTAGATACAAAGGCCTTCCCTTACTCATTTTCTGTTTCCAATATGTAGATACACTGTGAAATGGAATACTTAGCCCTTGTGATTTGTCCCCTTGAAACTTAATTGCATCCCATTCATGTAGCTCAGTGAGGGGAAACTAAACCAGTATCTTTTTGTTTTATACCTTATGTTGCTGGGAACATAGCTAGTCCTTCCAAACCATCAAATTCCTATGACCAGGTTTGGATTGAATTTATCTCCCAAATGTGCATAATAGCTCCTGTCCAGCTAAAGGGCAGTCAGGGCTTCTTGAAGTGCATTTGTGGGTATTGATAAGACAGTAGTGGTTTGTTTATTTGAAGTAGCAGCAGGATTTCATATGACCAAATCAAAGAATGGCTGTGATACTGGTTTTATAGCAAAAGTATTTGATATGTTTGTTTCTCTTTGAGAAATATTTAACTCTTAAGAATCATGATTTAACTCAGCTGGTTTTTAAGATAATAAAGTACTGTAGATTTTTTTCAGTATAGTTACATCTAAAATAATTACTTAATTTTTTTTCTTTAAGTGTCTAAAAGAAGACGTTCAGCGACAACAAGAAAGAGAAAAGGAACTTCAACATAGATATGCTGATTTGCTGCTGGAGAAAGAGACTTTAAAGTCAAAATTCTGAAGTACAGTTTATATTCTGTCACAGGATTAATTAATTGCCGGTTTTCATACTCTAGAAGGCTGAAACTGATGTTTATCTTCATTGACAAATTTACCCACCATCTGTGGTTTTTCAGTTGTTTATTTTAAATGATATCGATCTTACACATTCTGTGTATAAAGACCTTAACTCCACAGGACGGACATTTTAGAGTTTAAATTATTAAGGCTATCATTCTTTTAGTAATGTCATATTTGCAAACTTTTTTAGTTTTGGCCTTTAATTTAAAAAGCCTAATTTTAAAGTGCTGCCTGTGAGTAACTCTTGAATAAAAACAAAATATAAAAAATTGAGAATGTAGCCTTTTGTTTGAAGTAATTAGATACTTAAGAGTGCCTGCAAACCAGCAGCTATGTACTCTGTGTCATATTTAATGAGTAACTCTTGGGTAATCAAAATGGTGATGCAGTATCTTAAACACTTAAGAGGCAGTTCTTTGTGGCTTTGTTAGTTTCAGCAAAGAGTGGTCATTTCTGTATACACTGACAAGTTAGATTAACTTTTTAGTACCTCAAATTTTTTTTTTGTTAATATCACTTTAAAGAAGGTCTCTTGTCTGCCAGCTACTTAAATAATTTATGGGTCAGGGCTTAAAAGATTTAACTTCCTTGCCCCATTATTTTCTTATAAGTATTTTTTGACAAAGGCATTTTAAAAGTTAATTTCAAGAAGGCCATCAAACTTAAAGCTCTATGTTTAGCCTAAGAAGTCAGTTACATCAGTGTAGAATTTGGGGAATGGATAGAGGTGGAGATATTTAATTTTATATAATTCATATAAATTGATTTAGTTACAGTATCAGTTGGCTACAAGCTCATTATAGACTAGCAATGTTTTGACATCACCAAAAACGTTTGCCCAGTCTTAGAATACTAGGGACTATAGGAAGGGAAGGGATTCATTCATTCATTCGATATTGAATGTATACCCTGTGCCAGAGTCTTAGAGAGAGAACAACAAACAAAATAGGCCTAGTTCTTGTTTAGTAGAGCTTATAGTCTTTTGAGAATGACAGACAATTAAAATCCAAATGTTTATTTGGTGATTCTTATGTGTCAGACACTTAAGTGTTGGGAGATAAGCAGTTATTAAGACAGAGTTCTTGCTCTCATGGAGGTGACATTAGTGGGGAGGAGATACTAAGTATGTCCAGGGAAAGTATCAGACCATGAGTTTTAGATTCTGTGGAGGAAATTAAAGTAGGGTGATTATGAGATAGTGAATGAGTGGCTATTTTAGACTGGACGATCAAAGAGACCTCTTGGAAGGCAGCTATGCTCACCACTATACCACTGCACTGTGCCGCACCGTACCACTATAAGCTGCACGGCCAAAGAGACCTCTTAAAGAAGTAACATTTAAGATAACATGTGATTGACATTTTAGAATGGGCTATCCTTGTGAGATTCAAGGAAAGAACATCCTAGGTGGAGTGAATAGCAAACATAAAGCCTCTTTTGTATGTTTGAGGAACAAAAAGGACAATGCAGCTAGAGTGTCAAGAATGGCATTTCTGTATATAAGACCTCGTTGTATAGAGCCACATAAATAAGGCTATAATAAGGAATTTGGATCTTACTTTAAATATGATAAGAATCGATGAGAAGATCTAAGCAAAGGAATGACATGATCAGATTTGGTTTTAGAAACATCACTATCTCCTTAGTGTGTAAAATCTCACCAGGCTGGAGATAGGGAAGCCAGTCCAATTAGGAGCCTGATGCAGTGATCCAGACAAAAAAATAATAGTGATTCTAACTAGAGTCCAGGTAATAGTAGTGGAGATATGTGGAGAGACATGATAGGTATATACTTAATAGTCTTATCAGACGATAAATTGATATTTTCCTGGTGTGTAGTCACTTAATTCAAATACTTTTTTCAGTAAGTTCTGGGTTTTCTAGGAAAAACTTCAGTATCATCAGTGAATAATGATAGTGTTTCTTCTGATAGTTTTATTTCACTTTTATTGCATGTTTTGTTATCTGAAATGTTTAGGACAATGTTAACAATAATGATGTTAGACATTTTTTTTTCTTATTTTAATGGGAATGTCCATAGTTTTAAGTTTGCTGTTGGGAGTTAGATAGTCTTTATCTGAAAGACAGTGTCTCTCTTTTAGTTTTTAAAGAGTTTGAATTAGAAATGGCTCTGGAACTTTAAACAGTATACCATTTGGGCATCTATTAAAGCATTCATATAATTGTTCTCATTTGATGTTTTGATGAGGTATATTAATAGATTTTCCCACATTAAATCATCTTTGCACTCCTGGAATCAGGTAGATTAATTTTTAAAAGAAATTTTAAAGGATTTATAGTTTATTTGCACTTTTTGTAGACTTGAATTATATGGATTTAAAAGTTGATCTAATATTAATAAAGGCTCACTTTGTTTTCAAAATTTGAAGTAATTCACATACTTATAGCCTAAAAAAATCGGCAGGAATTACAAAATTTCAAAACTGGCACATTGTAAACTGCATATGCATTTGCCAGGTAGTGGTGCCACTTGAAATGGTGAACAGACACACTGTTATCCTTTGTCAGTATCCTGTAAAGCCCAGGATTCTTTACCAGCACCATACAGCGATTTTGGTGACTATTTTAACATTCACACTGAGGCCAGGGGTGGTGAGTCATGCCTGTAATCCTAGCACTTTGGGAGGCCAAGGTGGGAGGATCATTTGAGCTCAGGAGTTCAAGATTAGCCTGGGTAACATAGTGAGACCCTGTCTCTATTAAAAAATAATAATAAAAATAACATTCACATTGGTATTGTTCACTAAGGTATTGGTTGTTAAGGCATTCATTAAGGTATTGTTAAAACTTGTGTTAAGCATGTTAAAGTCTCAGTAACTTTGGGATAGAAATAAAATGTGATAAAAAGCTGAAAGAAACCACCACAAGGGAGAGTCCTTTTTGAAATATTAGAGACATAATGCTGTCTAATAAAAAACGACATCAAAGAAAAACTACACTACAGTGACTGCAGACTTAATGTTGGCCAACCATGCATCCTCCCTAGAAATGCATTTGAATTTGATTTACTAATCTTTTATTTAGGAAATTTACATTTTTACATTAGTGAGATTGGTCTTTTGGGCTATTGTACTTTTTTTTTTTTTTTTTTGAGATGGAGTCTTGCTCTCTCACCCAGGCTGGAGTGCAGTAGTGCAATCTTGGCCCACTGCAACCTCTGCCTCCTGGGCTCGAGTGATTCTCTGCCTCAGCCTTCCAAGTAGCTGGGACTACAGGCATGTGCCACCGCACCTGGCTAATTTTTGTGTTTTTAGTAGAGATGGGGTTTTGCTATGTTGGCCAGGCTGGTCTTGAATTCCTGACCTCAGGTGATCCACCTACCTCGGCCTCCCAAAGTGCTAGAATTACAGGTGTGAGCCACCATGCCCAGCCTGGTTATTGTATTTTGATATTGGGATTTTGCTAGCTCTCTAAAGTAAATAGGATAACTGTATATCTTTTTCTGTGCATTAAGCAGTTATAACATGGGAATGATTTGTTCATGAAAGGTTGAAAGTCTGTACTTACAGAACTTTTGAGTTCACAGTGCTTTCTGGAAATAATTTCTTTATAACTGTCAGTTTCTTTTGTGACTATTATGTTACCTATTTTTAAATTTAAGCAACTTTAAATTAAAAAAATTGTTTTTAAAATATATTCTTCCTTTTATGTTTATTTAGTAAATTTAGGTAATGTATACTTTTTAAGAAATATTTTTATTTTGTTCAAATTTAAACATCTGTTGTTAGCAGAAAATTCTAATAGCAATTTCTTTTCTATTAACTTTGCCATTTCTAAGTTATAGGAAATTTACCTTCTCTTAATTCTACCACTTTTTACTTGACTAGACTTGTTAAGGGTATACATTTTCTGTTCAGAAAACTAGTGTTTTTATTGGCTTATCTATTGTGATTTTGTTTTAAAATATGTTAATTTCTCAATTTAGGCTTATTATTTTGTTTTCTGTAGTTTTTTGACTTTTTGAGACTGATGCTTATTTTTTGCTTGTATACAAATGAATGTGTTGAAGACTTTTGAACTGTCCTTTGAGTTCAAATATGTTCACATCCCAGCCATTTTGATATGTAGTAGTCTTGTTTTCTAAGTAGTATATCATTGTGTTTTAAATTTCTGGTTCAATAATTAAGTTTTTCAAAATATCTGTATGGTTGGCTTAAATTTTTTTTTTTTTTTTTTTTGCTAGTTGTGGGATTTTTACCTTGTGGGAAAAAAATGTGGTTTATGTAGTTTCTGTTTATTGAGGTTTGGGGGCCTAGCATCTTTAAAAAGTGTTCTATGGATGTTATAAATGAAGATTTATTTAGTTTATATAGGACAGAGGTGAATGTGTATTCATTCAACCAATTTATTCAAATTTAATGTTCTTATTGTTGTTATAGATACCCTAGAATAGTGTTTTCTTAAAGTCTCTGATTATAGTTGTTTCTCTCAATTTCATTTGTTTCTCTAGAGCTTTTGCTTTGTATATTTTGATAGTGTTATTTAGTATAGAATACTTGTGTCTGTTACATACAATTCATAAGGAAGACTTCATGGCCTAAAGCTATCCTTTTTGTTTTGTTTATGCCTTTTGCCTGGAATTTTACTTTCTTTATTAGAATTTCTCTTCTTTCTTTGCTTATATTTGCATGATAAATTGTCTATCCTTTTATTTTCAACTTTCATATATAATTTTTAGTTGTCTCTTAAACAGCATATCTTGTTGAATTTTGTATTTCAAACCATTTGGAGAGTCTTTGGCTTTTAATAGGGTCTGTTTTGTTTTTCATGCTAATTAATGACTTTAGTCTTCTGTAATCATGTCTTACACTTTCTCACTGATGTCTGTAAATGGACTGTAATTTCTTGGTTTTAATTTTCTTAGTGATTTAGAAAATATACATCGTCTTTTAAATCTTACAAATAATTATGGTATCATTCAGGGTTTAGGATCTGTTCAGGAGAAAGAAAGCAAACCAGTAATTTGAACAAGGAAGACTCAATATGAAGATTACTGACCAGTAGTAGGGAGTTAACTACTAAGAGGGACAAAGACATCTCTAAATAATACAGGAATGGCAGATGTAGGGAGCAGCTGCTACCTGCAGACAGAGTAACCGAAGAAAGACTTGGAAGAGCCCTTTCCCGCCTCCTCAAAGGCTGAGATTCACATCTCACTGAAGAGAGTGTGGGTGGAGAAGTTTGCTGAGGTGCCAGGGTGCCAGGGAACCTCACTAGGAAGTCACTTGCTGAGGGTGCTCTTGATACTTGGAGGAAACCTGCCTCCTGGGGCGTTAGCAGAACTCCAGAGCGCCCACACCACTGGGTCTCCCATGCCTCCCCGGCAGAGGTGCCACTGGTGGCAAGGAAGCCACATGCTGACAGTGACACAGTAGGAGCAAGAAGGAAAAGCGCCAGAACCAGAAGTGAAGCCGCTTCCACTTGTTGTGTCCCTCAGTGGCTGTGCTGTTGGATCCACTGGCAAAACGGAAACGTTTCTAGGTTACAACTCCTGTATCATAAAGCAGGGTGGATTTGGAGCTGGCACAATAACCGTTGTTTTTCAAAATCACACTCAAGCCTGTAGTTTTCTGGACTTCTGAGTAAAGAATGAAGCAGTGGTTTGAGCCAATTTTAATTCCTTTAGCAGCTCCTTTATACTGTGGTCAGGGGACGGCTTATATATGTCTCTGGGGGATCTCCAGGGTATGCATCCTATTCATCATTATTTAAGGCTGTTTATTTCATCTGGTTGTCCCTGGTGGCCAATCTCTTGGTTTGGGTCCAAGTTTTTCACCTCTGCCTGGCCTCTTGGGCTTGGATTATTTGTTGAAAGTGTTTCCTTGGTTCCTCATCTTTCCTGCAGTCCTACATTATTTCTTTGGGTCTCCTCTGCACATTTGCTGCCAGAGATAAGGCCAAGGAGGGGAGTTCAGGCAATATTACAGTAGGTCCCCCCTTGAGGTTTCACTTTCTGAGATTTATAATCTGTAGTCAGCATGGCCCCAAAATATTAACTCAAAAATTCCAGAAAGAAAGAAGTAATTCGTGCTTTTAAAATTACACACAGTTCTGAGTAGTGTGATGAAATCTCTCATGGTCTCACTCCATCCTGCCCAGGAGGCGAATCATCCCATTGTCCAGTGTATCCGGGTTGTGTATACTACTGGCTCATTAGCCAGCTCTGCTATCAGATCAGAAAGTACAGTTACTCATCACTTGATGGGGAGGATACCTTTTGAGGAATGTGTTGGTAGGTGACTCTGTTGTTGTGGGAGCATCTTAGAGTGTACTTAACACAAACCCAGATGATGCAGCCTGCCACACACCTAGGCCACAAATCTGTACAGCACGTTACTGTACTGAATACCGTAGGCAAGTGTAACAGTCAACTATTTGTATACCTAACATAGGTATACATACATAAATATACCTATGTTAGGTATACAAATATATATATATATAAAGAAAATATACAGTAAAAATATGGCATAAAAGATTAAATGGTGCACCTGTATAGGGCACTTAGCATGAGTGGAGCTTGCAGGACTGGAAGTTGCCCTGGGTGAGTCAGTGAATGAGTGGTGAGTGAATGTGAAGGCTAGGACATTACACTACTGTAGACTTACAAACACTGCACACTTAGGCTACACTAAATTTGAAAAGTAAAGTAATTGTGTTACACTTTATGACAGCTATGACATCACTAGGTGATACAAATTTTTCAACTCTGCTGTAACTTCATGGGGACGTTGTCATACATGTCTATTCACTAAAACATTGAAGAGAGGTTAGTAATCTCAATGGTTAATAGACTAACATTTTAAAGATAGGCTTAAATATTTCAAAAGCTTTGTCCTGTCTCAAGATTTTTTTCTTTGAAAAAAGACAATAACTTAGTAATATATGTGTATTAAAATTACCAGTTATAAGAGACTTGTTAATGTACCATGTAGAGCTGTGCTGTCCCGTATGGGAGCCACTAGCCACACGTGGTTGCTGACTGCCTGAAACGTGGCTGTTGTAAAATTTGAGGTATGCTATTAAGTGTAAAATACTGGGTTTTGAAGACAATATGAAAGTAAATGTAATATAGCTCAATTTTTTTATATTGCTTACATGTTGAAATGACAGTATGGTTGACCCTTGAACAACATGGGTTTGAACTGCAGTTTAATTATACAAGGATTTTCTTTTTCCTCTGCCATCCCTAATACAGCAAGACCAGTCCCTTCCCTTCCACCTCCTCCTCGGCCCACTCAATGTGAAGATGATGCAGATGAAGACCTTCATGATGATCCACTTCCACTTAATGAATTCTAGATATATTTTGTCTCCCTTAACGATTTTTAAAATAACATATTCTGGCTGGTGTGGTGGCCCATGCCGGTAATCCAAGTGTTTTGGGAGCCTGTAGTGGGAAAATCACTTGAGGTCAGGAGTTTGAGACCAGCCTGGGGGTGAGGTGGAACTAGAAGGTGTGGAGAAAGTGAATCCTTGTATGCTGTTGGTGGGAGTGTAGATTAGTGCAGCCATTATGGAAAACAGTACAGAGGTTCCTAAAAAAGTAAAAGGTAAACCTACCATATGACTCAGCAATCCCTCTTCTGGGTATACACTCACAGGAAATGCAATCACTGCTTCATAAAGATATCTGGTCTCTCATGTTCATTGCAGCATTATCCACAATAGGAAACACAGAAGCACAACTAACTGCCCATCGACAGATTCATGTGGAAACACGCACGCGCACACACACGATGTAATATTCTGCCTTAAAAAAGGAGATCCTGCCATGTGCTGTAACATGGATGAACTTGGAGGACATTATGCTAAGTGAAATAAGGCAGACACAGAAAAATATGGCACCATCTCACATGAAATCTAAAAACAAAAAGTCTAACACATAGAGATGAAAATGGTGGTTATCAGGGATTGGGGGAGTAGGAAATGTGGAGCTCTAATTCAAAGGATGCAAAGTAGCAGCTCTGTAGGATGGACAAGTTAGCCATCTAATGTACAATATGAGCACTATAGTTAATACTGAATTGTACTCAGGATTTTTGCTAAATGGGTAGCTTTTTGCTGCTCTTGCCACACAAGAAGGGTAATTGTGAGATGATGGCTATGTCAAACTTGCTTCACTATAGTAGTGATTTTTACTATCTATATGTATTTCATGTATTTCATAACACGTTGTCTATGTTAAACACAAAATTTATAAAAGAAAGGATATGTGGGAGATGGTTATTTGATTACTCCAAGGTGAGCTTCCTGCTTCCCCACAAAAATGGTCAGGTCTGTCAACTATAGTTTGGGTTTTAAAACTCTTCATCTGAGGAAGGAGAGATCAAGAAAACCTGCCCAGATGTAGGCTTTGCTTGCTTGAGAAATCTAGAAGTTAGTTTTTTTGTAGTGACAGGATCTCTCTGTGTTGCCCTGGTTGGTCTTGAACTCCTGGCCTCACAGGATTCTCCCGCCTCAGTCTCCCAAAGTGCTGGGATTATAGGTGTGAGCCACCACACCCTGCCTAGGCTAGAAGTTTCAAACGTCCATAGAAATTTCCAGTGTCTTCCCTCAAGCTTCTCTTAATTGGTTCTGAAAATCTGGTGGAAGAAAAAGGAGGATGGCAGCTGCCCACATTATTTTTTGTAGAGAAGGGGTTTCCTCATGTTGTCCAGGGTGGTCTTGAGCTTCTGACCTCAAGTGATCCACCGGCCTGGGCCTTCCAAAGTGATGGGATTACAGGCACCAGGTCACGTTTTATTTTAGTGTTCAAGTGGCAGGGAACCGAGAGGCTTGGCGGGAGCGAGCCACCTCATCTCTGCTTGCTGAGTTAGGAGGAGCCCATGTGGATGAACAGTTACTAAATGCTTCAGGGATTACACCTTGGGAATTGAGCCTTGGAGAACTGAGCTCCCAGGGATGGCAGGATCTTAGTGGTAAGCATGCAGATGGGACAGGCAGTAAACTAGAGGGATTTTTTTTTCCAGCTTCTTCTGTAGAAGGTGTCATTTTCTGGGGGTGAGATGGAACAAGAAGGTGGAACTAAAGAGAATCATGACATGCAGACTTGTGTGAGCCACAGACTGGGATTTTCTAAATCACATATTTGGGGTTTTTTCCCACTATTGCTTCGATGGTAATCAATTATTAATATTTGTTCTTGTCTTTAATAAAAATCGGTTCTAAAGTGACATGCTGGCTGGGCGTGGTGGGAGGCTGAAGTGGGCAGGTCACTTGAGGCGAGGAGTTCCAGATCAGCCTGGCCAACGTGGGGAAACCCTGTCTCTACTCAAAATACAAAAATTAGATGGGTGTGGTGGCACACGCCTGAAGTCCCAGCTACTCAGGAGGCTGAGGCAGGAGAATTACTTGAACCTGGGAGGCGGAGGTTGCAGTGAGCTGAGATCACTGGCAGTGCAAGACCCTGTCTTAAATAAAATAAAATAAAATAAATAAAATAAAATAAAATAAAATAAAATAAAATAAAATAAAATAAAATAAAATAAAATAAAATAAAATAAAATAAAAGTGACATGCCTGTATGGTTGGTTAAGGAAGTGGTGGGACATCTCTTCCAAATTCCACCCATCTCCTCTCTGTCCAGGCCCTCTTGGGGTGTGGTCCTAAACTCTGGAGCCAGCTGGCCCAGCCCACCGCGGCTCCAGTGCCATCTGGTGGTTAAACAGAGGAATGGCTTTTAACCGAGGGACCAAGAACTGGGTTAAGATTTTTTGACCTTCAAATCCGAGAAGCAGAACATGTTCATTCTCAACTGTCATCACTATTTTTAAGCAAACTTGCTTTTTTAAAAAAAAATTTATTTTGAACTAGATGAATTCCAAAACAATACCGGGTCTTAAAAACCCTAGCAGATTATGAAACAAAAGCAATGCTTTTGCTTGATGACAAAACCATAGCAAATAAGTGCAGGGAAAAACCTAAACTAAACCAATGCTCTTTGAAAAACAGAGGTTCATTCGACCTGGGATTTAAGCCTCCCGAAAACAGACTGAGCGTGTAGGGTGGGGCTCACCGTATTTACTGCTGAAGCCTGAGCGTCCAGCCCTAGTGGGGGCTCCAGGGGTGTGGAGGAGGCAATGAGTCACCGGGACGTGACTTTAAAGTGCCACGTCTTTGGAGCTGATTACTGGGATTGTTTTGAATGCCTCCAGCAGTGCTCGGAAGACTAACCTGTAGGCAGGGCCCGTAATGGGTTTGGAGAAAAGAGAGACGGAGGCAGGAAGACCGTGAGAAGTTATTGCAGGAGTCTGCGAGCAGATGATGAGAGTGGGGTAATGGAGAAGGAAGCGGGGTGTATTCAAGAGCTTTGGGGAGGCAGAGTGGAAGGTGTTGGTGCCTGGATATGTCTCTGATGGACAATGATGATACCTCTGACAGAAGGGCATGAGAAACTGATTTTGGAGAAAAGATGAAAGGTTTGCTATTAGTAGAAATGTCAAGCAGGTGTTGGAAAATATGGATCTGGAGGTTAAGAGGGAGGTTGTTTTTGGAGACTGATCTGTACATAGAACAAACATTGTAGGTATCTCTAATTCTAATGGCTTGTGTTGAGTAATCATCTGACATACTAGGGATGAGGTTAAACCCGCCTGTTCCTTGTCTGATATGATCCTCACAAAACAGAAGTGTCAGTACTCGATTGTCTTCCTCTTATAGATGGAGATCAAGTTTGAAAGGGCAAATTCCACCCATTTCCTTCCTACCAAAGACTAAATTAAGTAAGAGAGAGGAGGAAACAAGAAGAAAGAAACAGATGAAAAATCAACATGGTTACTGATAAAAGCAGATAGGGCTTAGATTCATGCTAGCAGTGGCTTCCTAGAGCGCCCACCACCGTTGGGCCTCAGAGCTGCCCCTTATGGGCCAGGGTGAATTTGCAGAGTGGACTCCTTCACCCAGACTGATGCCTCATTCTGGTCTAGGACGAGAAGAAAAGGAGAAAGAGGCCTGGGACTCTTGGCTTTTGGCTGTCACCCGCCAGTCTGGTTACTCCTACGTCTCTAGGCAGGAGGCCAGGAGAGTTTAGGGAAAACCCCTCTCTTAGAAAGCAGAGGAATGGAGAAGGAGTGTTCCCCATGCCTTCCCAATACAATTCAGTAACTTGCAGAGGGCACACATGATTGCCGACGCTGCATTCAGAAGACAGACAAGATGCGATTCCTGGTTCAGAGGAACTAGGTCTGCTCCGCAGGTGGGGAGGGGAGGTCAGGTGTGGCAACATGGTGACAATATCATGTAGCAGGTTGTAAAACAGAGCTAAGAGTCATGGGCCATGGAACACAGGCGGGAGCTGCAGCCTGGACTGGGCAGGTGGTGCATGTGGGGTTGCGTTTGTTGTTCTAAAGGGCAGATGGGCTTTTACCAGCAGAAGAGGAGAGAAGCTCATTTAGGTTGAGGCATGAGTAAAGGGATGGCGATGTGAACAGCCACTGTGGGTTCCCTAGGGTGGATAGGGCAGGGAGAAGTTCAGGATTTCAGGGCTGGACTTGACGCTCATCATTCGTTTCGGCCTCATAGTATGTACAGTCTCTTGGTACGTTTGTGGAATCCCCTCCTTGCTTCCTACCATAGAAGCTGAAAACTTGCTCTCCTCGTCTTCCTGGCAGTGAAAGCTCCCCAGTCAGGTGCTGCTGGACTTTGGCTCAGGAACCAGGGATGCACAGGAGCCCAGGCTGTGTGGAATCCACACCTTCCAGCTCAGAAGGACCCATGCATGCAGTTTCAGAGACAGCCATCACCACTGGAGGAATGTCCGGCAGAGGTGGTGGTGGTGCGAGCCTCAGGGTGTCTACCCAGTGGGCACAGGACTGATTCTGCAGGGTGTCTTTTGGACATTGTTCCGGGCAACACAGCCACCATGCCCGGTTCTCTGGGCCTGCCTGAGAGAGTGTGAGCTATCAACTCCCTTTGTGCTGAGACTGGTCAGTAGTGGTTTCTGTGGCTTGCAACCAAGAATTCCAGTGGGTAGGCCGGTAATGGATCCATATGGGGCAGTGGGGATGGACATGCAGGAGGTAGTGAAGCCAAGTGAGTGATGGGGATACCGGGCCCCCTGCTTCCTTGTGTGTGCCTAAAAGATACTGTAAGCTCTACTTCTTCCATGGAGCCTTCCTGATGTCTTCATTTCCAATCAGTTATTTCCCTAAATTTTCATTATATGAAAATTTCATACAATGAAATAGGGCCCAAAAATTCTTTATTCTTCCATTTCTTCATAGTTGATTTGACACTCTTGACCTAATCTGGGCAAATAAAATCCTCTCTACTGGGAATCTGGAGCTGAAAGAGAGTTCAGTTTCCCTTAATGGTGGCATGAATGTGTAAAGCCAGGAGCAGAAGAGCTGCCACGTTTCCTCATGGGGACAGAGGAACAAAGAAAGCTGTCTCCAGAAAGGGGCAGAGATGAGACCTAGGGAGAATTCTAGTGGCTTCAGTCTTGCTTTCAGGATCTTCTTGAAAACTAGCTGCAGACCTCCCTTGGTTCCTGCGAGAGCCCCTACACATCAGCTAACTTGTGTTGGTTTCTTCTTTTTTGAGATGGAGTTTTGCTCTTGTTGCCCATGTTGGAGTGCAGCGGTGTGATCTAGGCTCATGGCAATGTCCACCTCCTGGGTTTGAGCCATTCTCCTGCCTCAGCCTCCCAAATAGCTGGGATTACAGGCATGTGCCACCACACCTGGCTAATTTTGTATTTTTAGTAGAGACGGGGGTTTCACCATATTGGTCAGTCTGGTCTCGAACTCCTGACCTCAGGTGATCCACTGGCCTTGGCCTCCCAAAGTGCTGGGATTACAGGCATAAGCCACCGCACCTGGCCTCTTGTATTGGTTACTGTTACTTGGAACCAAACCATTCCAGCTAGCGCCAAAATGAAAGGCTGAAAAAAAAATGGTGGAAAACTGTACTTAGAGGACAAGGAGAGTTTCCAGCAGAGGCGTAAGGAGGAGGAGTCAGCATGGGCAAAGACTGCTGGAGGCCAGCTTACAGGTGAGCAGAGAGCAATGCAGACCTGAGCCATGGGGGCAGCAGTGGTGGTGAACAAGACGCTGACAGGTCTAAGAGGCACTAAGGCGAGGGCAACAACTTGTGGGGAGTTAGGAACAGGCAGCATCAGGGATGACCTCCAGGTTTCTCACCTACATGGGCATCCAGGAAGATGACTGTATATATAAATCTCCCAAAGCTAATCTCTCAGGGCTTCTGAACTACAAGTTTGTTTGTTTGTTTGTTTGTTTGTTTTAGAGAATGGATCTCCCTCTGTCACCGAGGCTGCAGTGGCATGATCATAGCTTGCTGCAGCCTCGACCTTCCTGGGCTCAAGCAATCCTCCTTCCTCAGCCTGGGAAGTAGCTGGAACTGCAGGCGTGCACCACCACACCTGGCTAATTTTTAATTTTTTTGTAGACATGGGGTCTTGCTATATTGCCTATGTTGGTCTTGAACTCCTGGCCTCAGCCTCCCAAAGCACTGGGATTACAGGTATAAGCCACCATGCCCAGCCCTATCCTATAAATTTGGATGGGTTCTGGAAACTTCCTGGAGATCTGCAGATTGGTAGTTGCAGCAGGTGAGTTTATAAAGCGGAGCTGAATTCCTAGAAGGAGACAGGCTTCAAGATGCTCATTTCAAGAGAAGCTAGCCTTCAGCAGGCAGGGTAGACTCGAGAGTCAGGGCTGGAAGATGTGGACACTGTGAACTTCAGGGCATCGAGGCCTGCAGCGTCACTATGGGCCATGGTGTCAGCATCATCCAGCTCTGCTGAACGGGAATTTGCCTTTTAATGCAGGTGGTGTGCATGCACATGGAAGTTTGGGAAACACTGTTGGAGCCTCACCCAGGAGCTGCCTATACATGATGAAGGAGAAGCTTGTTTTTCTCCTGGCTGTCCTCTGCTCTCCAGATGGCTTGATTAATATTCTCCTCCCTGCAGAGGTCTTCCTGTTCTGAAGGCAGCAACTGGCCCTTCCTTCGATCACTCATGATATTAACAATTTGTCCGTTATTTGCAACCAGTGAAAAAAGCCTTCTCAAAACATGCCCTGAAACTCATGGGGCATATGTGATAACTTACTCAAACCAACGTGATACTTATTTAATTTCCCTGCGTAGTCCACTCCAAAGAGTTTTTAAAAAGTAATTTTCTGAAATCTTTGGATAGGCCATTTGTTGCACTATAAGACTTTCTTCCCAGAGGGATTTGTGATTATAACTGAATGAGAAAGTTCTGTTATTAGAAATAATATTTTGTCCTAGAAAGCTCTAAAGGTGTTGGGTGGAAGGGGGAATGTAGAAAGGGCAGGGGAGCTGGGGTGAGGGAGGGGAGAACAAGGACTCTCGCTGTACCCACAGTTGCCATGTTTGTGCTTTGACAAAGGGTCAGAAAAAACCAAGGAAAAATCAAAGTTCAGAAAGGTTCTGGTTCTTCCAGAAGTTTGCAGTCCAATATGGTAGCCACTAGCTATGTGCAGCTATTAAAACTGGAATTTAGGCCGGGCGCGGTGGCTCACGCCTGTAATCCCAGCACTTTGGGAGGCTGAGGCGGGTGGATCACGAGGTCAGGAGATCGAGACCATCCTGGCTAACACGGTGAAACCCCGTCTCTACTAAAAATACAAAAAATTAGCCGGGCGTGGTGGCGGGCGCCTGTAGTCCCAGCTACTAGGGAGGCTGAGACAGGAGAATGGCGTGAACCCAGGAGACGGAGCTTGCAGTGAGCCGAGATGGCGCCACTGCACTCCAGCCTGGGTGACAGAGTGAGACTCTGTCTCAAAAACAAACAAACAAACAAACAAACAAAAAACGTATTTAAATTAGATAAATTTAAATAAAAGTAGATATTCAGTTCACACATTAACACCTCACTGAGCTGGCAAGAAGCAGGACAGCAGCTCGGGGCTGTCTTAGCACAGCAGAGACAGAGCTGAGCAGGGCAGAAGAAACCCATCAAATGCGGCAACACGGAATGCAATTAGAACACCTGGGAAAGGCCAGCACGGTGGCTCACACCTGTAATCCCAGCACTTTGAGAGGCCAAGATAGGCAGATCACTTGAGCTCAGCAGTTTGAGACCAATTTGCACAACGTGAGGAAACCCCATCTCTACCAAAATTACAAAAAGTAGCCAAGTGTGGTGGTATGCGCCTATAGTCCCAGCTACTGGGGAGGTTGAGGTGGGAGGATCGCTTGAGTCTAGGAGTTTGAGAACACCCTGGGCAACATAGGGTGACCCTGTCTCTACAAATAATTAAAACATTTGCTGGGTGTGGTGGTACACACCTGTGGTCTCAGCTACTCAGGCGGCTGAGCTGGGAGGATGGCTTGAGCCCAGGATTTCAAGGTTGCAGTGAGCTTATGATTGCCACTCCAGCCTGGGCTGGAGTGAGACCCTGCCTCAAAACAAAACAAAACAAAACAAAAAAACAAAAACAAAAACAAAAACAAAACAAACAAAAACCTGGAAAACACTGTTTGCTTTTGCTCTTTAAGTGAGCAATTCCACATTTAGGGATTGATCTGGAAGGGAAATCCATCATTATTGCATTGTGATTACAAAAGACTGAAACAACCTAAATGTCCTTCAGTGAATTAAACTCATGATAACACCCACGCGATGGAGGACTGTGCTGCCTCCGCCCTCAGGGTGAGAGTGCTTCCCGGGTCATCCCCTACTCCAGGCTAGTCTCCTCTCCATTCTCTCACTGGGTCCTCTCCATTCTCTCCCTTGTCCAAATCTGGCCGGGCCGGCTTCAGCCCAGCCTCTGCCCAGAACCCCCGTGGAAGGGCAGCCCTACTGTCTGCTGACCGGCAGTCCATGGCTTTCACGTCGTGTCGTGGTTTCTTCCTGTGTCATGTCTTCGCTTCTTAGCTAGGTCATAAGCTTCTTTAGATCACGCCTTCTGCTTATCTGCCCAGAAAGGGGACCGCTCGCTCAGCCTCTCTCTCCATCTCTGTCTCTCTCTCCCTCTTGTCCCCCAGCATGTCTGGCCATAAAACATCAGGCCCCCTCTGCAGTCTCCATCCCCAGCGCCCACACAATGGATGGGCTTCAACTCTGGAAATTACCACTTTTGCTGCTCCACACAGCAGGGGATGGGAAGAGGGGGAGACATAGAGGAGGAACTTCTTGGGAACAAGAACAAGCTCTATTCTCAGAGTCAGAAGTCCTGGGTTTGAGTCCTGACTCTGTTATTTTTAGGCTGTGTGACTTGAGACAAATTACTTGGCGTCTCTGACCTTGACTGCCCTGTGTGAAGTGCAGCTGTTACTGCTTGAGTAAAAGGGGTCGTGAGTCAGGTTGTTTGCCTCTGAGCCCCCAAGTGCCCGCACCTGGAAAGCTTTAATACCGCCCATGCCCTTCATGATACTGGGCCGTAGTTCATAGAGAAAGATACCATGGGTGAGCCTCACACCGGATTCAGGGCCACGAGTTTGGTTGTTTTGACCAAAACTTGGTACTTGGGGAGGAAGAGAGGACTTGAGCGCCTGGAGACTCATCATTCCATGAGGTCTCGTCTCAGACGTCCTTGGCATTGGTTTATGTCTCATATCTGGTTCACAGTTGTGCTTGGTGAACCAGAAGCGTAACCCAAATAAGTCACTCTGTGGTATTTAAAAAAATTAACAGGAAGAGCCTGTGTGGGGTGATGAGTGTGGATGCACATTTCAATTTTAGTTTTCACCATTTAGCACACATGTCCAGGAAAACATGCTTCTGTCACCAAACAGTCAGCTGGGCGAGGTCCCTTTCCACCTAGTTGACCTGGGTGCAGTGAGGGTGGCACTTGTCATCCTCTGGTGTGGTCAGTGGAGTGGAAAGAGCTTTGAGTTCCTGCAGGCTCTACCATGAAGGAGCTGTGTGACCTTGGACAGGTTACTTCCCTTCTCCAAGCTTTAGCTCTTCACCTGTAAAGGGGGGCCCTCCTTTACTGGGTCTCGAGAAGGTGAAATGGAAAGTATCTAGGCCCATTCCTGGCACGCAGCAGGCCTTCAGTCGGTGGTAGGCATTACTGTCATTTAAAACATTCATACACGGGAAACAGAAGCAAACCACTGTTACTGCGGGGTTTTCTGTTACAGCTGAACTAAATTCCAATGAACACACTTACTTTACAGATAAATTCCACACTTTGGAAAGGAATCCAAAGTTACAAGCCCCACATTTCCTATACATGGCCTAGTCTCCAAATGTGTTTCATATTTTAGCAAAATCACCAGCACTCTCTCAGTGGACATTCTCTGCAGTCTTTAACAGTCAGTCTTCAAAGCCCATATTAAGAAGGTGGTGTGTCTAAGTCCTGGCCAGTGGAACAGAACAGGAATGATGAGTGCAAGAGACGTGTTCTTAAGATGGGAGAGGCTGTACCCTCCTTATTCTCTTCTGCCAGCTAGAGGCAGACACTAGAGGCTCGCAGCCCTGTGGCCACTGTACCTGCCACAAGGAGACACTGGGAAGGGTGGCCAGGCATGAGGGAGGACAAGACAGCAGGGGCCCAGGTCCACATACACCAGGGAGTGCCACGCCAGCCCGGATTGACCATCTCTGGACTTTCTGAATGTGCAAAGATATCCCTAAAGAGCATAATTATTTTCCCCAATGCAGAACTTAACATTGCTGGTGGTGGAACCAGGCCTTCAGGAGCGCCTGATGCGGTTGGGCCAACTGTGAATAACGGAGAGAAACAGGAAGAGGGAACACTCCGGCCAATATTACTTTTCATGTAAAGTAAATCTTTTCATTAAATAATGGTAAAAGTCAAGAGAAAGACTTAATTACTACCTTTGTGTTTATAAAACTTTGTTTTATAAAACTTGATGTAACTATGGTCAAGATAGGACAATATTTAAAGAAATAAAAGCACCAAGGTACAAGGTCAGCACAAAAAGTTGTGCTGATTAAGGGAATAGTGTCATCCCCAAGGGCGGTATCTGGCGGTGTGCCCCAGACTCTGCCCTTGACCCAGGACTGCTTAACATTCCAAGCATTCACTTGCAGGAAAGCCTAAAAAGCACACTTATTACATTCCGGGATGATTTGAAGCTGGTCAGGAGAGCTCATGATTTGAAAAATATTGCAGGATGCAAAAAGTATTTTGACCAAACAGAATGATGAGCTGAATGTAACAGTATGAAATGAGATAACGATGAATAGAAGAATCTGACAGATTTGGGGCCTAGATACCAATGGCCTCTGTATAAGACTAGAAGGGGAATTGTGTTCAGTTATGAACTTTGGGGGAAACAGAATCATCAGGGCGAAGAGATGGGAGTCGTGGTTGGGCGGAGAGCTGGTGGGGCGTGGGAAAGTGATGTAAGAGCCCCGTGTTAGGTGCCTCGGGCTGCCGTAACACAGTGCTGCACACTGCGGGCTGAAACAACAGACTTTACTGTCTCTCCGTTTTGGAGGCTAGAAGTCCAAGGTCAAGGTGTCATCAGGGTTGGCTCTTCTGGGGGCTGTGGGGGAGAACCTGTTCCTTGCCTCTCTCCTGGCTTCTGACAGTTTGCTGGCAATCTTTGGCATTCATTGTACTGTAGCTCCATCACCCCAGTCTCTGTTTTCATCTTCACATGGCATTCTTCCTGTGTGCTTGCCTCTGTCCATGCTTCCCTCTTTTGTAAGGACACCAGGTGTATTGGATTAGGGCCCACCCTAATGACCTCATTTTAGCTTGCTCATCTGCAAAGACCCTATTCCAGTTAAGGTCACATTCACAGGTATTGGGGTTAGGACTCTAACATCTTTTTTGGAGAAGACACAGTTCAACCTGTAGCAAGCCCTTCCCCAATTTGAAGGGCTGTAACATGCAAGAGGCTTAATTTTCTTTCATGTGACCCCAAGGAAGAGAAGCAGGGCCATGGAAGCAGATTCCAGTCCAGCAAGAAGACCTCAAAGTATTAATTCATTGTTTGCTGTGTAGCTCCAGGCTTCTTTCCTCTCTCAGTTGTGCCCAACAGCAATTTTTTCCCCTCCTGCCCCCATATAAGCAAAAACAAAGATTCAAATAAACCACTGACCATATATTTAATAATTTATCATCTAAACTGGGACACTTCTGAGAGTGGTAACAGTGCAGGTGGTGAAAGCAGTCCAGCGGGACATACATTCACTAAAGACTATATAAATGGGTAAGAATTGGTCTGCTTTTCATTATCACCATGCAGCAGTAATCAGCAATTCTGAACTATATCAGTGATAACCTACCCCCTCCTTAAAAAAAAATCTTTAATTGGTTTAACTCTTAAACAATTGCTGTGGTTACTATTGTGTTAATATACATGTAAGCTTAAAATTGGCTTGTTTTAATTTCTTACTTTTTTTTTTTTTTGAGAGGGACTCTAGCTTTGTCGCCCAGGCTGGACTGCAGTGGCACAATCTCAGCTCACTGCAACCTCCACCTCCCAGGTTCAAGCGATTCTCCTGCCTCAGCCTCCCAAGTAGCTGGGATTACAGGCACCCGCCACCATGCCTGGATAATTTTTGTAGTTTTAGTAGAGACGGGGTTTCATCATGTTGGCCAGGCTGGTCTCGAACTCCTGACCTCAGGTGATCTGCCCACCTCAGCCTCCCAAAGTGCTGGGATTACAAGCGTGAACCACTGCGCCTGGCCTAATTTCTTACCTTTTACTAAATAAACATATTTTACATGGAAGTTAATTAGACAAACACCCAGTTACACAGTTGACCCCTGGCATACACTATACACATTTTTTTTGTGAATAAATTCATAATTATTCAAAGTCATCAGGCTTAGTGAACAGCTCATGTCTCCAACCCCTGGCAGAGAACTCCTGGATTTATTTTTATTTATTTATTTTTTGAGACAGAGTTTCGCTTTTTGCCCAGGCTGGAGTGCAGTGGTGTGATCTCTGCTCACTGCAACATCTGCCTCCCGGGTTCAAGTGATTCTCCTGCTTCAGCCTCCTGAGTAGCTGGGATTACAGGTGTGCACCACCATGTCTGATTAATTTTGTATTTTTAGTAGAGATGGAGTTTCACCTTGTTGGCCAGGCTGGTCTCGAACTCCTGACCTCAGGTGATCCGCCCACCTCGGCCTCCCAAAGTGCTGGGATTACAGGTGTGAGCCACCATGCCCAGCCTACTCCTGCATTTAAACAATAGATTTGAAATAAACAATGATAACGCAATGATTATCATAAAGATGAAAGGAATTGAGCTACTTTAATTGTCATTCTATGTGACCACTTGGAATTTTTATTTGTATTCAGAATTTAAACACTGAAACAGTGCAAACTGTGAATTGTAATATTTTTATTTGATAACTGAAAAATTTTCAACATGTAAAAATGGGATGTATTAAACTAAGATTTATTCTGGGTATCACATATGCTGAGTCGGGGTATTAGTTCCCAGTTGTTTAATCTGATGTATCCCATACTGTGGTATTGGTGGTACCAATGCTATAATGGTGGTAACAATACCACTGGTGGTACATGGTGGTGGTACCAATACCATAGTATGGGACACATCAGATTAAACAACCGGGAAATCTGGGAAAACTGGGCTATCGCAGGCAAACCAGGACATTCCATTACTGACCAAAGGTCAAAGGATGATTTTTGGGGAAAGAGTTCTTCCTCCTTTCTCAGAAGAGAAGAGGGAGAAGAGGTGCGTGGGGGAGATATAGTGACTCTAATGGGAGAGGGAGGACTAACAGGAGGGAGACATTTAAAAATGACCTGGGTATAGCCTTTGAAAATACACAGAAATGTTTAATAAAAATGCACTAGTAATGGACACGCAGTTTGTGATTGGCTTTTAAAAAATGTTACATGGTAAGTTTTTATGGAATTCATTTTTTTCTGCAATATTATTTTTAGTGGCTGTCATCTTGCTCCTAAATTCCCTTCTGTGTGTCTCCTTACCTTATCTCCCCACCTCACACCATTCACAAGAATAAATTCCAGGTGCTTTAAGAACTTTTAAAAATTTAGGCCAGGTGTGGTGGCGCATGCCTGTAATACCAGCAATTTGGGAAGCTGAGGCAGGCTGATCACTTAAGGTCAGGAGTTCACCACCAGCCTAGCCAACACAGCAAAACTTTGTCTCTAGTAAAAATACAAAAATTAGCTAGTGGTTGTGGCACGCACCTGCAGTCCCAGCTACTCAGGAGGCTAAGGCAGGAGAATTGCTTGAACCTGGGAAGCAGAGGTTTCAGTTAGCCGAGATCGTGCCACTGCGCTCCAGCCTGGGCAACACAGTGAGACTCTGTCTCAAAAACAAAAACAAAAACAAACAAACAAACAAACAAGAAAAAATTGAGCTGTCATTTGCACTCATCAGTTTGAAAAAATTGAAGTCTAATAATATGAAGGATTGATGAGGATAAAGAAGAAAATTGGCAATCTCATCCACTGAGGGTGAAAGAAAGTACTTTGGTAGAATCTAGTGAAATGGGTGTA
The DNA here is from genome assembly GCF_000001405.40 of Homo sapiens. NCBI lineage: Eukaryota > Metazoa > Chordata > Mammalia > Primates > Hominidae > Homo > Homo sapiens. The sequence continues at coordinate 44,468,215 of NC_000006.12, forward strand.
TTCTATGGTTCAACAACTCTGATTCAGCATTTATACACAAGATAAATTCTTCAACTTGTGCACAAGGAGAAGTGTACAAGGTTAGAAACAATTAAACCTTTCTAACTTTTCCCCACTCAGTGGTCCCCCTTGATTGCTCCACAGCAAATCCTCTTGAGACCCTCCCACATTTTATTTATTCTTTCCCTACTGATGGATGGAACATCCAAAGGTAGGGAAAGAATAAATAAAATGTGGGAGGGTCTCAAGAGGAATTGCTGCGCAACAATCAAAAGCGACCACTGAGAAAAAAGAGGATGCAGAATGACATACTTAGCAAGAGAGCATTTGTGACAATCTAATTCACAGGTGAAACTTTCTTATTATTGGTAGGGACAGAAGTTGATATGCAAATATTTAGCTGGAGTGATAATGTAAATTACATAATTTAATAAATACATCCAATATTTAAAAATATTCTCTTTTATTGCCTAAATTCTGGCAAAAATGGTTTATCAAATACATCTTATAATTTCCAAGTTGTTAATTTTCAGGAATTGCTGGTGTGAGCTTCTGTTTGATGTGGTGGACCCTCGGTAAGTGATGCACTGGTCTGGGCCATGCTTTGATACAAGAGATGGCAGCAAACTCTTCCAAGAATTTCCCCACGAAATTATAGGCATGAGGTAACTTTTAGTCTCAATAAGCAGAAAATCTTTTGGAACATCAGATATTGTAAGTGGTGTTGATTTCTTCTCAGCTTCTGCTAAACTAACGGCAGCTAAATAAAACATTTTCGAGGCCTATAAAAACGTCAGAAGTTTCCATATATTCCATACCTCCATGAGTGATGAAATCATTGACATTCCTTTCTTGAAACGTCATATTTAATTAGATCAAGTCTAATCTTTCAGGTGGATGAGAGAAGATGCTCAATGTGTGGGCTTTGTTGCCAGATTGCCTGGTTTTGAATTCTGATTCTCCTGCGTCAGTTTTGATTACCTCTGTCTTCAGGTTCCTCATTTGTAAAGGGGGGCAGTGATGATGGTGATGATATGGATGGTACTTAGTGAGGCAGGAAACACTTAAAATGGTACCTGGCAGTGAGCATCACTACATAAATGTCAGCTCTCATTTTTATTAAGTTTAGATTCTTAATGCCAGTGATGGGCGGGTGTTTCAATGTTTTAATACGTGTTTTATTTAAAAAAGGTGAAATTCAGCTGGGCACGGTGGCTGACGCCTGTAATCCCAGCACTTTGGAAGGCCTAGGCGGGCGGATCACGAGTTCAGGAGATCGAGACCATCCTGGCTAACATAGTGAAACCCTGTCTCTCCTAAAAATACAAAAACAACATCAGCCCGGTGTGGTGGCGGGCGCCTGTAGTCCCAGCTGCTCAGGAGGCTGAGGCAGGAGAATGGCGTGAACCCGGGAGGCGGAGCTTGCTGTGAGCCGAGATCGCGCCACTGCACTCCAGCCTGGGCGACAGAGCAAGACTCCGTCTCAAAAAAAAAAAAAAAAAAAAAAAAAAAGAAAAGAAAAAGAAAAAGAAAAAAGAAAAAAAAAGATGAAATTCAACAGGGACATACCCCTGATGAAAGAGGGACCTACCCCTGAGGGGACGTGGCCCTCAATGCCCCTACAGACTTGGGCCCGCATCCCTCCTTCTGTCGCACGGGTGCCTCTGCTGTCAGAACCAGCAGCATTAACCAGCGCCGGCCAAGTCACTGCCTGGCTACTTGCTCTCCCACCTGGCAGAGCTCAGAGGCCGCAGTTCCACACGTGGCCACGTGAGGGCGATGCCAGGAGAGTGCCGGTTTATGGGGCAGCCACAGCCTTTGGGTGTGGGGGTCAGGGGATGGCTGCACCACTGCCAAGGAGTGTCCAGGCTGCTGGGCCAAAGAGGCATGTTGGGATAGAATCTCGCGCAGGAGCTTCAGAGGTTTAGTGGGTGCAGGGGCTCCCCAGCCAGGCCCTCTGGGACAGTAACCTAGGTGCTGGAGGCTCCGTGACAGATGTCAACTCTTTAGTTGCTGGATTGTAGCCAGGTGCAGGAGCCCCGGGGAAAGGCTCAGGTGGCGAGGGCCATTCACCAACCTGTACGTAAGAACTTTGATTTTTTGCCAACTAATACAGCTGGGCACTACACAAACACAGATCCCTTGTCATGGATGTGTAACAAAAGCTGAATAGGCATGATTATAGCAGTTCATGCCTCGTAGTAATGTTCCCAGTGAAATTGAAGAACTCTTTTTTTTTTTTTTTTTGAGATGAACTCTCACTCTGTCGCCCAGGCTGGAGTGCAGTGGCATGATCTCGGCTCACTGCAATCTCCATCTCCTGGGTTCAAGAGATTCTCCTACTTCAGCCTCCTGAGTAGCTGGGATTACAGGCATGCACCACCACGCCTGGCTAATTTTTGTATTTTTTTAGTCGAGACGGGGTGTCTCACCATGTTGGCCAAGCTGGTCTCGAACTCCTGACCTCAAATGATCCACCTGCCTTGGCCTCCGAAAATGAATAACGCTTAACTCAAAGTGGCGTGGGTATGAGCATTGTTACTCTTTATACTCCTTTGTAATAAATTAAAAAAATTCTCAGAGACAATTTGGATCATCCAATGCGTTTTTGAAAGACTAGAGGATATCTTTAAAAAATCAGCATAAACAAAGAAAACTACTAAAATGTCACTTGGCAACAGCAGCATTCTTTAGCAAAATTGCAAGTTACACAAATTTTACCTTCCAAATTCCTCATTCTAGTCCCTGTGCCCTGCCCTGCCCTGCCTGTTGTCATGTCCCAGTGGCTGCTGCTGTTCTCCGTGGTGTAAATGCTGCCACTTGTGAGTTTCCTGTACAAAAAGGTGTGCTGTGACCTCTTCCTCATTCACCTGGTCTTCAGCTGTTTTATTCTTGATTTGGGGCTCAGAATTGTTCCTTCCCTGAAGATGATCAAAGGACATGCACACATCCAAAGTTTTGCTCTGTGATAGCATAGACTTCTTGATTATGATTTTATAAAAACTGCTTTTCAGAAACAAAAGTCAAGATGCCAGATTTATAAAGTCAAGATGCCAGATTTATAGAGGATTAGCAGCTTGTAGCCCCATTTTAAAACGAAGTAAAAATGAAATTCAATTGGCAAATTTATTATTTGCTAAGTTATATCTTTAAATGTAAAATATTCAACTTGATATTAAATAACAAATGAATACATTGCCTCAGTCCAAAAAGGATCAGAGATAATGTCAAATGAGATGATTCAGTGAGCAAAAGATAGCACGAGATATAAAATTACAAAATTACTTCACGCCTCTATCTTCGTGCTCCTTGTAAATGATAGCAAACTCCCTTTTCCCCACCCCATTTTTTCCTTTTACTTATCTAGTCTCCTCCATAGTTTGAACATTTTCAAAACTGTACAGTTCCTGCTTAAAGAAATGAACAGCTGCTGGTAGAATTTCAGGTGCAGACACTCAGTTGGACAGGTCATCGGGGCCGGAGGTCCTTCCCAGGGCTGGTCAGGCTGCTCTAGGTGGACAAGAGCGTGCCTCTGGGAAGTGAGAGGCCTGGTGCTGATAACCTAGTATCAGTGCAGTTGCAGACCGGTGTTGGCGTTGGCCGGGAAGGAGGGCAGCGGCGTGGCTTGAGGTCATGGAGGACGCGCAGGGCAGGCTTGAAGCTGGAGGGACATACTTTGCATACCAATTCCTTTTCTGGATCCTGTTAGTGGTGAAACTCCGAGTGTCCTTGTCACTGATGGCATGGTACAGACCACCTGGTCAGGGGACAGCCCTTGCATTATGTTTCCAGGGGGGTTCAGAAGCCTTAACACTTTCTTTGGAAGATCTCTCTGCCATTGCCCCTGATAGGATAGATCAGCTGCTCTGTGGCTTGCTTTTCCTGACATCTCTCCTTTGGCCTCCTCCACCTGGCACCACCACCTCCTTTCCTCTTCCTGATGGGCTTCTAGAAACCTTCAAAGATTATTCCTCCTGCAGCATTTATATTTTAAAAGGAGACAGTGGAGCAGACACTCTAACTCAAATAGTAAAATGAAAACTATGCTGTAACACGCACCTACTGGGTATCAGGAGCTTGCACAAGTGTTGCTCATTTAATCTTCACTACAACCCTGCAAGGTTTTGCTTCCCTAGTTAACAGATAGGAAAGTGGAGGCCTGGGGGTTTAGGGAGGTACAGTCAAGCAGTCAAGTTCACAGAGCTGGAGGCTTTCTGGTGGGGCTGGACTTGAATACACTTTTGGTAGAGTCTCAGTCCCTAGGCCCCTCCTCATGACATCGCCCCCTCCCCTCCCATCCTGCTTCAGGGCCTGGGCCCAGAGCCCACACGGGAGCCAGGACCCTTGCTCCTTGCCCGTGCCTAGGCTGCCGTGGGTGGCAGAGGAAGGGCTCTCTGGTCCAGACTACCCTTCTGTGACTTGAACAGGAAAAGACAAAGGTCCCATTTTAGAGCTGCAGCCTGTTTCCATGTCTCTAGTTGCTGAACCACCAGGAGGAAAAGCATTTGAGGTATTTCCATGGGAAATGGTAGCCAACAAAAGCGCCGTTGGGTGGTATTCTAGTTAATTGCAGGAAGGCGGGCAGCCCTCCAGGATATTACCTTTCTTAGGCTGGAAAGTGTTTCTTTGAAAAACGTTTTGGTTCAGCCGAGGCCTCCTAAGTTTTTGCAGATTTGCTTGTTCGTAACTATGAAGAGAGTCACCAAGTCGGTCCTTTGGGGGGCGGGGTGGGGGTAAGGTGAAGGCAGCATCGCTGGGAGGAAACTACTCCGATGACAACTTTTTGCTAAATGGTGGCTGGAAAACACTGGATTATATTTCCCCCGGTACAAATTCCTAAAGGGGGCCAATCCCCCGAGGCCGGCCTCCCCCAGACAGAAACAGAATCTGTGACCCTGAATGAAATGTCTCATGCCCCTGTGAAGGGGAGAGGGCAGGAAATGAAGAGAAGTGATCTCTCTTTTTAAACACACTTTTTTTTTTTAAACACTGAAAAGAAAAGCATTTGCAAAGGTGCATGAATCCAAGTGTGTTGCTCCTGACACATCGGTTTTGCATGTGCTTTTGCCTTTTCAGAATGTTTTCACTTCCTGGCAGCCTTGGGAGGTGAGCAAGGCCTCCATCCATCTCTGCACCTGAGAGATGAGGACGCTGAAGTTAAATGGCTTACCCCGCAGGTCATCCCACTGGTAAGACACGGAGCTGGTGCATTCGATCAGTCTGTCGCGGCCACATATTCCTGGGCACCTCTTCTGTGCCCAGCCCAGGGCTGTGAAAAGGACATTGAGGTGGCCGCTGTCTAGCTGTGGATACACATGCCTCATTTAAGTAGAATGGTACAGAGCAGCCCAGCATGAGGTACGGTCCTTCAACTTGAAGCTGACCTGGAGCTCTGTGCAGCCATTGCCGCAAGTGGGTTGGAGTAGGGGGCAGGCTAACTTCTTGAAGGAGGCGTGAACAGCTGCTGAGACTGCGGACCCCTGAATGGTGCTCTTTCCACCAGGACCTCACTGAAATCTAGGTGCTGTTCCCCAAATGGAACATTTTAATTACTGCTGCCGATGACACGTTTTATATCTGCTAGTTGTTATAAATGCAAATATAGAGAAATAGGAAGTAAAAGATCCAAGTGTCATTTCCCCTACTCCTGGCAACCGCAGTTGGCCCCCAACCCAAGATGAACACAGTTGGATATGTTGGGGTGTCTCTTTTGGACATTCTCATATGCATACAAGCTGTCTGGGCCTGTACCCTGGCTGCCTCCTCCACCGTACTCTCTGCGCAGAAGCTGACCGGTGTGCACTGCATCAAAGGGCTCAGCCTCTGCAAGGGACAGGAGGTGTGGCTAGGATATTCCTGTCGCTGGCTCCCTCTGTGCCAGGTCAGACCTTGTGGTCAGAGGGATGGTGGCAAACTCCGTTGTCAGAGGGATGGTGGCAGACCCCGTTGTCAGAGGGCTGGTGGCAGACCCCGTGGTCAGAAGGCTGGTGGCAGATCCTGGGGTCAGAGGGCTGGTGGCAGACCCCGGGGTCAGAGGGCTGGTGGCAGACCCCGGGGTCAGAGGGCTGGTGGCAGACCCCGTGGTCAGAAGGCTGGTGGCAGATCCTGGTGTCAGAGGGCTGGTGGCAGACCCCGGGGTCAGAGGGCTGGTGGCAGATCCTGGGGTCAGAGGGCTGGCGGCAGCCCTCATGGTCAGGGGACTAGTCGCAGCAGCCCTCATGGTCAGGGGACTAGTGGCGGCCCTCTGCTGGGAGTCGTAGCTCCTGTCAGGTGGCCCCTTCACACATTTTCCCTCTCTGGATTCCCATAATGACCTCTTCCCTTTACCCTTCAGCCCTGCGGATGGTTACTGGCCCTTCTTCCCTTGTTGATTTCCTTAAACCCTATAAGTAAACTCTTTTCAAGTCACCTCACCCCATGTTTTTCAGAATCTTGACTGAGAATAAGCACATATATTGTTTTGTAATCTGTGTGTGTGTGTGTGTGTGTGTGTGTGTGTAAAAAGGAGTTATTATATATAAATATCCTGTAAAGTCATGAAGTCCTGGGGGCCTCAGATAAACCCTTAGAAGGATGTTACTGCATCACCCCGTTATTGATTAGGAAACAGAGGCTCAGAGAGGGTGAGTAATCTGCTCACAGTCACCAAATAAACAGAGGAGTGGCCATTCTAAGGCCAGTGTGCTATTTTACAGCATTCCAGTGGGTGGGTATAGATTATTCATGTAATCAGTCCCCCTATGGATAAACATTTAATGTTGTATTCAGTTTTTCTCCTTGATATCAAGGCATCCCCAAACACAATACATGATTTCTTCTGGAAGCCTGAAGCAGGCACAGAGCAGTGGGAGGCACAGAGGGTGAGGCTGAGCCAGCTGTCAGATCTGGGACAAGCCGTTCTGCTTCTCTCAGCCTCGATTTCCCCAGATGTCTACTAGGAAGAGCATAGACCTTTGGACTTTGAGGCATGTGAGAGCCTGAGATTCTGCTGAGGCCTCGTTTTTAAATAGCTGCTCGTCTGAGGCTGGAGTGTGGGCAGTGATCAGCTGGCTACCAGGGAGGTGGCTGACGACAGGGTCCCCTTGTCCCCATAAGACTTTTATGGTACCACCTTTCAGGCATGTCCCATCCTGCTCATGAGCTGCAGAGACATTTGCTTCTGGAGGAAGCACTGAAGAGAAAACCAGCTATTAGTACTAGGATTGAAACAAAGAGAAAATGAAGATTCTGAGAAAGTGACTGTTCTTAGAATCAAGAAGTGTTATGGGGGAAACGATGTGTTCTTGGAGCATTTAGGGGAGGAAATAGGTAAATCCAGGAGAGGGTGCTTGCCACTGCAAGCTGGTCTAGCTCCCTGCACCCTCAGCTCTGTCCAGGAACCCTCTTCCTCCAAGTTCTTGAAGGCTGTGCGGGGCCCAGGCTCCAAAGAGGACAGATGCAGAGGCCACTTGTCCTCCCCTCCCCAAGGACCCAGAGCCCGCAGCTCCAGCAGCATCTCCAGCCAGCTGCCTGTCTGTAGCCGACGCCCCCCAGGGCTGCAGGGTTGGGCGAACTGGCCTCTCCTGTGCGGCTGACCAGGTCCCCCGAGCTTCCTTAGGGTTGCAGGCAAGGAGGCTCCCGCAGGGAATCTGGAGCAAGGTGCATCCGGCGGCCAGCAGGTGTCACTGCTGCCCCAGAGACGGCCGGCCACGGGCTGTGGCGACACGGTGAGCTGGAACAAACCGCTTTGTTCCTGCTTCACAGGCTTTACCTTACAGCAGGGTTAGGAGCCTGTTTACCTGCACTTCTGCCCAAGGAAAGGAGTAAAAGCCCTTCTCCTCCTTCCCTCCAGAGGACCCCATGGAGGCCTGCTGGGCTGCGCCCCCCTCACTGGCCTGGCCAGGGCGTGTGGGAGCACCCAGCAGCTGGGGCTCCTGGGCACCCACTGCCTGCCGGGCTTTGCCCTGGGAGCTGTGGGGCCCACAGCCCTATGGACTTCATACTTCTGCAGGGGCATGGGGCAACTTGAAGGGGTGTTGGTAGGTGTTACAAAGCGAGGCCCAGCCTGGGTCTGGCACGGTGAATCCTCCTTCCTGGCCGCCTCTCCTCACTCCGAAGGCTTCGCGGATGGTCTTGCTCCAGGTTGTCAGTTGCTCCTCTGAGTGGTGGGTGAAGAGGAAGCGGCTCCCGTGTGTGGGGCTGTAGGCGGACCAGCTGTTCTAGTTTGCTCATCACTGAGGAGTTCCTGGATGCACAGCTTTGGTGCTAAACTCAGAAAATCCTGGGCAACCCAACGAGTTGGTCATTCGGGCCAGGTACCAGCCACTTTTCAGACATCACTTTGCCTAACGCACATTGTTGGTCGTGTTGTCTCCCCATTGTAAAGAGAAACTAAGGTTGGAAAAGGCTAAACAAGCTGCCCAAACTCTCTGGATGGGGAGGGAAGAGTGGACATTTGAATTTAGGACCACCTGACCTGTGCTGTTTCTCCTGGATGCCTCTGAGGTTGAGAGATGAGAAGTGGCATTCACAGGCGTGAATCCGTGATGCCCAAATGGTAGGCAGCTGTGGGCCACGGGCATGGACAATTATGCTGTGTGCTGTGGTGGTCGCCTGAACTGGGGCAGCAGCCCAGGAGTCCCTTGAGGGCATGGAGGTCTGAGGGGAGCAGCGCATCAGAAACAAGGGTGTGGGGACTTTTAGGACCCCATGGTCAGAGCACAGGTAGCAGAAAAGCACACACTGGGCCAGGCCGAGGGGGCACAGCCAGGCTGACAGGGCCTGGAAGGGAGATACCACCGCCAAGAAGGTCCCGATACCTGCACGTGCCTCCTCCACAGCCCAGACGCTTATCTAAAATATCTTTTAGGACAAGAACCAAACCCCTAAGCCTGGTGAGCCGAGGACCTGGCGGTGTCTGGCTGGCCGGGGTGGGGGCTATGTAGGCAGAAGCAGATGCTGGTGGAAGTTCACCCAGGCCCCCTTTGCCAGGTGGCCAGGGACAGCATCGGCCACTTCCACAGGGGGCCATGAAATGGTGTCAGCTTCTGACAGATGCTGGATGGACATTCAGCCTAAGCATGGAAGCCAAAATGAAAGAATTCGCCAGGTCCTCAATTCATTGGGTAAAATCAGCTCTTGTAGCAGCCAGGCAGCTGGCAGGCTAGATGCTGTGCTCAGGGCTACTATTACAGAGAGAAGCCCCAGCCCTCCAGGGCCTGTGGAAGAAAGCAACCAGCCCAGCAGCAGACAGGCCTTTCTGCAAGTCACTGCAGCGAGGATGAGTGACAAGCTTATCAAGACGGCTGGTCAAGGCACCAAATGCCTCCTCCTAGGATCTGCACATGTCTGCTGGGCAAGGCTGCTGCTCCCTTGACAGGGAGAATTAGGAAAAAGAGCCCTCTCTGGATGGGCACAGCCTTCAGCAGCACAGCTTTGCAAGTGGAGTTCAGTCCCCGCTAACCCTCTTAGCTGGACACATTTGTGCAGTGCATAAACTGCACAACTGTACATGATGGTCCTGCCAGCAGAGGCTGTTTGTATCAAGGACTGATAACTCTTTTGCAGGCGGGAAGCAGGAGGTACCTGAGACCTGGGTGATGCCCTCCCCATCTGGTCCCTTCTGTGCTCAGAGTGGTCAACTCTTCCTAGGAAGCATCCAGGAGAAGCTATACAGGAGGATAAGGAGGAGGACAAGTGCATTGCGTGAAGAAATGTAACGTGCAAATGCACAGGGGCATAAAACTTCCCCATTGACTAGAGAGTAGGGTGCAAGGTGGGGACAGCAGGAGATGAGGTGGGCAGGGGCCAGAGTTAAAGGCCTGGTCTTCTGTAGGCTGTTCTGTATTTGAGGCTCAGGGAGCTATCTATGTGCCAGGCTGGAGGGAAGAGGGCAGCAAGGGAGAGCCAGGTGGGAGGTAACCTTCCTTTTCGTAGGCTCCTCTAGAGGCTTATTTCCATACCACATCAATGATATTCCCAGAAGCCTCCAGCAATAGTTCTGAGCTCTGTCTTCTGCCCATTGTGCCAGCTTCTGCTGGGAATCTTGGAAACAGAAGTTGGAGCCTTACTCTTAAGCAGAAATGCCAAGGCTAAAAAGGGAAGTCATGACCACACACATGTGTCTGCTGGGACTAACTGGGGACAGAGGGTGCAGTGGGGGGTTGGGAAGAGTAAGCCGCTGCCACTGTGCTTGGGGTGGTCTGGGAGGACTTCTCATACCGTGCCCACTGCTTGTGCACACCTGGGTATGAGCACAGTCTCCACCCCTGACTGAGGCACTGGATGAATCACACCCCCTCCCTTAGTTCCTCCACCTGCAAAAGGGTATAGCAGCCCCCACCCACCCAGGGCCCAGGGCGTAAACTGCCCCAATGCCTTGATTATTTACTCTTCCTCCTGGTGGGTGGCAGCATCTGAGGGGCCAAGTCTTGCCTCACCCACGTGTGCAAGAGTACAGATCGAGGTTTGATTTGCCAAAAAATTTAACTATTTTCTTTTCCTCTTAAGTTCTGGTTTCTCCTTTTGGGAGGTGCAGGAAAGAGGCTGGAAAGGGCCCCCTTGACTGCTGCTGATTGGGAAGGGATGGGAGTGTGTGGACAATGGCTGGTGGGCCAGGCTGGCCGTGTCCCAGGGGCCAAGCCCCATGCTGGGCTGTTCTAACAAGAACTTGAACTGAACCGAACCATGACCCCCAAATTGGAAAACACTGCCCTGATTCACTGAACCCGAAACCGAATCCAAGTATTATTATTTTTTGACTGAACTCTGAATTGAACTAATGTTTTTTCTTAAATACCTACCAAACCAGTTCGAACTAGACACAAACATATGTGTTTTCTGAAACTATTGAACCTGAACTTCAAAATAATCTCCTATCCGAGGGCAAAGTGAGACTTTATTTACTTGAGAGTGTTCTGTTCACAGCAGGCCAATAAAGCCTCCTTTATGGCAGAAGTAGCTTTCATTTGTTCAGCGCTTTCGTTTTACTTCTCATTTTTAAAAACCGGGGTGTAATTTACATACAGTGGAATGCATTGATCTTAAATGTATAGCTTGATCAATTTTGACAACACATATGCCAGAGGAACTCGGAGGAACCCCAGTCAAGATCTAGTGCCTTTATGTTCAGCCCAGAGGGTTCCCTCTGCCCCTCTCCCAGGCCATTCCCACCCCCACCAAACAACCACTGTTCTGACTTTGGTCTCCTTTTGCTTCTCGTTTGAGGCTTCTGATCAATCTCCCACCTCCACCATGGAAAGAGGGAAGACCGATGTGATGATACCCATTTCTTCTTTTCTTTTTTCTAATGTTTATTTTAAGTTCAGGGGGGTACATCTGAAGGTTTCTTACACAGGTAAACTTGTGTCATGGGGATCTGTGGTACAGATTATTTCATCACCCAGGTATTAAGCCTGGTATCCATTAGTTATTTTTCCTGATCCTCTCCCTCCTCCCAGCCTCCACCCTCTGATTGGCTCCATTGTGTGCCATTCCCCTCCATGTGTCTGTGTGTTCTCAGATTATAGCCATTTTATGGATGAGGGAATGAAGGCTCAGCTAAAGAGAAATGGCTTGTCTGAGCTCACAGAGCTAAGTATTAGCAGTGTTAGACCCAGCCAGGTTTCTGGTCTTCTAGCTCCTTCTTTCCATCTCAGGCCGTCTGCCGAATTAGATACCAATAATGGATCAATGCCTCTATGGATTTCCTAAGGAACATATCCCACCTCTGGGCTCCAGGGCATGATGGGCTGCACTCACCCCACAAGCAGGGTGGTTTTATCTATTTTTAAAGACCTCTCAGCAGAGAGCCTGGTGTGTCTCATTCTGGGCTGAGCCACCCCAGCAGACGGGACATTCTCCTTGGGCTTCAGTGCATCCCTCTGGCAGCAGCCTGCACTGGGATGTCTGTCCCCTGTCTCCAGCCTGCCTGTGTGTGGCTGTCTGTCGGTGTCTCTGGCTGCCTGTAAGTAGACAAACTGTATCTGACCCCCGAGAAGCAGTGTCTGTCTCCCCTCGCAGCCGAGCAAGAGAACATTGACTAGGTTCCCAGGCTGGGTTTCCTGGGGAAACATTTTCCAGAGCCTACAACAATGTTGTATTTGATTTGATTTCCCCCCCTTCTTTGCAGGCGATTGTGTGGTTTGGGGTGTTTTGCTCCTAGTTATAATCCAATAAAGAGCAGCTGCTGAGATTTTTCCAAGAGTACCGCTTTCAACCGCCCTCGTTGAAAACGCTCTAATTTATTTCAGTCGCTTGTGGGAAAACCAGCCTTAGCTCAAAACAAAGGCGTCCTGTGCTGATGTAATTGCCCCAAGAGTTTCTCCTCAGCGCTTTGGGCCTGCGGATGCTCACCAAGGAGACCCGGGAAGAAGCCTCCCTTCTCGAGGGCTGAAGTTGTCCAGAGGAACCTTGCTGTCTTCCAGCCTCTCAGGAGGACGTGGGAGTCTCAAAGCCCAGTGTGGGTTGGGGCCAAGATGTTCTCCATGGCTAGCCAATTTCCTGTGGCTCTCAGGGGTCAGTTCATCAGTCAATCACACCTTAGTATGAATTAATCTGATTTTTTCTGCTTATGTACTCAAGCCCTTTCCACTGAGGGGCTAGCACTGTGGGTGAAAGGACTGATTAAGAGAGAGTTTCTGCTAAACAGACCTTCAGTGGGACCCAGCCTTGGGGGAACCTATGGTAGGGATCTGGGCAGTTGGAGGTGAGGGAGTGGGAAGAGATTCCGAGTAGGGGTTGGAGGAGACCTCCAGGGTCAGCTTGCCCCGGGGCCATTCAGATTTGCCTGTTCTGTCTCCGCCTGTCAAGGCCCCCCTTGGGCCCTAACTGCGGTGATTAAAGAGGGCCTCATGAGTAACTCGGTTGTATTGCGCCCAAATATCTTTCTTGGGAAGCACAAGGGCCTCCTGGACTGTAAATTTAAAAATGGCAGCCCCATGGCAGAGCGATGTGTGAAATGTTTTTGTTACTTTGTCAACTCACAGATGCGACACTCTGATCGAATTACACCTGGTGGTGCTGTGTGTTTGGCTATAACTGTATTTCCAGGTGAGTGACTCTAGGGGTGTGCTTTGGGGTTGACTATCTCCAAGGCCCTGTTTTCCGTTTCATTTGCAAAGCGATTTTCATAGAGCCATGGAGATCTCTTTGTTTCCAAGTCAGAGGAAGTCACATGCCAGGGAGCATTTGCCTGTGAAGTGCCCTGCTTTGCCCACAGGCTGCCCTCTGCCCTGCCACTCCCTCCCTTAGAACCACCTGCAGGGGCCAAGCGAATCAAGTTGACGGAGTCTTGCACAGGCGGGAGCAAGACCTCTTTCGGCCTTGGATTCTTAGCAGTTAGTTATAAAGCACTGGCATGGTGTAGACACAGAAGAGTTCCAAACACTTCAAAAGTGCTGTACAGATCTCTAGGATTCATAGCCTTCGGAGATTCTGGCTTAGTCCATCTGATGTGGGACTCAAGCATCTTTATTTTTCTTTCAAAATATCTTCAGTATGTATGTTCCTCTAGAAAATTAAGAAAATGTCAACCATCATGGTTCCCTCCCTTAGATACTCGCATTGAACATTTTTGCGACTTTCCTTCCAGGCTTTTTTATTGTGCATACATTTATATTCGGATTAGTGCCGCACACTCAGTTTGGTGTCATTTTCCTCTGAGCATCGTGAGTATTTTCCCATGACATTTAATATTTTTTGAAAGCGTGGTTTGTACCGGCTGCGCATAAGGGAATCTTTGTCTGCATGTCTGATTATTTCCTCGAGATGGGTTCCCAAGTGTGTGAGAAAACTCTAGAGTAGAGTTTTAAACACTTAGCTTAGCTCATTTCCTTGTGCTGGATTCTACTCCCCCCCAGTGTATCCACCCCATCTCCTGCCAATACGGAACATTTGCTCATTTATTTTCTTAGTTTTAGAATCACAAAAGCAGTGCATACTCAAGCAATAAGGATGAAATAAGTATGAAGTCAAGTATCAAGCAATAAGTATGAAACAAAAGCACCCAGTCTTTGGTTTCCCCTGCCGTTGACTATCCCCCAGAGACTGGCACCATCAGTTTGGGGTGTATCTTGGAGCACCTTCCTCTTCAGCCTTCATTTTATTTTTCATACATTTCCCAGATGCTGCATGGGCAGACTGGGAACTATTGGTGTTGGGGGGAAAGGACAGCTTGGGAACCTGAGAACCTGAGAGCCGCCCCTGCCCCGCTAGAAGGTGAGCACAAATGTCCTGGACCTTGCTTTCCTCTTTGCAGTGTAGGCATAATGATATCTTTGTTGTTTGTTGGTAAGATTGTTCTGAGATTTGATTAACCAGCTGTAGCAAACAAACAAAACAAGAATGAAACAAACAAAACCAAGTAGGATGCCTAGTTAGTTAAATATGAATTTCAGATAATGAATGATTTTTGAGTATTAACATGTCCCATACAATATTTTACCTGCATTTTATCTGGCAGCCTACCTGAGATGAACATGTAGAAGGGACTTTGAAATGGGTTCTGGCAGAGCGTCCCGGGGCCCCAGCTGGCTCCTTCCTTTTGGTTACAGAGGACTCCTTATCTTAGGGGAGATCAGGGCTTGTCCATCCTTGGTCTTGAGACAGTCCCTCAAGCACTGACAAGTGGCAGGAAGGAGGAGCCTCTTCAGCAGCGGGAGGAAGGGGGGGTGCACCATCATTTACTGAGCACCTACAGTATGCTAGGCTGTTGGTAAACACCCTGTCTCTGTGTGTGCCCAACTGCTTGTTGGTGCTGAGCCTGCTCCTGACTCTAATGCCCTCGCAGTCCTCAGCCCCCCATTCCTCTGCCTGAACCCATTCCCAATTCCTGCCTCACCTGGCAGCATATTCAGATATGCTTCTTGGACTTGAGCCCTTGCCTGCCTGCATGTGCCCTCAGACAGCCTGACACAGAGGCCCTGGGCAAGGGGCGAGTTCCTCCAAAGACCCTGCTATCCCCTGGGGACTGACCCCTCTAGCCTCCTCTGGGGCTCCTCTGCTGTCCCTCGAACCCAGGCTCAGTGTTCCATGTGGGTCTAAGTGGGTGGCATTGGTGGTGTGATCTGCGGTTCCCAGGACCCCTGCCATTGTCTCCCTTCTTTGGTGAGTTGCATAGACTGCCTTTCCTGGTCGTCACTGAGCAGAGGCAGAGAGAGGAGTGTGCGAGGTGCCCTTTCTCTCTGGGGCTGCCTCCTAGGCTGCTGGGTGTGGTGCTCTCCTGCGTGCCCTCTGGGCCTCATCTGGCACCCCTCACCCTGGCCCTTCACCGGGGAGTGGGAGTTGGGACTTTGTGGAGCTCCCCCCACCGCCTCCCACCGCCCTCCCCGCCCAACCGTGAGATGCAGATACATTGTACTCAAAATGTCTGAGCGTGGTGTAATTTTGTTCTAAATCAGATGCCATTTTAACCTGTATTATACCACGGGCCAGTGGCATTTCAGTAGAGACACGTGTACAGTAGGGGAATGCTTTCATCTGAAAATGTTCTACGCTGTACGTGTACTTCCCTCAAGTAGCAGCGCACCTCCTTCCGGGGCTGAGTTTGAGAACCTCCTGGAGCCTCACTGTTGCAGTGCCTTCACGCCTCTGTGTCTTGGCTCTGGGCAGAGGTTAGGAACTCTAAATGGCGGGACACGACGTTTTGCATGTATTATTTCTCCTGGCTAAAGTCACTAGCGCTACTATGTCTACCTTATAAATAATGATGGTAATAATATCTCAAATTTATATAGCATGTTAATTTTTTTCTAATCCATTTTAATAAGATTTAAAACAATATTGAGAAAGCAGTAGCCTCTTCCCTGCTCCCAGTTCAGTTCCCTTTATCTTCCAGTTTGCTGTGAACCCAGTTTGGGTTATAACCTTCTAGACTTTTCCATTCGTACGTGAACTATATGTGTGGTTTCTTTTTCTTACATGCCTGGTATCACACTACCCATTTTGCTCTGTAATCCTGCCTTTTTACTCAGCAATAGATCACAAACATACAGTTCTTTTTCCTTCTTAATTGCACTGTCCTGTATTGTTTGGGTGTATACCAGTTCTTGTATTAATCTTCTACTGGTTGACATCTAGATTTTGTCTCGTTTTTCCGCTGTCACAAGCAGTGCAGCAGTGAACACCTCTGTGTTAACTGCGCACCCAGCTGTGCCCAATTAACTTAGAGAAACTCACTTCCATCTGATAGTTGGTGTGTGTAGGTCAAGCACTAGCCATCCACTTTACAGATGCAAAAACCCAGCAGGGAAGGGCAAAAGGTTCCTGTGGCCACACAGCCAGCACAGAGCGGAACAGCTTGCTTTTGAGGCCCAATCTCAGGCCCTCTCTATATCCTCATGGCTGCCTCTTCCAGGAATGAGAGCGTTTTAGACCAGCACCTCTCATTCTTCCATGTGCACACACATGCCCTGGGGATTCCCTTAAAGTGCAGATTCTGATCGAGTGGCTGGAGGGCGGGGCCTGAGAATCTGCATTTCTAAGCTTCCAGCGGCACCCATGCTACTGGTCTGGACCCCACTTGAGCACTGAGGCTTTAGTTTAGTTAAAATCACAAGTGTATAGAAGGTTTTTTAAGGGGTGAAGTGGGGGGTCGAGGGGAGACACGTGGTGTGTGTGCCTTCATTGAACTCGAATCTTTGATCGCAAATACTGTAAGCACCAAGGTTAGAAGTGCCTGCAGCACCACAAAACCCTAGAACAAGGAGGGTTCTAAGAGACCAGTGAGTTCAGAGGACTGGGCCCATCAGGAAGCTGACTTGCCCAAGGCCCCCGAGAGCCAGGGCTGCACCAGATGCCACGGGACCCCACCCAGGACTTTCCACCTAGGGGACCCAGGATGCTGGGGTCTGGCTGCCCCACATGGATGTCCTGGGTCCTGGCCCCCAAGAAATCTCTGAGAGCCCTTTCAATGTGAACATCCTGGGGTATGGTTTGAACTGGAATGAGAGAAGCTGGGCTTCTCATTTATTTTTACTTTTTTTGGGGTGGGGTCTCACTCTGTTGCCCAGGCTGGAGTGCAGTGGCAGGATCATAGCTCACTGCAGCCTCAACCTCCTGGATTCAAGTGATCCTCCTGCCTCTGCCTCCCAAGTAGCTGGGACTACAGACACGTGCCACCATGCCCAGCTAATTGTTTTATTTTATTTTATTTTATTTTATTTTGTAGAGACAGGTCTCACTATAATGTTGCCCAGGCTGGCCTTGAACTTCTGGGCTCAAACAATCCTCTTGCGTTGGCCTCCCAAAGAGGTGGGATTACAGGCGTGAGCCACTGCACCCGGCCCAGGGTCATTTTTAAGGGCTTTCTTAGAAAAACCCAAATCATTTCTGAGTCCAAAAGTCACACACGCATCACACCAGGAGAGACAGGCAGATGGAAGAAGAAACAGAGGCCCATGTGGCCAGGGGCAGACACGGTGAGGGATGCAGAGAATAGGAAAGACTGGAGTAGAGACAGACAGGGAGACAGATGGACAGGGGGAGAGCAGAGGTGGAGTAGGGAGAAAGACGAGGGGCAGGGGGAGCACAGGAAGAAACGGAGACTCCCAGCTGGGTCTCTGTCAAGAGTGGAGCCTGCAGACCACAGCCCTGCCCCAGCATCCTGATCCCCCAAAAGGGGGTGCTGTCTCCAGCTTCAATTGAATCCACCTCAGGCCTAAGGGTTCTCATTATTTCATTTCTCATGTTCATGTTTGAAAAAAAGACCTTGCCTTCCCTTCCCCCTGCCCTCCCCATCACCGGACTCTTGCCACCATCCCAGCCCTGAAGAGGAAGGACAGAAAGCCCTCTCCATTCATCAGGGCAGAGGCTGCGTAATGGCGGTGAGCGAGGGGCTGGAACTACCGTCTGATTGAACATTAGTCATCCTGCACGTTATATTCTCTAATGAGAAAATTATTTCAAATTGCCTCAAGGGATGGTTGTGATTAAACTATTTGCCTTGACTTCCTCTGCTAAATTGAACGTGTGCGCTTGTGTGTGTGTGAATACCCACATGCACACAGTCTCCCCCACCAAATGTGCTCACCAAAGGCCCTGGAACACATCCTCTGAATTCCAGAGGGTTTAGCTTCCAACCTGTTCACGGTATGCCTTTTCCTGCTGCAATTCAGAGCCAGCCAGGTCCTGAGAAGGGAGAGGGAGGCTGTTAGTGGAGCTGTATCAAGCCCTGCCAACCAGCCCCCATTCCTGCAAGGTCTTAGTTGCCTGTGTTTCAAAGGGAGCTGAGCTTCTATGGATGAGCTTCTCTTGGGTGTCAGATGTCTGTCTCTTAAAGAGAGAAGCATTCTTCAGGCAAGAATCTGGAGCTCTTTTCAGATCCCTCTTTATTTTCTCTGCTGTGAAACTCCAATTTTATTTGGACCTCCTGTGCATAAGCTGGGCCAAGCCATTAATATGCCAACCCTATTTGCCATTTTTGAAGGTTTTTGAAGCATATTTCAAAAGAGAACCAAAGCATACCATTAAGCAAGGAACTCGAAAGTTTTTATGCAGAATTTATAACATCAAAAAAGAACCCAAAAGTGCATGGTCTTGATTATTAGGACATCAATATGCCATTACCCCAATTCCCTTCTCTCTAAATCCTAGCCACACTTCAAGGGGGTAGTGCAAATAGTCCCTTCTCTGGAATCTCTCTCTGACCATTGCCTCAGTCACAATTAAGCCCTCCTTGTTCTGGGCTCCCATGACTTTGTCTCTGGTTGATAGAATTCAACAAATGCTTATTGAGTCCATATCAATGAGCTGCTGCTAGGCTATACTTGTTAAAAAACAACCCCCATGACTCAGTGGTTTATGGCAGTAGCCTTCCATGTCAGCTGCACACTGGTCATGACACTGCCTATTCATTCTGGGATCCAGGCTGAAGTAGCAGCCCCCGTCTAGGACATGCCATTCTCCAGGTAGATGGAAACAGAGGACAATCATCAAACCATGTGTGGCTTTAAAAACTCTGCTCAGATGTAGCACACATCACCTCCATTCACATCCTATTGGCCAAAGCAGGTCATGTGGTCAAGCCTGATGTCAGTGGGGAAGAATCATCCTTTTACCATGTGCCCATGTGAGATGTCCTGGATATACAAGGATCAATTCAGTGCCTTTGGACTCACCATTTGGAGCACTTTGGTGTCTATTCTTAGCCTTCTACCAAAATCCTCTTCCCATGATCATTAGGGTCTTTACAATCACCATATTTAATAATCCTTTTTTCTTTTTGTAGGCAAGTTGCATGCTACTTGATATCTTGGCTGCGTGTGATTCTGTTGACCACTCTCTTCTCTCAGCTTCTGGGATGTAGCTTTCTCCCAGTCCTCTTTCTACACCCCTGGATACCCCATCTCTGTAGCTTTTGGTCCATCTCTCCTACCTCTCCTTTCAATTCCTTTAAATGTTATGGTTCCCTTTGGGTTGGGGAAATCTCTTCCCTGGAGTTAATTTTAACTTCTGCTTCCATCTCTATGACCATAAACTCATTTTTTTCCTGCTAAACCTGGTCCTCCTCTTATGTGGCAGATTACATATGGGCCACACCATCTTTGCAGCTGTTCCTATGACATATGAAATTGACTTCCTCTCCCCCTGAATCTGGGCTGCGCTTGTGGCTTACTTTGACCCATGGAATGTGATAGAAGAGGCATTGTGAGAGTTCTGAAGCCAGCTGCCATGTAAAGAAGGCTGTCTAGTCTGTTGGAGGATGAGAGATGGAGAAGAACTGAGGTGTCTCCGGTGACAGCCAGTGCCAACTTCCAGGCTCAAGAGTGGGGCCAGCTTGGACCTTCCAGCCCAGCTGATCCTCCAGCTGAATGCAGCCAAATGAGTGAGTCCAGGCATGACCAGCGGAGGAGACATCCAGCTGACCCCTAAAGCTTTGCTATTTAAGTCATTAAGTTTTGGAATGGTTTGTGATGTGCGATAGATAATGGAAACATCCTGTATCCCCTAAATTGGTTAACGGCGCTGCTATCTAACCAGTTATATAACCACTGCTATCTAATGGCACTGCTATCTGACCCCTAAACCTGGTAGTCACCCCTCTTTTCTCTCTCTGCTTCAACCCTACATCCACTAGGTCAATGAGACCCATCAAAGTGATCTAAGGGGGGAAATGGGAAACTGGAGTTTGATGAGTATAGTGTTTCAGTTTAGCAAGATGAAAAAGTTCTGAAGATTGGTTGTACAACAATGTGAATATTCTCAACACTGCTGAACAGTACTCATGAACATGGTTAGAATGTTAAACTTTGTATGTATATTTTGCCACAATTAAAAAAATGATCTAAATATTTCCTGATTTTGCCCCCTCCTCTCAATCCCCACCCTCCACACTGCTTTCTTTCTGAAATGCAGTTCCAGCCTTGACACTTATTTTAAAACTCAGAGCCTTCCTCTCTGCCTTCCGGGTAAAATCCAAACCCTGTACCAGGAACTGTAGGGTTACCTGTCTGCCCTCGTGTCCCACCACTTCTGTTCTCACTGAGGTTCTCCTGTTGCTTGTGTGCCTTTCTATCTCTTCCTTGCTTCTGGACCTCCTTGCTTTGCACAAGAAGTTTCTTCCACTGGGATGTTCTTACTGCTTTTTATTAGACGTTGGCATCACTCACTGGGTCTTCAGGGTTCCTGTTTTTAATGCAACTTAAGCTACCAGTATATACAAATTTTTACTTTTTCTAACCCTTTGATCTAGTAATTTTAATTCTGAAACTCCAACCCATCAAAAGCATACAAATGCCAAATAACTAGCAGGACCCTGGGGATAATGGTTAAGAGTAGATGAGAGGGCAGGGAAGAAGCCATGGCTTACTGTGACAATCTTGTCACATCACAGGGGGTCAACATGTAAACACGCGGTGTCATGTGTTGCTGCAGCCGGTGCTAGTGTCTACCACGTCGGGGTATTGCCCCAGACACTTTCCATCTGTGTCTCTGATTCTTATCACACCCGCATGAGGTGTTTACTACCATCCCTATTTCACAGATGAGCAAATTGAGGCTCACTGAAGTATCACACACATATAGAAATGTAAACACATCATCTAGAGAAAGCCATGTCCTGCAAGCTGAGAGAAGAGATTGGTTGACAGAGTCATATGCTGCCAAGATATTAAATAGCATGCAATTTGCCTAAAAAAGAACAAGAGAACCATGTATGGTGGTTCACACCTGTAATCCCAGCACTTTGGGAGGCGAAGGTGGGAGGATCGCTTGAACCCAGGAGTTTAAGACCAGTCTGGGCAACAGTGAGACCCGGTCTCTATAAAATATGTTTTAAAAAATTAGCCAGGCTTGGTGGTGCATGCCTGTGGTCCTAACTACTTGGGAGGCTGAGACAAGAGGATCGCTTGAGTCTGGGAGGTCGAGGCTGTCGTGAGCTATGATCATGCCACTGCGCTACAGCCTGGGCAACAGTGAGAGACTCTGTCTCAAAAAACAAAAACAAAAAACAAGAAAGAAAAAGAAAAAAGAATCACTAGATTTGGTGAACACGTCAATGGATTAGTACAAAGTGAACATGTCTGTTGACCACTGCCCAGAACAAGAAAGAGAATGTCACCAGTGCCCCAGAAACGCCCCTGTGTCCCTCCTAGATACTAGTCCCACTGTCCTCAAAGGTAACCGTCATCCTGGCTTCTAACTAATCCGTGGGCAGTTTGTCTAAAGTTGTGCTGTGAGGAAAGGGACCGGTGGCTTCTGTACTCCTCTGTTCTGTCACATGAGCCCCAAAGGTGGACAGTGTTCGGTGGCAGTGACAGGAGAGATGGGGCTGACTTCCCAGCTCTGCTGCATCCCGGCCCTGACTTTGCTAGGTGTGGGCCTGACCATCTGTGTGTCTGGGGAGAAGGCCATGCGTTTCTCAGCACTCAGAGAAAGACCTGCCAGGGGAGCCTGTCTCTTTTTGTCTGCCCCAGGCAGGGGCTTGGTCTTCGAGGCGTGTGCCTATACACATAGACACACACAGACACCCCTATGATCTATCTCCAGCTTGGAGGCTGTTGCAACTACAAACCTTCCAAATAAATCCCTGATCTCTCCCAGAAAGCTGTTGTGAACTCAGTGGAAGGAAAGCTTTTAAAGTGACCCTCCATTTAAGCCCCGAGTCAAAGCCTTATGTGTTTTCTTTCCTTTTCTTAACTGGAAGGTTATGTGTTTCTTAGCTACTGGTCAGACTGGATGAGACTGCCAAAAAGCTTTCAGGGAATTTCCTCACCATGTAACAAATTTATGAGTCATATGAAAAACTGGGAAATGCTTCAACCAGCTGCCTCTCATTGACTCAGAGCCTTTCTCACAACACCTTGGTGCTGGGGCCTTGGATGGAGCCAGCAGCTGGGTTTATGATAACTACAAATGGCCTGCCATTGTCTGGGAGGAAGCTGTCTTCATCTCCCCTTTTATTTCCATTCTCCTGTCCTCCCCAGCAGAAAGCTATAAACGTTCTCTGAAACAGTTCAGCCACTGAAAGGGCAACTGCAGAGGTCTTGATTGTCCTAAAAAGGCCCCGCGGATGGGTGGGTGGGCTGGTAGGTAGCTGAAGGCAGGTTTGGGACCTCATTCTCCATCACTGTTAGGTAACCTTTGGGCTTCTTAGACTCAACCTGCCTAAAACTGAGCTCTGATCTCCCCTTCTTCCACCCCTTGCTGTCTTCCCCATCTTACAAAATGCTAACTTCATCAGTGCCAGATTGTATTTTCCTAAAGTGGCCACAGTAATATCCCTCATCTCACATGTCCTTCTGCAGTGTGACCTTGCCACTTTCCCATCAAGAAGTAGAGGTAATTTTTCCATCCTCTTGAAACAGGCCAGGCCCTGTGACTGCTTTGAATAATACAGTAGGGTAGAAGTGATGTGGTGCCAGTTTGGGGCACAGCCCTTAACCAGCCTGGCAGCTTCTACTTCCACCTGGAAGCCAGCCATCCCTATGTAAGAGGTGGGACTATCCAAGGACCACCGTGCTGTGAGAAGCCCAAGCCACATAGAGGAGCCCTAGAGGATGAGACAGTAGAGAAGGGGATGGGGCTGGGGAGGGAGAAAGAGAAAGAGAGACTAAGATTCTAGGAAGCGCCCAGGTGCTGCATGTGTGTGTGTGGGGGGCGCCATTTTGGAAGTAGAATCTTCACCCCAGCCTCCCCAGCTAATGTCACATGGAGCAGAGACAAATTACCCAGCCAAGCTTTTTCCTAGTTCCTGGCCCACAAAATCATGAGCAAAATAAATGCTTGTTTTAAGCCACTAAGTTTTGGGGTAGTTTGTAAACAGCAAGAGGTAACCAGAACACCATCTTCCCAGTTGCCAGACCAAAGACTTCCTGAAGTCATCTTTGACTTTCCTCTTTCTCTAATACTCACATCCAATCTGTAGGCAAACGCTGTGCATTTATCTTCAAACTATATCCAGAATATATCCACTCCTCATCACTTCCTGTGATATTGTGATTTCTAATAATATACATATTTGTCCTCCCCACCCCCCATGGCTGGCAGCCCCTGCATAGCCTCAGGATGGGAGCTGGTCACTAGAATGACCAAGGCAGGATTAGACGGTTGGGACTTTCAGCCCCACCCCCATCTCTGGAGAAGGGAGAGGGGCTGATGGTTGAGTTGATCAGCAATGGCTAATGAAGCAATCAATAATGCCTGTGTAATGAAGCCTGAAAAAGCCCCAAAGAACTCGGGTTGGGAGAGCTTCCAGAGGTCTGAACATGTCCAAGTGCCTGGAGGATGGTGCACCCAGAGAGGGCATGGAGGCTCTGTGCCCCTTCCCACATGCCTTGCCCTGTGCATCTCTTCCATCTGGCTGTTCATCTGTATCTTTTATTAAGAAACCAGTAAGCATAAGTGATAGAGTTTGGATATTTGTCCCCTTCACATTTTGTTAAAATTTGATCCCCAATGTTGGAGGCGGGGCCTGGTCGGAGGCGTTTGCATCATGGGGGTGGATCCCTCACAAATGGCTTCGTGCCTTCCTCGCCCTCGTAGTAATGAGTGACTTCTTGCTCTGTTAGTTCCCCCAAAATCTGATTGTTAAAAAGGCCTGGCACCTCCTCCCCACTCACCATATGATGCCCACCTCCTTTCTCCTTCTGCCAAGATTGGAAGCTTCCTGAAGCCCTCGCCAGAAGCAGATGATGGCACCATGCTTCTGGAACAGCTTGCAGAACTATGAGCCAAAGTAAATCTATTTTCTTTATAAATTACCCAGTCTCAGGTATTCCTTTATAGCAATGCAAATGGACTAAGACAGTAAGTAAAGTGTTTCTCTGCATTCTTTTTTTTTTTTCTTGATGGCAACTGTGTTTCTCTGCATTCTGTGAGCTGTTATAGCAAATTAATTGAACCTAAGGAAGGGGTCATGGAAAGCCGCAATTTATAACTCGCTGGTCAGAAGTGTGGGTGACAGTATACTAATTGTGACTGGTGTCTGAAGTTGGGGCAGTCTTGAAGGGCTGAGCACTCACCCTGTGGGATCTGATGCTACCCCCAGGTAGATGGTGTCAAAAATGAATTGAATTAGAGGACACCTGCTGGCATCCGCTGGAGAATCTGGTGTCAGAGTGTTGTGTTGCATGAGAGTAGTGAGCAGGAGAAACACTTGGGCTTTTTTCCTCCCTGTATCTCCTACTTCCACTGCTGTTGCTCTAGCCTAAGCCCCCACTTTTATTTCTCACCCTCTTTTTTTTTTTTTTTTTTTTGAGATGGTGTTTCACTCTTGTTGCCCAGGCTAGAGTGCAATGAAACAACCTCAGCTCACTGCAACCTCTGCCTCCCTGGTTCAAGTGATTCTCCTGCCTCAGCCTCCCGAGTAGCTGAGATTACAAGCATGTGCCACCATGCCCAGCTAATTTCTGTATTTTTAGTAGAGACAGGGTTCATCCGTGTTGGTCAGGCTGGTCTCGAACTCCCAACCTCAGGTGATCCGCCCGCCTCAGCCTCCCAAAGTGCTGGGGTTACAGGCATGAGCCACCACATCTGGCCTTCTCACCCTCTTAACCACACCCTTCAGTTTGCTTCTACACAGATATGGCAGCCTGCAGGATCCTGACAAAAACCAAGTTAGCCTGTGCCTCTCCTCTGCTCAGAACCCTCCAGAGGCCTCCGTTGCACTCAGGCCCTGCTCCCTCTAGCCTTGTCCCTCTCTGACGTCACTTCCTACTGTCCTCCCCCTTGCTCATTTTATTCTGGGGGCACCTGCCTCATGGTTGCTTCTCTGTGCAGCCTCAGGCCCTGCATTTACAGCACATTTTTGCAGAAACACCCTTCTCTACGTGGCCGCATGGCTCTCACTGTCACCCCTGCACAGTCCTGATGCAGGTGACACCCGAGTGAAGCCCCTCCTCTTGTTCCCACCTGCCTTGCTATATACACTCCTATCACCCTTCCCTTCTTCTCCAAACGATTTTTCTTCATAGCATTTGCCAACCAGTGGCAGCTTGGCAACCTGACCCACTGGTTGGTAAATACTATGAAGAAAAATAGCATTTGATGGCTTCTCGGCCTTTTGGCTAAGATCGAGTGAAAAATAGCGTTTGGAGAAGCAGGGAAGGGTGATAGGGGTGTATTCAAAGTAATTCAAAGTAATGGCAAAAACCGCAATTACTTTTGCACCAACTGAATATTTAGTACTGTCTTCTCGCTAGAATGTTGTCTCCAGGGGGCAGAGACTTTGATCTGTTTTGTTTACAGAAATAACCCTAGAGCCTAGAACAATGCCAGCACCCAGTAGGGGCTCAAATCACACTTGCCCAGTGCGTGAGCCTAACTTTTCTGAGCCTCAGTTTCTTACTGCAAAATGAGAGAAATTACAGTTGCTTTCAAGGGGTTGTGAGGACTAAATAATAAAAGTTATATGAAGCACATGGTGTTGGGCCTGGTACAGAATTGCCCCGAGGAGCTGGGCCCGGAGAGGGTACAACTTCCAGTGCCTCTTTAAATAATGCCTATCCTTTTGAGACAAAGAACATATTTTTGACATTACCTTTAGGAATTCTTGAGTCATAATGGTGATTAACTCAGAGTCTACGATATATGGACTTTGGGTCGTTTTTCTCTAAGGCGTGTCTTTGAACTTGAATTTGTTCCATTAAAGTGGCAACTGCTCACTCACACAGCCAGGGCTGGTCCTGTGGGTTCTTCCTGGTGGTGTATGGGATGGACAATGTCACAACAGTCAGAGACCTTAGGACTTATCTTCTAATAACCCCACAGTGTCCTCTACTGGTAGGAGAACTGTCCAGCTAAGGGAAATGACATGTCTAAAGCTACACAACCGGGTTGGTGGCCGAGTGGGGGCTTACCACATGCCTCTGGACTCTGAGTCTCTGGCTCTTTCTACTCTCCCGATTCCTGAGGGTTAAATAACACCAAGCAGAGGAGAGTCAGGCCCAGGGAGAAATCTCATCCCTCCCTTGTCCCCTCCGATCCTTTCTTGTTTTGTGTCATTTGTTTGTTTGCACGTTCTAGTAGTTACCAAGTGACTTTATATGTCACACACAGTGAAGACACGGGCTCTGTCATGGGCTGTGGCAGACATTACCAGGACTCAAACACATGGCTCATGGAAGACTCACTTCCCACTTGGGAGGGATTTAGGAGAGAAGCATAATCTTGTAGGGGCTAAAGCACTGAGATTTGGGGGTGGCTTTTTCCCACAGAATAAGCCCACGCTGACCAACACACAGCTCGTGTTTCAGAAGGAGGAATGAAGACGTTGACATTGATGCAGCATAGATGAGATGATAGAATAATGAAAAAAAAAAAAAAAAAAAAAACCCACAGCAGAGAGAGTGACCCTCTCCACCTAGCTTGTGGAGAGAGCCACAGGCAGCAATGCTAGGTCAAGTGTGTTTCTCACTTTGGGGCAGTGCTGGGGCCAGGTCGCAGCCCCAGCTTAGTCACCAATCTTCTGTGTGACCCTGAGCAAGTCACTTTCCCTCCCTGAGCCTCGCGTATGAAACGAGAGGGTTAGAGAGGATAGCCTCTGAGGTTCTTCCCAGCTCTAAAATTGTTTCAGGAAAGGAAGGGTGAGTTCATCTTGTGAGCTCTTGGTCTGAACTTCCTTCCTCCTGCCGGGCACTGGACCTTCTCCTGTGAGTCCACCCAGCCTCATTGGTGAGGATTGATTGAGCAGGACACGAAGGGAAAGAAACAGTTGCTGTTCCAGCTTTTGGCTTCCAAAACAGTCGTTGAGAATGCGGGGTTTTGTGGAGAGAAGAAAAGACACTTGAAACCATCAAGGGAAGGTGCAGCATAGAATTGTTGCCATGACAACAGCCTGGGCAGCTCCCCTTTCCCTTCCTGCTCCTCCTTGATTTCCCCACAGCCACCACCCAGGGGGGCAGTAGGGCAGGGATGATGGGAAGGAGCCCGCTGGACGAGTTTGACCAAATGACTCAGCCTCTGAGGGCCTCAGCCTCCTCCTTGGCAAAATGAGGCTATGGTACCTTGCTCCCTGCTGGCCGTGGGTGTCAAGTGGTAGCATGGGTGTGAAGCACCTGGCACGGGCATGCTCCAAAGCGGGTGGTTGAGGCAATGCGTCCATGCCCAGCCCTGTCACTGCCCTTCCTCAGTGTGACCTCCCCAGCCGTCCCTGCCTTGTTCATCTGCCTGCTCAGCCTCCCACCTGTCCCAAGGTGAGCGAGATGGAGTTTGGTTTCTGTGGATCACAACTTCTCCCAGGTTCCAACTCTCTCCCACCCCAAGTGTCTCCACCTACCAACCATTACAATCTCTCAACACCAATAAATGGTAGCTATGGCCTGTTATCAAAAAGGAAGTCTCTTGAGGCTGCAGTGAGCTGTGATTGTGCCACTGCACTCCAGCTGGGATGACAGAGTAAGACCCAAAAAAGGCCGGGCATGGTGGCTCACGCCTGTAATCCCAGCAGTTTGGGAGGCTGAGGTGGGTGGATCACGAGGTCAGGAGATCGAGACCATCCTGGCTAACACGGTGAAACCCCGTCTCTACTAAAAATACAAAAAATTAGCCGGGTGTGGTGGCGGGTGCCTGTAGTCCCAGATACTTGGGAGGCTGAGGCAGGAGAATGGCATGAACCTGGGAGGCGGAGCTTGCAATGAGCCAAGATCATGCCACTGCACTCCAGCCTGGGTGACAGAGTGAGACTCCGTCTCAAAAACAAAACAAAACAAAACGCTTCCTTCGATTTTGCCGTCTTGGCGCCTCTATTGCCTCCTCTTATCCTGGCTGTCACACAGCCAATGTGTTGCTGATTTCAGTTAAGAAAGCCTCTAATGCGGTGGTTCGCAAACTTCAGTGAGCATCAGAATCACCTGGAGGGCTGGTTAAAGCGGGGTTTGTCAAAACAGAAATCGCCAGTCTCAGCCCCAGAGCTACTAATGGAATAGGTCTGGGGTGGAGCCCAAGAATGTGCATTTCTAGTGAGTTCTTAGGTGATGCTGATGCTGCCTGTCCAGGGACAGCCCTTTGAAAACCACTAGCATAGAGACCTGCAGAGTGGCCCAGAACTCTCTTGAGGGTGGCTCAGGGAAGTTCCAGGAGCAGCAGCTCCCCTTCCCCAAGGCCAGGCTGATGCTGCATTGGTTTTTTCTGTTCTCTGGACTTGGTTGCCCTGGCTGCTCGTGGTACTCATTTTGCCGGGCTCCTGAGCCCAGAGACGTTGGCCTAATTTATGGGACTTGGCAGACACTCAGAGTCTGAGGAGGACAGAAAACTTCTAACACACTGTACACTGGCTCTGGTGTTTGGGCGTTCTTTATTGCTCACTGGGGAGAATGTGCATGTGGAAAGCCTGTTCCCTTAGTTGCTGTAAAACTTGGTAATGGAGTGAAATAGCCTGGTTATAGAGTTTCTCGGGGGCTGTGTCTTTGCCCACCCTGGAGCAGGCGGGAGAGGGTCTCTCTGAAAAGTGCAGGAGCTGGCATTCAATGGCAGTTGGCTGGGACACAAGCGCCCTGTGGGCTGTTTAATGTCATTGTGTACAGTGTCTCCTTGGCCCTGATTGCTCCCTCTCTCCCCCTCCTCTGTGCCCATTTGGGTGGCCCATGCAGGGGATAGCCATTTAGGCTGTATCTGGTCAGGTAGAGTCATGAAGGCCTGAATCCCCATCCAGTAGGGTATTGGGAAACTCACGGCAGAAGATGACGATGCACCCAGGCATGGCTCTCCTTCTTGGAGTAGTTGGATAATCACCTCTCTGGGTGCTGAATGACAACCGATACCCTTTACTGATCATCTGTAGGTTATATCATCTCATTCTCTCCCTAAAAACAAACTGTGAGGCCCTAAAGCCCTGTGCCTGGCTCCTAATGTAGGCTCAGTCACTCTCTGCCGATGAGGGAGTGTGGGCTTTGAACCTGGCTCTTTCTCACCCCAGGGCCTTGTTCTTTCTGCATCACAAAGTAGGCACTACCCTCCTCTTGCCCACCCTACAGTGGCAGGTTCCTTACACCCAGTGCAAACACCACCAAAAGCCAGGGCTCCATGACTTTCAGTTTTGGCTGAGTGTGAGCAGGAAAGCCAGCAAATGAATGAAGAGGTGCCAGCCATTCGTCTTTCTGGGAAGGTCTTGAGCTCTACAAATAGCAGCAGAGCCGGCCAGGGTTACTCTCATTGGGTGTTGGGGCCACACTCGGTCTAGGCTGATATTTTCTCTTTTGTAAAACTGGTAAGGACAGCTGGAGGCAATGAGGAAGCCAACCCCCAAGAAGTCACCAAGCTCTCTGGAGAAAAGGAAGAGCAGATGGGCACTGTCCCCCTTTCTCCCTGCTTGGGCTTCCCCAAACCCACACGGCCAACTGCCCTCTTTTGCCTTCTAGACATAAGCGGGTGTGGGGGTGAGATTCTGTTTCCTCCTTAGTACAGCGAAGACAGCTTGGACTTTTCTAGAGAAACTTCCCTAAGAAACCAAGGATCAAGCCAATCCCCTTGCTGGGCAATAACGAAAGCAGTCGGCACTTACAGGCATGCTGGGCCAGGCACTCCCCCAAGGTTTTCCCCTCTGTAGACCCCTTTAACCCTCACAGAAGCCTTTGGTGGAGGTGCGTTATTCATTTCCATTTTGTAGAGGTGGAAACTGAGGCTCAGAGAGTTTCAGTTGACATGGCCAAGCTCACACAGCTAGGAAGTAGGGAGCTGGGATTTGAACCCAGGCAGCCTGGCTCCTGAGAGTCGGCCCACCTGCCTTACCAGCTGCATCTCCTGCTCCTCCCCCAAGTTCTCTGGAACCTAAATCCAGGATTTCTCTCCCTGTCGTGAAGACCGCAGGCTTTTCTAGGCTTCTTGACATTTGCATGCTTGGCCTCTGCTGAGGCGGGCTGTTTGCTTGAGCTCCTCCCTGCCAAGTTCCCACTCACCTGTCTGGGACCAGTGGAAATGTGTGTCTGTTGGGAACAGCCTTCTCAATCCTCTGAATGAGTTGGTCAACTGTCCTCTGTGCTTCTGGAGGCCGTTCCATCACTGTGGTACACTCAGTTGTAGAGACAACAGCTGTCTCCCTGTGAGGCCCGAGGGCAGAGGCTTAAGGCTGCATCAACAGTCTGACTCCTAGGCCTGTAATTAAGTACCAGCGTTTGGTTCTGTTCTCTTCTCTGCAGCAGCCACATGATCTCTGTGGCAGAGGTGGCGACTTGTCCCCTAATATCCATTTTTCCTTCTTCCCCTGTCAGAGAACTTTCAGCTGAGCTTGTGTTGCCCAGAAGAGACATTCTACTTCCCAGGCTTCTTTGCAGCCAGGTGCATCCGTGTGACGAAATTCTGGCTGCTGGAATATGGGGAGAAGTGATATATGCAGTGTTTGGGTCATGCCCATAGAGGGAAGGAGCACATGCCTCTCCCCAGCCCTTTTGGTTGGGTGTTGGACATGGTGAAGAGCTTCCTTGACCATGTGAGTGGTGGCCATGCTCTACAGATGGCAGAAAGCAAGATGGGAGGAGATTAGGTCCAGCTGCTCTCCCAGCTCAGACTTCTACTTCAAAGAGAAAGGAACATCTACCATGCTCAGGCTACAGACAGCTGAAGGCTATGTCCATTATGCCCAAATCTATATCCTAAATAAATGCTCACTCTCCCATGTGGAGCATTGCCTTAATCTAGGAGCTGGTCTCCATCTTTCTTGGCAGTTGGAGATCGAACAAAGGTCATTTCCTTTTCAAGTGCAAATCCTCCTCCAGTTCATATGCAAGGGGCTTGTGCAGATCATGGCCAAAGCCAGAGCAATGAATCCCAAACCTGGTCATGCAATAACACGCAGGGCTTGGTCTCCACCCAGTACCCAAACTTGACAGGTTCAGAATCTCTGGGCACAGAACCCAGACACTGGTGTTTTTATTAAGCTCCCCAGAAGACGTGGCCCCCCCGTTGGGTTTCCAAACCAGTTTGTTAAGTCCATTTATGATTTAGGACATCCCAGATTGGCCATAAACAAATGAATATTGTTTTTTTTTTTAACAAATATTTACTGGGCAAGCACCTATTATGTGCTGGGTGCTGCTGGGGATATGGGCAACATCCCTGCCTTCGTGGAGTGCACTTTCTAGTAGAGGAGACAGGCCGTGAACAGCTAAGCATGCACATACGTAACTTCAGGCAGGGGGAAGGGCTACGCAACAACAGGAAGCAGGGTGACGTTATGGAGGGTAGGGAGGGGCCAACTCAGGTGGGCTGAGAGAGAGAATGCTGCTTTGAGCAAGTGGCATCTGGGCAGGTCTGAATGACAAGAGCAATGTGGCTTGTGTTAGTTACAGGCTGAGCCAATGCATCAA
This sequence comes from Homo sapiens, assembly GCF_000001405.40. Taxonomy (NCBI): domain Eukaryota; kingdom Metazoa; phylum Chordata; class Mammalia; order Primates; family Hominidae; genus Homo; species Homo sapiens. The sequence goes on from NC_000006.12 coordinate 44,499,930, forward strand.
CTAGACCCTCAAAATCAAATGACTTCAAAAATAAGGCACATGGTGACTTATCAACAATCCTTCAGAGCTGGTGTTTAGGCTGACGGGCTAGCTGTCCTCTCTGCACACATTCAGGGACCCAGGCTGATGGCTGCTCTACCATCTTTAAATTTTGGCTTCCAAGGTCATCTCGGCATCACCATCTGGTTGGCTGGAAGGGAAAAGAGCTTGAAAGAGTCTCTTGGGAGTTTTCTATGGCCCAGTCTGAATGTGACAGGTACCATTTATGCCCATGTTCCATTGGCGTGAACTTGGTCACATGGTCATCCCACCTGCGAGCGAGCCTGGGAAATGTACTCTGGTCATGTGTCCAGGATTTTGGTGGACAGCCAAAGGCAGGGGTCCTCTGCCAGGGGCAGAGGGGACAGCAGGTACAAAGACCTGTATGGGGGAGTGAGTTTGGTGTGTCAAGGAGCAGCGAGGAAGCCAGTGTGACTGGGGTGAAGTGAGACTAGGGTAAAGGGCTAGCGGGTAAGGATGGAGAGACAGGCAAGGCCTATAGCCCAGGAGCTCTCCCCCTCCCACCCACCTTAGGAAAGGCTTAACGATGATAATCTTTTTGAGCACAGAGCATTTTCCCCATGTACACAAAAGTAAAGAGAATAACAGAGTGAACTGCTAAGCACCCACCAGCTTACCAATGTTTTGCCAAACCTATTATAATTTAAAAACAATGTACAAATTTCTCAGGTAGCAAGAAGAGAGACTGAGTCTCTTGTAGATTTCTCCTTACCTCATATAATCTCTCAGGGAAAATCATGACAAGTATTTGAAAGTATTTTGGGATTTTAGAAGAAAAAAATACTATAACAGTCCTGTGATTTTTGTTACTTTTATCAGAATTTCTAATTTTCATGTTAAATGATTAATTTTCATGTTAATCTTTTTAGAGATGGCATTAGTTATCTTTTGCTGTGTGATCAATTACCCCAAAACTAAGTGGCTTAAACTGACAATAAACGTTTACCGTCTTTCACAGTTCCCGTGGGTCAGAAATGCAAGGGTGGCTGAGCTGGGTAGTTCTGCTCATCTCTCATGAGCAGAACTCATGAGAGAGTTGGAATCTTTCATGAGGATGCTGTCAAGGTGTTGATCAGGGTTGCAGTCATCTGAAGGATCTGCTCCCAAGGCGACTTATTCACCTAGTTGACAAGTTGGTGCTGGCTGTCGGTGATAGGCTTCAGTTCTTCCTTCACATGAGCCTGTCCTCAGGAATGCTTGAGTGTCCTCACAACATGGTGGCTGACTTTCCTCAGAGTAAGTGATCCAAGAGGACAAGGGTGGAACCACAATGTCTCTTATAACCTAGCTTCAGAAATCACATACCACCACTTCCATAGTATTCTTTTGGTCACACACATCAGCTTTGACTCAGTGAAGAAAGAACTACACAAGGTGTGAATAATAAGAAGCAAAGATCATTTGGAGGTCAAACAAAGGTCATTTCCTTTTCAAGTGCAAATCCTCCTCCAGTTCATATTGCAAGGGGCATGTGCAGAACATGGCCAAAGCCAGAGCAATGAATCCCAAACCTGGTCATGCAATAACATGCAGGGGTTTGTCTCCACCCATCTTGCAGACTCTCTACCAGAGGCCTTAGCTAAGGGCAGGATAATAATCTGTTTGGGAATGTTACCCACTGTAGAAGGGCCATTTTTGGAATTGGTACCCAAATAGGAATAAGCAGATTTCTGATGACTGATTTAATAGGATTGGGGGATTTATAGTTATGAAGGAACTTGGGAGTAATTTATTTCCACATTTACATTTTACAGAGGAGAAAATTGTTTCCAGAGAGACAAAGTGCCTTGTTTAAGGCTACCAGGTGAGTTTGTGGCTGAATAAAGATTAAAGATCCAGTCTCCTAACGCTTGGAGCTGTGGTGCGTGGGGTATGGAGAGAATTCTGGATTTGGAGACTGGAGATCTGGCCAGAGGTCTCTGAATGGGTGACCCATTCCCTGGTCCTTTCTCCCTGAGCTTATCTTCTGGATAGACTGTTGTCTTTCTGGGACTGTTAAATATTCTCAATAAAACTCAACATGCTCTCCAAAATGTTAGGTTGATGATGCTTTTGTAGCCTTATCCATTTACTTATTCTGTCCCTGTAAACAGGAGTCATAGATTTAAGGCCATGTGACTCTACTTAGTTCAGTATGGACCTCTCAGATGTGCTATCCAAGAAGCAGCAAACTAGGGCACCCAGGGAACACCAGAACTGTCTTGTCCATTAGTTTAGCTTTTTTGTTTTATTTTTGGTCACATGCAACAGAAACCCCTTTGACTAGCTTGGGCAAAGAAAAAAAGGACAGTAATTTGTTAGAAGGTCCATGGGAGTACCTCGGAAATCAAAGGAAGGCTTGAACAACTAAGATTTGGAATGAAATGGGGTTACCCCTGATAGTTTAGTAGCAGGAGTGTCCGGATCCTCTCTTCACTGGGCTCCCATGAACACAACACAGCCCAAAAGATTTCCAGCCCATAGATGTTCAAGTAGATGTCAAATTCCCAAGAAGCAGAATGTGCCAGACCCACCTGGGGTCGTGCATCCAGCTGTGGCCAGTGGCAGGATCATGTAGCAGAGACATGGCCTTTGAGCCCACCTTGAAATGTCTGGCTGTGTCCACCACCAAAGGGGGAGTTTCAGTGAGCCAACCAAGAAGTGTCTATAGTACCTCGTGGACTTCTACCACACCAGCAAGGCTTCACCTTGGACAGTGTACAGAGTCTTTCCTACCACTTTACTATGCAGGAAACCAGCATCCTTAACACCACTATTAACTCACTTGTTTTTACTTATTTTATGCCCAGAGCTTTGGGACTCTGGCCAGGACCCTTTCCTTCTTGAATTTAGCTTCTCATCTATATATAGAGGAAGTTAGTCTTGCTGACCTTTGAAGTCCTTTCACCCTCTAATATCTTCTGGCTGTGGCAGCTCAACAGCCCCCTGCCCCAGTGTTCATTATTCCCTGACTGGGTCTCTCACTATGCATGTGAATACATGCAAGTATACATGAGTGAATATAGTCTCTAAGGGCATCACACATGCTTATGTACTCGGACACATTCTAAACTCCAATGGTGGTGTTCTCTTAATGAGAAGGGCTGGTTGAGACCACTGCCTTTGGACTGAGCTGGTCATGTGATGAGTAGGAACCATCTGAATGGATTATTACATATTCCAAGCAGGAAATTCAATGGCTGATATATCTCTCTCCACGATGTATAATTGTTGGTGTTATTTAGGCTAGAACTGGAATTAGAATCCTTCCAGGGTTTGACTGATAGGAACTGCAGTGATAAGTGGGAAATGGGATGGGTAGGTGGGTGAGGAGCAGAGAGGGCATGGGTGAATGAGAATGAGACTCCAGACAATCTCACACAAGCCCCTTAATGGTCAATAGCTTCATCGACTTGGAGGAACAAAATCTTTGGGAGGCTTGGAGGAACCCTCCAATCATCAACAATTGGGAAAACGCATATCTACCTCATGATTCATCTAGGGTTGTGGGGTGGTGTTAGGAATGGGGGTGAAGAGCGTGCCCATGGCAAGGACCCATCCCAAGGTGGGAAACACCTACCAACAGACTCTCAAATATCACCCCAGCTATGTCCCCACCCACAATGTGAAGTCCAACTCAGAGATGGGTCTTGAACCATCCCACGCTTTTCTCAGGATCCCAAGTGAAAATCTTGCGGTTAGACTATGGCAACCAGCCAAGTCCTCAGAGATAACACAGCTCCATCCCAACACTTTCTTCGCAAGTTCTCCTGAACTCAAGGAACATCTTGGTGGGTGCACACAGGCAGGTAGTTTTCCCCTCTGTGGTCACTAGTTCTGCACCTTGCCTGCTGCTGCAGAGATAAGCATCTCACCTTCACACAACTCAACCATTCAGGGATTATAACTTTTTTCATGGAAGAGAAGCTCTCTTGGAAACCCCCAACAGACCTTTCCTTTGGTCTCAATGGTCAGAGGAATTGGGTCAAATGCCATCCTAAAACCAATCACTGTCAAAGAGCAATTGGGGGCCACACCCAGCTTAGACTACTTCTGCTTCATTCTCTGAGGCTGGGGACCAGGCAGCCCTTCCCTGAGCCCCTGGCTGCCCACCAGTTGTATGCAGAAGAATATGGTGGGTGGATGTGTGCAAGGTGGGGGAGCTTGAGTGGGGAGGGCTACTGGCTGACAGTGACATGCACTGTGATGGCACCCCACTTGGCCATCTCATTCATCCTTGGGATGTCAAGTGGCTTACCCAAGGTTGCCAGTAAACAGGTCATGTAGAGTTTTCTAAAGCATTTGTGTGTGTATGTGTGTGTGTGTGTGTGTGTGTGTGTGAACATGCACAGAAAGAGAGTTATGACAGAAAGAGAGTTATGACCTTAGGCCTTATAATGTTCCTTCCTTAATTAGACTTGAGGAAATGCACCATTTTTGCTTTAAAAGAAGTGTAATGAAGATGGATTATAGTTCAGGGTCTGATCGGAAAGAGCCAGGAACTAAGATTAATTAGCATCAGCATGTGGTTTATTTTCAAGGTCGTTTTTACTTGGCTTCCAGAAATCCTGTCGTAATATCTTCAAACTCTCACTGAACTTTTCATGTGCAATGAGGTGGAGGATTTTGCATTCTTGTTTGATGGGGAGAGGCACTGGCCCTCCTGTAACACTCTCTGAGCGGCCAGCCCCTGTCACTAGCCATGTTGGGATGTCTGTGGATGGCCACCTCAAGCTAAACCAACCCCTCCCACTTTGACCCCGCATAGCTTCAATGTAAATTGCTTTCCAGCTGACATTTCTCAGGGCATGTGTGCATGCTGGATTTGAGGGTGGTTTTTAATTCTGTAAGCTGTTTAAAGTCTCCTAAAATTTCTCATCATCTTTTCTATTACAGCTTAAGATTTCTAAGATTTTCTGGAACAGAGTGAAAGCTTTAAAATAGCTTAGTCACTGCAGTCCCAGTGCTGGTTGGAGGTCTAAGCAACACTACAGGCAATTCCTTAGTTAGCGTTTGGAGATGATGCCACTTGCTCTTTCAGCCTTTTCTTTTCTCCCATGACACTTTTGCTTCCTTCTACCCAAGGCCACCTCTTCTTCCTACTGGAGGACTAGCTGTCGCACCCTGGTAAGACCATCAGTAGATGCCACCCTCCTCATGCGGACCTTCCTTGCTTCTTCCCAAAGTGGCCTTTTTTTCAATTGTCTACCAGCACGTCCTGTTTGGGTCTTCTGGTGCACTTAGGGCAATTTGCCATTATTTTACCTGTTTGTGCACAGACTTGTTTGGTCTGTCTCCCCTGTGAGAGAGAGGACAGGATCTTGCCAGCATGTTCATCATTGTATGCCCAAGGCAGAGATGTGTCTTTATACCTCTCAAAGACTCTTGCGTCTGCTGACCCCCAATAAATAGTTATTGACTGATTAATTAAAAGGATTCTGTTACCAAGGAAGAATCTTCAGCTTCAGCTCAACTGACTACTGTGAAATGAAGCAAGAAACTAATAGACATTAGGCATTTGTATCAATTAGGATGTATTTGGGTTGCAAGAATGGAAGAATGGAAGTGTTTGTGGTTTAAATAATAAAGATTTAATGATCTCACATACTCACAGGGAACCCCAGTGGAGGATTCGCTACCTGCCAGCCTTTGTTCTAGATGCTTTCTTTCTATATATTCATATAGTTAATCTTGACATCATCCCTATGAGGGAGGTCCTATTATGGTCTTCCTACTACAGATGGAGAAACTGAGCCTCAGCATATTAAGCACTCTGCCTGAGTTCATGTGAGTGGTAGAGCCAGAATTTGACTGGTTCTAAGGTGATGTCACCCCAGGGTCTACACTTACCTACCACTTTGTCACAGCAGGTCTGGAGGCAGGTGTTCTGGGTTTGACGGGAGTTCAGTGTCAGGATGCAAGAGTCAGTGTGTCTGATTCCCTGGGCCTCCCCTTCATGGCTCCATGCCCTGCTCCACTACACGACTTCTAGAGCAGGAGGCTAGGGGTGAGGGGTGGGGCACAAGCACTCTTCCTCATGCTGCCCTCACCTCTAATCAGGCAGGACAGTGTCTTCCAGAAACACCCAGAGAGTTCCCCTAACATCTCATGGACCAGAGTGGGGTCTTGTGGCGCCTCACATCAATGCTGACAAGAAAATGGAGTGACCGTGAGTGAATGATTTCAGTTGAACCAGTTCTCATTCCTAGGGACTAAATGTGTTGCCACCTGAATGAAACTGGTTTCCGTCATCTGCAAGAAAGAGGGCTGAATGGTGGGTAGAACCCACCATGCTTGGCCTAGCACATTTGCTTTATCCAAGGGAGAGGACTCAGGCACAGGAACCCATCCTTGCAGGAGGCAGGACCTGACCCTTGGGTGACATCAAGGACTCCAGTTCCCTTTCACTCTTAGTTCCCAGCAGGTCTAGTGTCACTCTAGAAAGGTTTATGCATGTGTGTGAGCATGTGGATGAGTCAGGTGGGTCAGGGATCAGGCAGGGGATGATGGTTGGAGGTGGGGAAAGGGATGCAGCATGTTTTTCTTCTCTCTATAGAATTCTGACCCCACTGGATATGCAGTTTATCCTGGGATTTCAGGCTCCACTGACAGGTAGTGTATGTATGTGGGGTGGGGGAGTGAGAAGGAGGGGCAGTCACTCTCTGTCCAGTGCAGGCCCTGAGCACCTGTTTGAGGGATCTGAGAATGCACATTGATCACTTGCCAGTGCTATGCTGGGTAGCAGGTACTTATGTCTACACCTCAGTTAATTTTCACAACTGCCCCATGAGATCAGTACAATTATTTTCACCCCCATTTTAAAATTGCTTCCTAGAGGCACCACTTTGGGCAGAAACGTTACTTAACCTTTCTGTGTCTCCTTTTCCTTCTCTGAGGAAAATGGGGATGACAATAATTTGCCTTCCTCATATAAAGCACTTAGAATAATGCCTGACACACAGTAGCCAGTGAATAAATGCTAATATTGTTACTGCTGTTATTTTCCAGATGAGGAAACTGAGGCTTGGTAAGTGAGACACAAATGCCTGATCATATTCTAAGATGGGCTGAATCAGGCCCTCCTGATAGCTATGAGGATGATGAGGATGATGATGGAGGAAGAGGAGGGGAAGGAGAAGAAAGAAAAGGAGAAGGAAGAGAAGGAGAAGAAAGAGGAGTAGGAGAAGAAGAAGGAGGAGGAGAAGGAGGAGGAGGAGACAAAGAAGATGATGTTGGTGATGATAAAGATGTTGGTGGTGATGACAATGTTGATGATGATGATGAAAGAGGAAGAGGGGAGGGGAAAAAGGAGCAGGAGAAAAGGGGGAAGATGATGTCAGTGGCTGTAATGATGTTGTTGACGATGATGATAAAATGAAAGTGTTGATGATGTTGATAAAGCTGATGATGATGATAGTAAGAAAGACAAAGACATGATGAAAGCTAATAATTATTGAACATTCACCATGTCCCAGGCATTGTGCTAAGCATCTCACATTTATCGACTGAGGAAACTGAAGTGCCAAGAGGGTAAGAGCATCACTGGCATCATGCAGGTGGTGAGGGTGCAATCAGGACTCATGCCCAAGACTGCCTGACTCAATAGCACTTAACTCCATATGGGTGCCACCATTGTGAAAGAGTCTGGACCGGGAGCTCAAAAGAGTTGTCTCAATCTTCTCCGTATATCAGAATCACCTAAGGAGCTTTTTAAAAATACCAAGGCCTGAGTCTCAACCTTAGAGATTCAGAATCAGTTGGTGTGGGGTGGAGCCTGGGTATCAACATAATTTATTCAGGTGATTTTGAAAACCACACTATCCAGATGATCACTAAGGTTGCCCGGTCCTGGTATTTCAGGCATCTCTGATCATCCTCTATTCTCCCTACCAAGGAGGCTGCAGGGAAGGAAGTCTGGCAAGACATCTCAAGGAGGAGAGGGAGCTGGAAAAGCCAGAGTCAAGTGAGCCCTGGGCAAGGCAGGCTATGAACTATGAAAGAACATGTGAATTGGGCCTGGGCACTGCCACCATTTTCCTCAACTTTCTGGCCATCTGCTGATTGTGGGGCATCTTAGAAATAAAAATAATATTCCTTGGATGTTATTTCATAATACTGTTCCTCCCTTTAAAGCAAAGGCAGTGTGTTGTCCTGGGAGTGAATTTACAAAGAATAGCATCATTTTATTTTGAAACAGTCACCACCTTAGAGTTCATTTTACCCAAGCTTCTTTTTTTTTTTTTTTCCAGGGTCTTGCTCTGTTACCTGGCACTATCATAGCTCACTGTTGCCTCAAACTCCTGGACTTAAGCGATTCTCTTCCACTCTCTGTCCCCCACCTCCCAACTACCTGGGACTACAGGCATGCACCATCATGCCCTCCTAATTATTTCAGTTTTTGTAGAGACAGGGGTCTCACTTTGTTGCCCAGGCTCATCTTGAACTCCCGGGCTCAAGTGATCCTCCCACCTCAGCCTCTCAAAATGTTGGGATTATAGGTGTGAGCCACTGGGCTCAGCCCCAAGCTTCTTACTTGTAGTGAGGAAACTGAGGCCCAGAGAGGGACAGTGGCATGCCCAAGCCCACAGGACCAACTTACTCGTCATCCCTTGGAACGGCCTGCTTGCTGCTGCTGTGAATGAGAGCATGCCAGGATTCTTGCTATGAAGCCTTTATTTTTAAAAAAAAAAAACCCAACAAATCAATATGCTTTATATAATTTTTGTTCATCTCTTGGAAAGATGCAATGTGGCAGTTAAGTCCACTGTCAATATTTTTATGAACTCTGTGGAAAATATGATGTTAAAGGCTTTTGGTAACCACTTCATTAAGCTTGGCTTTTTCTAGGCCACCACAAAAGGTAAATAAACCCTAATGAGTAATATGCCCAGATTGAGATCCTGTAAGCTATCCAAAGAGTCAGTGCCTCAAAGCACACTCATCCCCCTACATCAAGCCTCAGAGGAGTCTGAGAAAGGTGATCCTAGCCCTGTGCTGCACACCAAGACCTTCAGACAAAGACTTATTAACCCACAAATTAGATACTAACTAAATAGAGCCAGAAATTCCATAAACGGAAAAGAATTGCATAGCATTAGTAATACTGTGAAGTTAGCATGCCACCAGTTGGGCTCCCAGGACAGCAGAATGCCCTGGTAACCAGCACATAGAGATTAATGGGGCTGCTGGGCCTAACAATGACCCCAGGCCTTACTCTTTCATTCCTTCCACAAATTAAATGCTAGGTATTGGGGATTCAATAGTGATTAAGACAAAGTTCCTGCCTTTCAGGAGCTCATTGTATTTTGGGGAGAAATTGGACTACAAGGAAACAGACTTGTCATCTGGGGGTGCAATGGGATGTATGGTGAGTGAATGTCCCATACTGGGGAGCAGGGTCAGGAATATTTCCTTGGAAGGACTGCAGAGTTGAAGGAAAGAGCTCATCTTTAAAACAGGAGAAACTTGAGTGTTATTTACAGATGATGGGAAAAGCCAACAGAAAGAGAAAGAATTGAGGTCAGTTATTGGCCTGAGTTTCCTAAGAAGGTATAAGAGGGCCAGGCATGGTGGCTCACGCCTGTAATCCCAGCACTTTGGGAGGCCGAGGCAGGCGGATCACCTGGGGTCGGGAGTTAGAGACCAGCTTGACCAACATGGAGAAACACCGTCTCTACTAGAAATACAAAAAAATTAGCTGGGCGTGGTGGCTCATGCCTGTAATCCCAGCTGCTTGGGAGACTGAAGCAGGAGAATCGCTTGAACCCAAGAGGTGGAGGTTGCAGTGAGCTATCGCGCCATTGCACTCCAGACTGTGCAACAAGAGGGAAACTCCGTCTCAAAAAAAAAAAAAAAAAAAAAAAAAAAAGAAGGTATAAGAGAATGGAACTGGGTTGGGGGATGAGCCTCAGGAGGAAGGAGAACCTGCCTGTGAAACAGATGAGAAAGAGACAAGGGTGGACACAGATGTGCATGGACTGGTGGGCAAGGAACTGGAGGTGAGGAAATGGGAAGGGGCAGCTGCTTTGGGTGAACTAGGAGGTGTGACATCATCTAAGAGTGTAGGGGGCAGTGAAGAGGAAGAGGGCTTCATGAAAGGGGAAAGTTTAACAAAGTGCCAGGAAGAACTGACATGGGATTTACTGTGTCATAGAGGATGTCTACTGGGAGGTGGTGGGGGCCCAGCTGTCACCAGGGACCATGAAAGAAAAGTAGCCTCACAATGAATGGTTGGGTGGGTTTCTCCAGAAGTCCCCAGCAGCACGAGTATAGGAGCAAAGAAGGCTGGCTCCATTTACGATCAGTTTTTCCAGGTAAATATGAGGGCAAAAACATCAGGCCAAGGAATTAAGAGTTCTTGTAAGACAGGCTGAAGTGATGGCATATAATGAAGGGAGTGGAGATAGAAGGGGCTGATAGAGTGGAGAAAATGAAGTAGCTAAGGGTCTGCAGGTCTTAATAAGGTTAAAAACAGATGCTGTGAGATTAGTGGAGGAAAATGCTAGAAGCACAGTGATCCTTACTGGACTGTGAAAACTTCAGTTCCAGGTAATGGTGAGCTAGGTTATTTGGATCAACTGCCTGCTGAAAACAATCAAGAATGCTGCATAAAACATAAAAACATCTTAAAGGTAACAAGAGCTGACAAAATCCTAAGGAATTACCAGGCCATTGTTGAAGGGAAAAAAAGAAGCCAATGAGCACAGAATCTGCTTTTGCCCTGACGAATTCTGACATCTTAGCAAATCTGAAGTTTTGTTTTGTCTACCAAAATCAAAATCAAAGGCCAGTACAAAGTGTAGGAGTCTAATAGGAGGCCTCTGGCACTATAAGCTGGGCCTCCTAAGACTATTTCCTCTAAAGTAGGAGGTGAACTGAATTAAACCAATTCTTACATAGTTTTGCAGCTCAGATTTGTACCACCTAAGTTGGCCAGGGAAATTCAAATCTTGATTTTGGATTAAGGTGAGATTTCCAGACACATATCCTCTATAAACAATTTTTCAATCATAATAGCCAGCACACAGTCAAAAATAACTAAATATACTTAGAAATCAGATACAATGAGGAACCCACAGATGTAACAGACCCATAGATTTCAGATATTGGTATTATTAGATACAGACTACGAAAAACTATGCTTGCTATGATTAAAGAAATAAAAGATCAGTCCTGCAGGGAACAGGAAACCATAAAAAATGACATAGCAGATTTGAAAATCAAATGGAATTCTTAGAACTGAAAAATACAATAATCAAAGTAAAGAATGATGTTGGTTTTTGAGGTTTCTGAGATAGAGCAGTTGCTAGTGTTGATATCCAAAGTGTGGCCAGTGGGAGTTTGCAGCTGAAGTGGAGTGGAGGAGTCATTCAAGGGAGTTGAAGTGATGCAGAAACTGGGAGGCTAAAGGGTTGGGGGGATTTTTCACGTGGCCTGTGAAGTCATCCAAAATTATGGTAGGACTTGGGGCGGGGAGACAGGTGCCCGAGATATCACTGGATGAGGGGAAGTTTAGCAGACAGAGATGAAGAGAGAGAGTAGTCTTGACAAATGAGATTAAAACATAATGGAGTAAGGAATTCCAGCAGGAGTGAAGAAGTAATCTGGAAATGGGACTGAGGAGTGAGAAGGATGGATCCCATCTCTCTGCCAAGAACTGTAAATGGTCTGGGATTTTACGCTACTTACAAGCTAAGAGCTGAGCCTGCCGCAGCTTTATGGATGCTGGCAGAAGACTTGAGGCTCAGGTCAGAGATGAAGTTCAGTATATTACTCATGGCAATGGTAGCAGCCAGAGTATCTGCATTTGTATTGATTCTTTGAGTTGCAATCCCTACAGGAGGATGTAAAGAAAGTCAAGTTATACCCACATGTGAAGTGGGTTAATTTTTAAGGACAGGAATCCTGAATTTATGGACTCTGAATCTTTTATAATAAGCAGTAAATCAGCCTGCTGTTTGCTCTGGAGGGAGACATTATCTTTATTACACTGGTCAGTAAGCGTATCTGCCATTTGCTCCTGAAGAGACACTGTCTCCATCTTCGAAGCCTAATCATCATACAACCACCTTGAAAAGAAAGTCTAAAGTGAAGGTAACCAATACCTCTGCTGGCAAGAAGTGGTAAAATGTGAGAGACCTACAGAGAATTCTCAACACTTTTCAGCCCAGGTCTACTGGTTTTGAGGATAAATGGTTTTTATTTGCCAGAGTTTAAAGGAAGTGGTATCCTCAGAGGCCAGCAGGATTTTAGGTAGAGCCAGGAGGTAGGATATATTCTATGAGAAAGTTAAGAATTTAGAAAATTTGTTCCTACTCACTAAAAAGAGAAGTGCTTGGATCATTACAAATAAAAATTTGTACCAAAATTCTGTTTAGTACAACATAATACTGTATTCAACACTCAACACTGTATTCAATACAGTATTCAACACCATGTTCAATACAGTATTCAACACTGTATTGTAGTGCATTCCAGAAAAGACAGAATGAAGAAGGGCCTGGGCACTGGGTAAGGAATGAGGAGACTTGCGTGGTGGTCCAGCTCTCCATTAACAGCTGACTTTCCCCTCGTGGTCATCATTTCCTCATCTGTAAAATGAAAAGGATGGAGATAGTTAATAGTTTTGAAATCTCTTTTTAGCTCTGTTGATATAAGATTTTCATGCTTAGAAAATTGGCAATATAAATATAATACCTTTAGAAATTCCCTATTAGCCAGAAAACCCTACTTTCTAGGACAGAGTTTACTAAAAAGACAACAAAGAAGAAGATAGTAGTGATAAGAATGACTATCAAATAGTAGATGGAAACCATGGCTCCCAGCCTAGTGCTGCGCTTTGTCTGCTTTGGACGCCAGAACTATCCATGGATATTATTGCTTAGAGAGTAAATTAGTTTTAACTTTCTGGAGAGGCTGACTGACCAACCCTGATTTCCTAATGCACAAGCAGACACTTAGAGTCTCAGGGAGGCAGCATGTGTCAGAGAATGAATGTGGGCTCTGGAGTCCAACAGACCTGGGAATAAATCCAGACTCTTCCACTTGCAGGCCATGGGACTAGAGTGTTACTATTTTGTGGCCTGCCCCATATCCCTCTCTTTTGGGAGCTGCACACTGACTTTCTGGAGCTTGCCCATACCCTACTCTATCCATGCGGTTCCTGTGGGAAGTGACACATTCTCACATGACCACGCCCACTGGACACAGTTAATTGGTTAAGGGGCAGGTATCTGGCCCAGGCTGAGCCAATCAGAGCCTTTCCCTGTGATTTCTGTGATTGGAACTGAGGAGTGGCATCAGTCCTCTGTGGGCAAAGGCTGAAGATGACAGGCATGTGAGAATATAGGCAGACACACTCCCTGCCATGTGCAGAAAGCCAGTCTGCAGTGAGAGCAAAGATGAGAGGTGGAGAAACAGGCCTGGTGGCGTCTGAGACACTGCTTCTAGTTGTTCTGAGGCTTGGCTGCCCCTTGCCTTTCCCATGCATGGTTTGGTTCTTAAACAGTTTGTTGTATTTCCGGAACCATCAAGTGTCCCTTTTTGTGTAAGGTTGTCCAAGTTGGCTTTGAACATTTGCAACCAAAAGAGGTCTGACTCATTTAGAAATCCTGGGCAAATCGCCCTCGCAGTTCCTCCATTTCCTGATTTATAAAATGGTAAAAATTGGGATCAAAATGTATAGTATAGCCGTAGGGGTAGCTGAGAAGATTAAGTGACATAACATATGAGAAAACCTGGCACTGTGCCTTGCCAGTAGGGGAGCTTAAGAAATATTATTTTCTTTCCTCTTTGGCCTTAAAGTCATCCAGGGTGCTATTTTTAAAAGCTAACATTTATTGAGCACTTATTGAGAGCCCGGCATTGTACTTGGCGTTTACAATGCATAATTGCATTTAGCCCCCAGTATAATCCTATGCAGTAGCTACTATGATCTTCATTTTACAGATGCGGAAACCATCATGAGGGAGTGGATAAGGGGACTGTGAACTGTTCGCTGGAGTTAAGGCCTCCAGCCCCATCCCAAAGCCAGCACTGCTTGAGCCTCAGAGGAGGTGAGTTCAGACAATTAAAATACAGATGTGAGAGTAAATGTTGAGAACTTACTACCTTGAAAAGAGATTTAGGTTGAAAACAGAAACAGTTCCGAGATGGTTTGGCTGAGGTAACTATGATGGGCTGTATGGGGTTATTAAGGGAGGCTGAGGCATTTAGAGCCCACATCTTTTGAACTTAACCTCATGGAGGAGACACTCCCGCCCTCAGCTGATGAGCATGACAGGCCCTGTCACAAGAGGTCTTAGGACTGCCCAGAGTGGAGGGGAGGGAGATGCTATGGCTTGGGTGTCTGTGTCCCTCCAAAACTCATATGTTGGTACCTAATACCCAGTGTGATAGTATTAAGAGGTGAGGCCTTTTGGGAAGAGATTAGGTCATGAGTGCTCTGCTCTCTTGAATGGATTAATGCTCTTATAAATGAGGTTGAAGGGAGTGCCAAGATGCCCTTCTACTCTTTTGCCCCTTCCACCACGTAAGGACACAGCATTTGTCCCTTCCACCACGTGAGGATGCAGCAAGAGGTGCCATCTTGAAAGCAGAGAGCAAGCCCTCACCAGATACTGAATTTGCTGGCATCTTGATCTTTGATTTCCCAGCCTCCAGAGCTGTGATAAATAAATTACTATTGTTTATAAATTTTCCAGTCTAATGTATTTAGTTATTGCAGCACAAATGGACTAAGACAGGAGGGAAGTTCGTTCAAATCCTGTTGGTGCTAAGATGCTACCCTGTGCCTCAAGGGACACGAAGCTTGGACACAGGACAGAGGTGGGGCGGGAGCCAGGGAAGGTGAGGGGCTGAACTGGAGCAGCAACCAGGGTGGTGGTGGGGGATGGGATGAGAGAATTTCTTAAGATTGTTTCTTGGACAGACTGAAGATAATGAATAAATTTTGCCCCAGAAAAAAGAGGAAGGAAAGAAGGAAGGAAGGAAGGAAAGAAAGAAGGGAGGGATGAGGGAAGGAAAGAAGGGAGGGATGAGGGAAGAAAGGAAGGAAGGAAGGAAAGAAGGGAAGAAGGGAAGGGATGAGGGAAGGAAGGAAGGAAAGAAAAAGAAAAACTAAAAATCAGACTATAATGTTTAATTATTGTTATGGTTTAGAAATAATTGTCATTTCTGATTTTGGAGGCCCAGTATGCATACATTCCAATAGATCTGTCATTGTCACAGCATTTGCATTTACAGCTGCTTCTGTCTGGAATCTCTGTAGTTCTGGTGGTCTCCAGGAACAAAGTGTAATGATTTTGACTTTTCAGCGGCTTGGTTTGGAGATTGGGTGGTAGAACCAGCAAGGTTTGGCACTAGGAGCACTAAGTCCTGAGTTTGTATTGTAGTTCCTCTCTTAACAGGCTGTGTGATACAAGCAACTTGCTGCTTTTCTCTTAGCTGTGCAAGGAATTGTTTCAAATAATTTTGGCAGTGGCTACCTCTGGCCCTGCTTAAGGGGAGTGGAACCCCATCTTTACCCCACTTCAAGAGCCCCCACCTTCTATCTGTTTTAGACTCTGAAGTCTGGAAAAAACATTTCAATTTTTTAAAAACGTCTTATTTTTTGTTTTTAATTTGAAAAAAATAAATTTTATTGTGTATATTTAAGGTATACAACACAATGTTATGGGAGACATATCTATAGTAAAAAGGTTACTATAGGAAAACAAATTAATGTATTCATCACCTTATATAGTTACCCATGTTTTTTGTTTATGTGACAAGAGCAGCTAAAATGTACTTATTTAGCAGGAATTCCAAATACAATTTTATTACCTATAAATCTCATGCTGTACCTTAGAGTCCTAGACTTGTTTATCCTACATATCTGCTACTTTGTGTCTTCTGACCTACATCTTCCCATTTCCTCCTCACCTCCCACCCCAACCCCTGGTAACCACTGTTTTGTTCTCTATCTCCCTATATTTGATTTTTAAAAAAGATCCCAGGTTGGGCATGGTGGCTTACACCTGTAATCCCAGCACTTTGGGAGGCTGAGGCAGGCAGATCACCTGAGGTCAGGAGTTCGAGACCAGCCTGGCCAACATGGTGAAACCCCATTTCTACTAAAAATACAAAAACTAGCCGGGCACAGTGGCACACACCTGTAGTCCCAGCTACTTGGGAGGCTGAGGCAGGAGAATCGCTTTAACCTGGGAGGCAGAGGTAGCAGTGAGCCGAGATCACACCATTGCATTCCAGCCTGGGCAACAAGAGTGAAACTCTGTCTCAAAAAAAAAAAAAAAAGAAAGAAAAGAAAAAGATTCCACATATAAGTGAGATCATGCAATATTTTCTTTCTGTGTCTGGTTTATTTCACTTAGCATAATGTCCTCCAGGCTCAGCCACATCATGGCAAACGGCAAGGTCTCATTCTTTTTTAGGGATGAATAATATCCCACTTATCTATCTAACTATCATCTATCTATCTATCTATCATCTATCTATGTATCTATCATCTATCTATCATATTTTCTTTTGTTCCCTTTTACTGATTATACTTTACATATTTGTAGGGTACATATGAGAGTTTGTTACACGCATAGAATGAGTAATGATCAAGTCAGTGTATCTGGGGTATCCATCATCTTTAGTGTTTATCATTTTTATATGTTGGTATCATTTCAAATCCTCTCTTCTAGTTACTTTGAAATCTACATAATATCATTGCTAAAGATAGTTGGCCTCGTCTGCTATCAATAATTAAAACTTATTTCTTCTATTAACTGTATGTTTGTACCTCTCTTCATCCCCTCTCCCACCCCCTGCCACTCTTTCCAGTCTCTGGTATCTATTGTTCTATTTTCTGTGTCCATGAGATCAAGTTTTTTAGCTCCCACACATGAGTGAGAATATGCAGTGTTTGTCTTTCTGTGCCTGGCTTATTTCACTTAACACAGTGACTTCCAGTTCCATCCATGTTGCTGCAGATGTCATGATTTCATTCTTTTTATTATTATTATTGAATAGTATTCCACTGTGTCTATGTGCCACATTTTCTTTATCCATTCATCCATTGGTGGGCACTTAGGTTGAATCCATGTCTTTGCTATTGTGAATAGTGCTGTGATAAACATGTGAATGCAGGTAACCCTTTAACATACTTATTTATTTTCTTTTGGATAGATACCCAGTAGTGGGATTGCTGGATTGTATGGTGGTTCTACTTTTAGATTTTTGAGAAATCTTCATACTGTTTTCCATAGTGGTTGTATTGATTTACATTCCCATCCATTCAACAGTGTATGAATTCCCTTTTCTCTGCATCCTCTCCAGCATCTATTCTTTTTTTGTCTTTTTAGTAATAGCTATTCGACTGGGGTGAAATGATACCTCATTGTAGTTTGGATTTGCATTTTCCTGATGATTAGTGATGTTGAGCATTTTAAAAATATATCTATTGGCTATTTGTATGTCTTCTTTTGAAAATTGTCTATTCATTTCCTTTGCCCACATTTTAATGGGATTATTTGGTTTTTCACTGTTGAGATATTTGAGTTCCTTACATATTCTGGATATTAGTCCCCTGTCAGAAGAGTTGTTTGCAAATATTTTCTCTCATTCAATAGGTTGTCTTTTCACTTTTTGTTTCTTTTGCTGTGCAGAAGCTTTCAAGTTTAATATAGTTCCATTTATATATTTTTTGTTTTGTTGCTTGTGCTTTTGAGGTCTTAGCCATAAAACCTTTGCCTAGACCAATGTCCTGAAGAGTTTTTCCTATGTTTTATTCTAGCAGTTTCATAGTTTTGGATCTTATATTTAGGCCTTTAATCCATCTTGAATTGACTTTTGTATACGGTGAGAGACTGGGGTTCAGTTTCATTCTTCTGCATAAGGTTGTCCAGTTTTCCCAGCACCATTTATTGAAGAGTGTGTCCTTTTCCCAGTAGATGTTCTTGGCAGCTCTGTTGAAGATCAGTTGCCTGTAAATATGTGCCTTTATTTCTGTGTTCTCTATTCTGTTCCTTTGGTCTATGTGTCTGTTTTTATATAAATACCATGCTGTTTTGGTTATTATAGGCTTGTAATAAGTTTTGAAGTTGGGTACTGTGTTGTCTCCAGTTTTGTTCTTTCTGCTCAGGATTGCTTTGGCAATTTGGGCTTTTTTGGTTTCACACAAATTTTAGGATCGTTTTTTCCAGTTCTGTCAAAATGACATTGGCATTTTGATAGAGATTACATTGAAGCTTTAGATTGATTTGCGCAGTATGGTCATTTTAACAAAATTAATTCTTTTGATCCATGAGCATGGGATATCTTTCCATTTGTTTGTGCCCTCTTCAATTTCTTTCATCAGTGTTTTCTGGTTTTCCTTATAGAGATCTTTCACCTCCTTGCTTAAATTTATTCATATATATATATATATATTTTTTTTTTTTTGTAGCTCTTGTAAATGGGATTGCCCTCTTGATTTCTATTTTGGCTATTTAATTGTTGGTGTATAGAAACTACTGATTTTTGTATGTTGATTTTGTATCCTGCAATTTTACTGAATTTGTTTATGAGTTCTAAGAGTTTTCTGGTGGAGTCATCTGTTTTTTCTAGATATAAGATCTTGCCACCCACAAAGAGAGAAAAGTTGACTTGCTCTTTTCCAATTTTGATGCTGTTGATTTTTCTTGCCTGATTGCTTTGGTTAGGACTTCCAGTACTATGTTAAATAGGAGTGGTGAAAGTGGGCATCCTTGTTTTGTTCCATTTCTTAGAGGAAAGGCTTTTGACTTTTTCCTATTCAGTATGATGTTAGCTGTGAGTTTGTCATATACAGCCTTTATTATTTTGAGGTATAGTTCTTCTATGTCTAGTTTGTTGAGAGTTTTTATCATGAAGGGTGTTGAATTTTGTCAAATACCTTTTCTGTTTCTAGTGAAATGATCCCTATGGTTTTGTCCTCCATTCTGTTCATGTGATGTATCATGTTTATTGATTTGCATATGTTGCACCATCCTTGCATCCCTGGGATAAATCTCATTTTATCTTGTTGTATTATCTTTTTGATATGCTGTTGGATTTGGATTACTAGTATTTTGTTGAGGATTTTTGCATCTATGTTCCTCAGGGATATTGGCTATAGTTTTCTTTTTTTGTTGTGCCTTGTCTGGTTTTGGTATTAGGGTAATGCTGGCCTCATAGAATGAAGGAAGATTCCTTCCTCTTTAATTTTTTTGCAACAGTTTGAGGATGATTAGTATTAGTACTTCTTTATACATTTGGTAGAATTCCACCGTGGATCCACCTGGTTCTGGGATTTTCTTTGTTGAAAGACTTTTTTTTTTTTTTTAAATTACCGATTCAATTTTCTTACTCATTATTGGTCTATTCAGGTCTTCTATTTCTTCCTGATTCAATCTTGGTAGGTTGTATGTTTCCAAGAATTTGTCAGTTTCCTCTAGGTCTTCCAGTTTGTTAGCATATAGTTGTTATAAGAGTCTCTGATGACTTCTGTATTTTGTCGTATCAGTTGTAACGTCTCCTTTTTCATTTCTGATTTTGTTTCTTTGGATCTTCTATCTTCTTGCATAGTGTAGTTAATGGTTTAAAAATTTTGTTTATCTTTTTGAAGAACCAATTTTTTTTATTGTTCTATTGTGGTTTTTTTTTAGTCTTTATTTCATTTAGTTGTGCTCTGATATTTATTGTTTCTTTCCTTCTGCTAATTTGGGGTTTTGTTTTTTCTTGCTTTTCTAGTTCCTTGAGGTGCATCTTTAGGTTGTTTATTTGAAATCTTTCTTTTTCTTTCTTTTTTTTTTTAAATAAAGCTATTTATTGCTGTAAACTTCTCTCTTAGCACTGCTTTTGCTGTGTCCCACTGGTTTTGGTATGTTGTGTTTCGATTTTCCATGATTCAAAAAATTTTTTGATTTCCATCTTAATTTTTTCATCGACCAAATGGTTGTTCAGAAGCATGATGTTTAATTTCCATGTATTTATATAGTTTCCAAGGTTCCTTTTGGTATTGATTTCTAGTTTAATTTCTTTATGATCTGAGAAAATACTTGGTGTAATTTTTATTTTTTGAAATGTTTTCAGACTTGTTTTGTGGCCTAACATGTGGTCAGACCTGGAGAATGTTACATGTGCTGATGAGAAGAATATATACTCAGCAGTTGTTTGATAAAATGTTCTGTAGATGTCTGTTAGGTCCATTTGATCAACAGTCCCATTGAAGTCCAATGTTTCTTTGTAGATTTTCTATCTAGATGATCTGTCTAATGTTGAATGTGCAGTGTTAAAATCTTCTGCTATTATTGTACTGGAGTTTCTTTCTTTCTTTAGATGTAGTAGTATTTGCTTTATGAATCTGGGTGCTCTAGTGTTGGGTGCACATATATTTAGAATTGTTATATCTCTTGCTGGGTTGATCCCTTTATCAATACATAATGACCTTCTTTGTCTTTTTTTAAACTGTTTTTGACTTAAAGTCTGTTTATCTGATATAAGTATGGCTACTTCTATTTGCTTTTGGTTTCTGTTTGCATGGAATATCTTTTTCCATCCCTTTACTTTCAGTCTATATATGTATTTCCAGGTAAAGTGAATTTCATGTAGGCAGCATATAGTTAGATTATGTTTTTTTTTAAATTCATTCAGCCAGTCTACAACTTTTAAGATCTAGAATTTAATCTGTTTACATTCAGGGTTATTACTGATATATGAGGTTTTTTTCCTGTCATATTGTTCATTGTTTTTTGGTTGTTTTGTATATTCTTTGTTTCTTTCTTTTTCACTTATTGATTGTCCTTGTGGTTTGCTGATTTTCTGTGGTGGTACCATTTGAGTTTTTCAAATCTTTCTCATTTTTGTGTTTGCTTTATTAGTGAATTTTATATTTGTGTGTGTTTTCACGATGACAGCTGTCAACCACTAGCTTCCAGGTTTAGGACTCCCTTGAGTATTTTTTGTAAGGCCAGTCTAGTGGTGATGAATTGCCTCAGCACTTGTCTGGGAAGGACTTTATTTCTCCTTCATTTATGAAGGATAATTTTGCTGGATGTAGTATCTCTGCGTGTCAGTTTTTTTTTTCTTTAGTACTTTAAATACATCATCCTATTCTCTCCTAGCCTATAAGGATTTTGCTGAGAAGACCACTGTTAGTGTGATGCAGCTGAGAAGACCACTGTTAGTGTGATGCAGACTCTTTTTTAAGTTACTAGATGCTTTTCTCTTGCAGTTTTTAGAATTTTCTCTGTCATTGACTTTAGACAGTTTTCCTATAACGTGTGGTGGAGACCTTTTTTGCATTGTACTTGATTGGGAATTGCTGAATATCTAAATCTCTTGCTAGACTTGAGACATTTTTATCTATTACTTTGTCAAATAGATTTTTGAACCCTTGTTCTCCCTTCATCTTTGAGAATACCGATAATTCATAGATTTGGTAGTTTTGTGGTGTCTCATATGTCATGAAGACTCTGTTCATTCTTTTTTCTTTATTTTTGACTGACTTGGTTATTTCAAAAGACCTGTCTTCAAGTGCTGAGATTTTCTCTCCTGCTTGATCTAGTCTAATGTTGAAGCTTTCATGTGTATTTTGTATTTCATTCAGGGAGTTCTACAGTTCGATAATTTGTTAGATTCTTTTTTATTTATCTCTTTGGTAAACTTCTCATTCATATCCTGTATTGTTTTTCTGAGTTCTTTGTACTGTCTTTCAGAATTCTCCTGTATCTCATTGAGCTTCTTGAATATCACAATTTTGAATTTCTGGGATTTTGTGAGTTTCTTTTTGATTGAGATCTGTTGCTGGGAAATTATTGTGTTCCTTTGGAGATGTCATATTTCCTTGCTTTTTTATGCTTCCTATGTCCTTATGTTGGTGTGAGTGCATCTGATGTTATAGTCTCTTCCTCCAGTTTTTGAATTTGCTTTCATAGGGGAGTTTTTTTTTTTTTTCCTGAAGATGTATCACTTGTGTTGGTTGGATAGGGTCCTTTGGTTTTGATTCTGGGTGCATGCAGTAGCATAGTCTCTGTGTGATTTCTTTGGCAGTAGACAGCATCAGTTGTATCTGTGATCTCCTTGGTGGTTTAACATGTGGTTATTAGTGGAGGTTACGGTGAAATTTTGCTGGGAGCAAGGATGCCAGGTGGACAGGGATAACAAGTGGGCCGGAGTGGTAGCAGCAGTGGGCTGAATGTGCCTGTTCTTGGGGCGCAAGGTAGTGTATGCTGGCACTGATGTTAGAAGAACCAGGCAGGCCTATTCTGGGGCCTCCTGGTGGCTTGCTCAGATGCCAATAGTGGCAATTGGCTGGGTGGGTGAGCAGGTTCTTGGGTCGCTAAGCAGTTGGTGTGGTGTGGGCAATGGCAGTACTGGGGCAACTCTCTGGGCAATGAGGCAACTCTCTGGATGCCAAGAGGTGCACACTGGTGGTGTGGTGTGGGTTGCCACCCACAGCTGAAGATACCCAGCTCTTAGGCTCACTTACTCTTAGCAGCAGCGACACTGCAGTGCCAAGCAGCTGGGGAAGGACCTGCCTTTCATGCATGAGCATGGGCATGGAGGCCACATCACCATTAGGGGTGCAGTTGCCACTCATAGCCTCATACAGGCAACTTTCCAGCTCGCCTGCCTCAGCCTCTGGTGGTAGCACCAGTGGCTGTGCCTTCAGTGGTGTGTGAATTGGGAAAAGCGTTCCTGTTTTCTCTATACCTGAGCCTGCACGCAGAGGCCACTCTACTGGTGGGAAGGGATCTCACTTGCCTCTTGTGAAGCTGAGCACAGAGTTTGTGCTGCTGCTGTGGGCAGGGTCACTCCTCACAGCCCCAGACAGGGAGTTCTCGAGCTCTGGAAAGCCTACACTTTGGTTTTCTTTGCCTTAGGAGATGCCTTTTCGGTGTGCTGCGCCACCCTTTCCTTGGATTGTCTTATTCCCTAGCGTACTGGAGACCCCGGAGCACTGTGGGGTCCAGCCAGTGCCATGCCTCTGTAGCCCTCCCACTGGACACTGGGGGATGTCAGTGGGGGATCCTGGATGGAGCTATGGAGGCTGTGGGTCCCAGGTCATGATGCAGTCTTATGATGACCGTGCTCTCACAATGGTGCCCTAGCTGCTTAGGTCTAGTGGTTGGGGGTGTGGTAAGTGACTCAGCGCAAGTTCCCTGTCTGGTGCAATGCCCTTGTGGGGTCTCCAAATCACTGCCTAGCTAGTGTCAGGGTTTGTGTGGTAGAGGAGCTCTCTTGTGGTTTAAATTACAACAGTCTGTGGGTGGGGAGGGTGTGGACCACTGAAGTTCTCTCACCCCTTCCCAGCAATACTGAGCCCCTTCAGGCTCCTGGCTGATCACAATTGTTCTCCTAGATGTGCTATTCAAGGTCAGTTTTTCTATTCATAACTTTTTTTCTCTTTCTGAAGAGGGCAGATGTCTAATGTCTCTAGTCAGCCATCTTGTCCCTTTCACCTATATCACAGTTTCTTTATCCATTTGTCTGAAGATGGACATTTAGGTTGCTTCCATGTCTTAGCTATTGTGAATAATGTTGCAATGAACATGGGGGGGCAGATATTTTTAGGAGGTGGCAATTTCATTTCCTTTGGGTATATTTCCAGGAGAGGGATTGCTGGGTCATTTGGTAGTACTAGTTTTAATTTCTTTAGAAATCTCCATACTGTTTTACATAGTGGCTGCACCAACCTACAGTCCCACCAACAGTGTACAAGAACTCCCTCTTCTCCACACCCTTGCCAGCATGTGGTATCTTTTGACTTTTTGATATTAGCCATTGTAACAGGCATAATGTGATATCTCATAGTGGTTTTGATTTGCATTTCCCCAGTGACCAGGGATGTTGAGCATCTTTGCATAATCACTTGTTGGCAATTTTTGTGTCTTCTTTGGAGAAGTATCTATTCAGGTCTTTTGCCCATTAAAAATTTTTTTGTTTGTTTTTCTACTATTGATTTGTATCAGTTCTTTATAAATTTTTGATACTAACCCCTTATCAGATATATGTTTTGCAAATATTTTCTCCCAAAGTGTGGGCTGCAATTTCATTTTGTTGTTTGTTTTCTTTGTTGTGCAGGAGCTTTTTAGTTTTATGTAGTCCCATTTATTTATTTTTGCTTTTGTGGCCTGAGCTTTTGGTGCGATATCCTGAGAATCATTGTGAAAGCTAATGGCTAGGAGGTGAAGTTTTATAGTTTCTGATCTTTCATTTAGGTCTTTTGTCCGTTTTGAATTTATTTTTGAGTATGATGTTAAATAAGGGTCTAATCTTATTTTTTTGCATGTGGAAATTCAGTTTTCTCAGGACCATTTATTGAAGAGACTTTCCTTTCCTCATTGTCCCCTCTTGGTGCCCTTGTCAAAATTTAGTTATCTAAATATGTTTAGACCTCTTTCTGGGCTCTCTATTTTGTTCTACTGTTCTGTGTGTCTGCTTTCATGCCAATACCATAATGTTTTGATTACTATAGCTTTGTAATATTGTTTTAAATCAGAAAATGTGATGCCTCCAACTTTATTTTTCTTTCTCAACATTGTTTTGGCTCTTTGGAATCTTTTATGTTTCCATATGCATTTCAGAATTGTTTTTACTATTTCTGTGAAGAATGCCATTGGAATTTTGATAGGGATTGTGAAAGGCATTTTAAACCAGTGGATGAGACTATATACCTAAAGGTTCTTCCAGCACTTACATTTGTGGGTTTCCCGACCACAGCAGGCCTTAAAGGATTATGGCAAGAGCTAGACATGACTTCACCATGTGCTAAACTGGGGCGCTCCTCATGTCCCAACTTTTCTAGTGTGAGTTAAGAATCCCTGTGTGTGTGCAGGTGGATATCAGCACAGACAGGGCCTAGGGATGCTGCTGACCCAGACAGGGAAAGAGTTTGTACCTGCACCTGGCAATCATTACCTCACTCGCTCAGAGGGCCCTGTGCTCACTGGGAAGCATCTGCCTGCTGCTAGCAGGACTTGGTTTCACTTTCAGCATAATAATTTGGACATCAGAAGGTTTTGGGTTACTAGTGCTGCTTTAGTCCCACCTGAAGGAGTAAAAAGGGAGCAATGACATTTGAAATCAAGATTCTAATCATCTTTCGGGGGTTTTTGATGTGGTTTAAGCCTGGCTGTTGGCCTGGCCAGAGCCTCCAGGGCAGGCCCTGCCCAGAGGTGCACAATGTGGCAAGAGTAGAAGGAGCTGTTACTTGAGCTCACAGCCAGATACGGAGAAAGAGCTCCCTCCAGACAGCGGATGGTGCCACCCACTCATCTCTCCCAGACTGTGCGTGGCTCAACCCATCCTTCCTGACCAGTCCAGGTGGCTGTGCTCCTGCAGTCTCCTCCCTGGTCTCGCACACTTTGACTTCCTTACTCAGGAGGCATTGTGAAGTCTCCCCGCGATGCCACTCCACCTCCTCTGGGATTCTCTGCCACTCAAGGTCTGTCCTCCTGCCAATGGTCCCTGGACTTCCTGGGGAGGCAAAGACCTGCCCCAGCTGGCCAACCCTTCCTTGCGTGTGGCCCTAGATGGTGGCCCTTTCTGGCTCTGCTTGCTTCCTGGCTCTGTCCTGACCCCGCAGCTCACCCTTGGCCTGCCCTGGCCTGGCTTCCACTGGAAATAAAATCACAGGGTCTTAGACAGAGTCCCACCCTGACTTACTCACATTCACTAAATGAGTTGGAGATGAAGCCATTTAATATCTAGAAACCCCAAAGTGTTTGTTGTAGCAACCCCCATATCCACGGCTCTGAGCCTGTTTCTTTTCTGTTGTGCAGTAAATAATAATAATAATAATATCCAGCCCTTCAACACCTCCTCATTTTCTAAGGAATTAAATACACACAACTCAGTGTGGAATTTGAGACCCTGTGTGGTCTGGTACCAATCTACCTTGCCAGCCTCCTCCTACTACTCTGTTGATGCATGGCCTTTGCTCCCATCACTTTGCTGGGAGGCCACTTGCTGATTCCTGAATATGCCCTGAACCGCCTCCTCCATACCATGATTCTGAAGTCCTCCGTCTGAATGGCCACCCCCACCCTGCCAATCTGTGTGTGCTGGATGCTGGACCACCCTTCCTAGTCCCTCCCCAGCCACTCTCCATGAAGCTCCGCGGTCGGACGCCCTGTCCCACCCCAGCCCAGCCTTCTCTGGTTTGGTGGTAGGTTCATCTTCCCTCCCTTCCTCCCTGCCTGTCTGTATTCCCGAGGTCAGGGATTGCATTTTCATATCCCTCACAGTGCTGGGACGGGAAGGAGGCACCCTGAGTTTATTGTGTGAGTTGAAGTGGAAGGTGATGAATGGCGGCTTCCCTTGGACAACAGATCTGGCCTTGGAGTGAAAGGAGGAAGAGGCTGAGTGCAGAATGAGGTTTCAGGGGAGGCTGGGTGGGGGTCTTTGTGAGCCCCCCAGAATTTGGTTGCCTGTGAGCCCATGACATGTATTGTTGGCATTAAAGCAACACTCAATACCATCAAATAAACTTTTATCATTAAAATTTTTTTCCCTCATAGACATAGGTTTGGGAATATTTTGTCTGCCAAACAAATTCCATTTATTTACTAATCTATTTTCCTATCTTTATCATTCAGAGATCCATGTAGCCACCACTGAGAACTTCAGACCAGAAGAGACAAGCAGAGATACTGCAACGCACTCATCCAGAGCAGAGGAACCCTATTTTGAGTTTACCTATAGGACCTTATAACAGGCAAACATATGATGTCTTCATAGTATTAGAAATAATGAAATGAAGGACTATATCAGTGACCTCCTGAAAGGTTAACTGGAAATCTCAGGATTAATCTTTCTCATTTTCTGTTAAAATGCAAATCCCCGGGTTGGAATAATGATTGAACATTGTTTGTTAGTTACACCTTAATGAATGGGGTTATTAGGGTTTAAGAGAATGAGGTCATTGGGGTTTATTAAACCATCAAGGGAGAGAACTAAGAGGGGACCCTGAGATGCCCAGTAAGGCAAATATTTGGAGATAAGTTTCATTTCACCCCTACTTGGCCTCCACAAGGCCTGCACACTTAAATATTGGTTTGAGAGAATTCTGAAGTCAGAGTGGCAGACCATGCTGGTCACACCCAATGGCCCGATCCTGCTACAGGAACACAATTTCACTCATGAGTGGGACACCCCCTGACTCTGGCTACAGGGGAAGAGCACGGTTCCATGCCATTTCCCTTTGCCAGTGATTGTTTCGGTGATGAATGTGTAAGCCATTTCTGGCCAATGGGATATAAGGGCGTTTAATCTCACCCCTCTCTTGTAAGGAGAGGAGGAACTTCCTTCTTCACTCCAGCCTGCCTCCACACATGGTTCTGTGAAGATGTAACATTTGGTTTGTGACAGCCATCTTGTGACCACAAAGAAAAACCGCAATAAGCCTTGGCATCACCACGGGGCTGAATTAACCCACCCAGGGGCCCCTGACCTCTAGACTTCTCGTTATGAGAAATGATAAATCCTATTATTTAAGCAACTACAGTCAGGCTGTTTTGTTCCTTGAAGCAAAGGCTTATCCTGATGCATCCAGAGGTGTCACAGTGCGAACAGGCAGAGGCCATGGCAGGGTGGGAGAGGGTCCGGGGGTGTCACAGTGAGGAGAGGCAGAGGCCGT
This sequence comes from Homo sapiens, assembly GCF_000001405.40. Taxonomy (NCBI): domain Eukaryota; kingdom Metazoa; phylum Chordata; class Mammalia; order Primates; family Hominidae; genus Homo; species Homo sapiens. The sequence continues at coordinate 44,527,594 of NC_000006.12, forward strand.
GGCAGGGTGGGAGAGGGTCCAGGGGTGTCACAGTGAGTAGAGGCAGAGGCCGTGGCAGGGTGGGAGAGGGTCCAGGGGTGTCACAGTGAGGACAGGCAGAGGCTGTGGCAGGGCGGGAGAGGGAATGCCCCCTCCTAGTTTGCTTGCCCACAGCCTGATCACCATGAAGGCAGCCCAGGGAGGGCAGGGCTGGGCCTTCCACGGAACTGGAGGTCTCTGGGGCTCTCTCAGCCTCAGGAGCAAACAGCTTGAGCCCTGAGGACTCTGGGTAGCTCTCGAGTGTACCTAGCAGGGACCCACTCACCCAGCCCCACTTCCCGTCGCTTCCTGTCAGACTCCTGGAACGCAGCATGAATGGGCTCTTTCGTGACAATTTTGCACACCCCACCATTGATCCAAGCCCTTTAAAAATGACTTTCCTTCTTGTCTGGCATCTTCTCACTTCCTTCCTACACCTGTGAAGTCTATGCTTTTGTCAAGTCAGCTCAGACTGCCCTTCCCCCAGCCCTTAGCCCTGGGCGGCATTTTTATCCTCTCACTATATAGCTCACCAGACCGCCTGGATATCTCATTATGGTGGGAAATGAGAGCTAAATTTCCACTTGGCCATATCTGTAGGGGACACTGCTGGTGCCTGGCCATAGGCCCTGGCTGCCTCCATTCCCGTGCACACTGGTGGGGTCCTGCTGCAGCAACTGTGACTGGCTGCCCGAGGACTTGGCTGGAAGCCCCAGGGGGTCCACTCTGGGGAGCATTCCTTCAGGGATGCCATGGCGCATACATACCCCGGCTTTCTCACCGGTGTGGGGCAACTGTGAGGCATGCCCTCCGCAGGCTCTCAGAGGTCCCAGGTGCCCTCAGTGGTAACCTGTTCACAAACACACACTGCGGTGGTCACCCATCTCAAAATCCTTGTCTCAGGGTCTGTCCCGAGGAGAATTCAGCCCAAGTCAATATCTTAATCCCATTATCCATAGGATCAAGACCCAAATCTTTTGCCTGCCACATCTCAAATTAGACCCAGACTCCATTATCAGTTCAGGGCCTGCTTCGGGTTTTCTTGCAAGGGAAAACCAGCTAAGAATCATTTGCTCTCATTTTTTCTCTGACCACTGGCATGGTCATTAGTACTGGGTCCCCACTAGCCGCATGCCCATCTGTTACCATCTGCCTTGCCCCCCAATGTGCAATCTTATTTCTTTGTTCCCTGCTGTGAGCTTCTCTGTCTTCCTGGAACAACTTCATCCTGTCTTCCCCTCCCCTGGGCAAGCACATCCCACAACACCCAGCATGGTCAGTAGCTCTTCTGAGAAGCCATCCTCAGCTGCTCTGCTCAGAGCTGGAGATGCCCCTTCATCCCCCTAGGATGCATTACACTTGCCTCTGCTAGAGCCCTCGCTACATGGCTGGCCATGGAGACATGCATCTTCTGTACCTGGTGTGTGAATGAAAAAAGGGTCTGTCCCACCTTGACCAAGAGCTTCTGAGGGACAGGGCAGTTCCCTAATTCTTTACACTCCCTGAAGGCACCTGTTCAACCAGGGCAGATGGGGTCCAGAAGATTCCCATCAGTAACTGAGCCTTCCCTCGACAAAGAGGAGGTGGGGTAAAGCTGGTTTTGTGGGGAGGCAGGCTCTAGAGGATGAGGATCAGAACAGAGCAGGAGGGTGGGGGTGGAGGGAAAAAGAAACAGAAAAACGTGCAAGTCATAAAGCAGCAGGGAGCCCTGCAAGTCATTAGATAATTAATCAAAGTGAAAAATCAGAAAGCCAGCCTTGGCTGCCATTATGGGGTTGCAGCTGTTTTTGGAGTTTGATTGAATAAAATCTTTATGAAGTTCACGTTTTGTCTCTAATTTCCTCCCTTGTTCTCTCCCATTCTGGGGCCTCATGTTCCCTGACTCCCAGATGTGGTGATAGGTGGTGGCAGGCAGCTGCCCTCCTCCACCCCCCACCCCCACCCGCCTCCCGCCCAGTCCCGGCTTGTCTTGGCCCCTCTCTGCCCTGGCTCCGGTTCAGCTTTCTCGGAGATCTGAATACCCAAGCCCATGCCTCTTCCCATCTTTGCACCCTTTTGGGCTACAGACCAAGTCAGGAAGGGATCTCCTGGAGGCTGACTATTCTCCTACAGAACGGAATGCATTGTGGAGCCCTCCAGATGCTGGCCCCTGCCCCAGGGTGTGAGAGTGGGCTGGGGTCCAGATGGGTGGAACGGGGCATGATAGGTACGGTCAGGCAAGGAGGTTGGCTACTCAGTGTGTACATTGTCAAACAAACTCATCTTTGCTTTACAGGGGACTCAGTTTCTTCATTGGTAGCCTTGATTGACAAAGACCCATTATATGGAGAGTAAAGAAATAAAGGCATTGAGCATTTCCTGAGTTCCAGGGACTTTTGCCTATATGATTGAGTGCTTCTCACCACAGTGCTGCAAGGAAGGCATTTACTGAGGAAGGAGAGAATGTAGAATTGAAGAGCTTACGAGATGTCAAAGTTTGCAGAATGATTCAAAGAGGCAAGGCCAGAGCTCCCAACCAGGCTTCTTGTTTCTAAAATCTGCCAATCAATATAACTCTGAAATATTGAAATACGGCCCCAACCCCAACCCCACCCCACTGCTGTTGTAGGGGAGAAAAGCAGTGTATTTTCCTTACCCATTGCAAGGTTCATGGCTGAGACCCCGTAACAAAAGACAGATTAACAATAGAAAAGTGCTTTTAGAAAAAGCCCAATGTAGAAAAAGGTCCTATTGCCCTTTATACACTGGTCACCCACTGGACTCGGCTCTGTGGACCTGGGGCCACTTCTTGTTCAGCTGCCGATGCAGGAGTGGCGTCAGAGGATGTGCTTTCTACCTTGGACCCCACACGCAATGGAAAACACTGCCACCTCTTTGTGGAAAGTTGTTGCAGGTTGGCTTCCCTGGGAAGCAGACTCTGAGAGGGAGTTTGTGTGCTAAGGATGCTGGGTGCCTGGGGAAGGGGAGAGGGAGCAGGCATGGGCAGAGAGAGAAGCCAAGCTGCAGGGCAGGCCAGTGGCAGCCCTGGCCCCACGGGGAGCTCTGGAGCTAGCATGGCCCATTTACAGTGGACCTGCTTTTGACCCAGGTGGCTCTTCCAAGTCCCCCAGTCTTGCTTAATCACTGGATGTGGGCTGGCCGGGAAAGGACATGGCCTTGAGGGAGATTGCTGTCTACAGCTGAGTCAATGGCTGAGGGGCCAACAGCTGGGATTGTCTGCTGCTAACACTGCCCGCAGCTGCAGAAGCAAGTCTTTCCTTGAAGGGGGATCTGGGTGGTGCATGGCCACAGAAGGGGTCCCAGTACCCCCAGGAGTATAGCTGCTCTCTCCTGGGCTCATCTCATCCTGGGCTCATCTTTCCTGGGCTTTGTACGTGCTTGTATTAAAGCATTGATGGTGTAAAGTGGTGGTTATTGGGCCTGCCGGCCATCATCACTAGGACAGAGGCTGTGATGACACGCTCATATGGCTGTCTCTAGCATGGGGCTCAGAAGGGGGTCTGTAGACCCACATATGGTCTGCTCAGGTGCCCTGCAGCTCTGCAATGTGTGCCATGAACCTGCCTTGTGAAGCCACTGAGCTGCTCCCACATACCCCTGGACCCCAGCTCCTTTTTAGGGGCCTGCCCAGTGTAGAGCTGGCCCCTCCCCACTACACCTTTGGGGTACCCACATTTTGCTTGCCTCTATTTTGGCTCCCAACTCTGCAATTTCAAGGTTATTTTCCTTTCTGGGGCTCTTTGGCTGGTGCTTGGATCCCAGGGACCGCTTCCTGGATTCTGGGAGTGATATGGGGAAGGAGAGAAGGGGGTTGCTTGTGGGCACCAATAGTGGTGCCAGCTCACAGAAGGCTGGAGTGGTGGTCCTGAGGCTTGGGGCTCGGCCTTCATCAGAGGTTTCACTCTGCAGGGAAGCAGCTGTAGACAAAGAAGCCTTGTTCTTGGGGGACTCAGCAGGGAGGCAAAGGGTCCTTTCACAGCGTCTTCATCCCTGCCAGGGAAAGCCGGGGCTGGCTGCCATGTGGAATGCATTTGCTCCTGAAAACCACAGTGAGAGCCATGGCAGTGTGGGTTGGTCAGGGCTGCCTCCTCGAGAGGCCTGGGTCTTTGTGGGGCAGCCATAGAGTACAGGGTGCCGACAGGAGCAGCCTGGGTCAGGGGGAGCCCCCAGATTGACCTGCCCCCCGCACACCAGAGGAGCCCTGGGGTGGGAGTTCTGGACCCGGCCTACCTGGGCAAGTCTCAAGGCCTCCACAGCCATCCGTTTCCTCCTCCTTCCCTGCCCACCTGGCTGTCATGGGAGGCTTAGTCATGCACTTGCCTCAATGTCCTCTGTGGGTCTCTGTTTCCCGGGCTGGTTCCTGATTTGCCTTGACTGTTCTCCTCTCTCTTCTGGACTGTGTATCACTCACCTTTGAATCCTCAGGGCTGGAAAGCAGAGGCTATGTCCATCTGTTTCTCCCAGTCTCTGTCCCACAAGCTTCCCATGCCCATTTCTATCTTTGTGATTTCTTCCATAGATTTTACGCCTTCTGCTTTCTCTCTCTTTCCCATACCCATCCAAAGTTTGTCCCTCAAGCTGTCACTTGAATGCCACCTCCTGAGTGAAATTCACCTCGACTGCTCCAGCCGCCTGTGCTAGTTAGTACTCCAGTAGGGCAGAGCACACGATTTGCTTTTGTTTCAAGGCATGCTCATCCTTTTGCTCAGGAATCTTAACTCTTCATGGCAAGAATAACATGATAATGAAGATAGTAATAGCTAGCTGAGGCTCTGAGATGTTAAGTAACTTGCCTAAGGTCACACAGCCACAAAGTGGCAGAGCTGAGGCTGGATGGGAGCTGCCTGGCTCTGAAGACTGTATTGACATTTGCTGTGCTTTCTCCCTGGGTCGCTGGTACTCCATTATGGCCTTGATAGAAACCACCCTTCAGGTTGTTTAGGTTGGAGAGTTGGTGTGAAGGCAGATGAGGGCTCCTAGGAGGCAGGCAAAGGGGGGACTTGTGGCCAAACCTCAGTTTCTCATGCCGAGGAGACATTGGTACTAGGACTCTGAGGTCAGACCCACACTTAAAAAATTGTTGCTTACTTCCCTTTAGTTCTACATCCCAAGAACTTGCTTCATTTCTTGCTCTCAGTGCAGGAGCTCCTCTCGCTGTCTCTAGCAACTTACGCTTCCTGTGAAACCTCATCCAGGTAAGTTTTCACTTCACACTGCAAAGAATAATAGTGGGGGGTTATTTTTATAGAAAAAACTCCTCAAAGCTGAGCAGTCTTCCACTCCTGGGCAGACAGCAGGAGGCTGCAGGGCAGCAGTGCCTGGAGGAGCTGGAAAACGTTCACTCCATGTATAGATTTCCACTCACCCCTGACTACCACCACTTGCGGGGGTGAGTTTCAATATTCCCTGGTCATCTGAATCCACTTATGTGTCTTTAATCACAGGGGCCTGGGTGTCTTTGAGTCCTTCCTGCTCAGCCTCTCCAGGAATTTGGCACATAGGAATTCTTGGGACTCTCCTACCCTTTTGGAGAGATTCGACTCAAACTGCCTTCACAGAGCCTTCCATTTATTCCTCACTGGGGCAAGGAGGGAAGTGAGGTCTCTCAGCACCTACTATGTGCCAAGCATGTTGCTGGGTGCCTTGAGATCATAAATTACAATTCTTACATTTTCTGCAACACATTGGTTTGTCAGAAGCAGATGCTGAGATGGAGTTTGGAGCAGAGATGTTTATTAGAGGTTAACACTAGGGCAGGAGTGGGGATGGGGGAGGAAGCAGGATATGCAGAGAAGACATTGAACTGTGACACAAGCTCTACAAAGCTTTGATCATCCCTGAGAGGAGTGTAGAGCAAGAATTGCCCATCAGTGTCCGGTATTGGGCTGGAATGGCTTGGGCCTATATATCCCCATCTGGCTTTGTAGCTGGATGCAGGTTGTCCTGGGAAGGAAGTGGCCTTAGGAGTGGTACAGCTCTGTTGCTGAGCCAGATCCTGAAGGAGCCAACACCTGGGGGCTGTCTGCTGACTGCAGCCCCAGAACTGGGGGCTGTAATGGGTCCTGGAAGGGGAATCTAGGAAGTGCATCTTTGTGTCTACAATATACGAAGTGGTCTTCCTATCCTTATTTTACTGATGAGGCTCATAGAGAGTATGGCACTGCCTGTGGCCACACAGCTAGTAAATAGCAGAGTCTGGATTTGAACCCAGGCCTGCCTGAAGTCAAACCTCATGCTTTTTCTGTGAAACAGAACCATGGACCTCGGGGAGGAATAAGGAGCATGTAGTGATGTATAACATTTGTTTCTAGGGTTGTTCATCAGTGTTTGTTGTGCAACTGGGGGGAGAAAATTGGTTCTAATAAGCAGATAACAGGTAGTAAAGGACAATGTGTTAACCCCAGGTGCCTAGGAAAAAGCTTTGTAACTCCAGAGGCACGGAGGAGGTAGGCACTACATTCATCTTTGCAATGTGCCTGTGATTTGCCTGCATGGAGGAAAGGAAAAAGTACTCTAGATAGCAGGTACAGCCTCAGCAAAGGGATGGAAGTTGGAATTGACAGAGGCTGGACAAGGGAAAGTGGGCAGAGGGACCTGGTTTGACGGGAGCAGTGCAGCCAAATAAATGAAATGGTACTGGGACTATGAAATCCAGTTTCATTCTGCTCACCTCCACAAGCTTTTCCGGAGCATCTACTATGTGCCAGGCAGCTGTCAGTCCAGAGGAGCCCTGAGCATGCACACAGTGGGCCAGAGAGTGCTCTTCATCCCCGTGCCGAGAAGACCTCAATCATCGCTCTGTCCTCTAGGCTTTGTAACTGGAGCCAGAAAGTCCAAGCCAGTCCTAGGGATGTGCCCCCGCCTGCAGGGGCCACTGCAGAAGAAATGCTGAGGTCAGCCCTGCCTGAATCTAAACCTCCTGGGATTGGGATGAGTCAGGGAGAGGCCCTGCTAGGGATGTAGGAGGAGGGCCACTTAGCTTCTCTACCTGCCATGGTGAAGGTAAAGCTGCTAATGCCACCCTTTGGGTCCCTGGGGAGGACAGAGTGAGGCTGAAATTAGTCCTCAAACATCCTAGGAGTCCTCAGGGTGAGGCCTGGGGGACCAGCCTACTTGGGGGTGAGGAGGCGGGAGAGTGGGTGCAGGGGACAGTGCTCCCTCCGGCAGCTTCCCAGTGGTGGGATTTCATGCACCTGTAAAACAACAACAAAAATAAAGAAAAAGCAAATGCACATCTTGATTCGGCCTAAGAGCTGCCTGGTAAAAACATTAGGAAAAAACCCCCCACTGTTATGGGTTGAATTATATCCCCCTAAAAAGATATGTTGAAGTCTTAAATCCTGGTGCCTGTGAATGTGACCTTCCTTGGAAATAGGGTTGTTGTGGATGTAATTGGTTAAGATGAGGCCATGCTGGAGCAGAGTGGACCCCCTGATCCAATATGACTGGTGTCCTTGTGAAAAGGGAACATTTGGGCACAGAGGAAAGATGAGGTGAAGACATAGACACCGGGGAGAAGGCCGTGTGAAGACGGAGGCAGAGGCTGGCATGCTGCAGCTGTAAGCCAAAGAATGCCAAAAATTTCTTGCCCCCATCAGAAACTAGGAAGAGACAGGAAGGATTAGCAGGAGGATGGCCCTACCCACACCCTGATCTTGGACTTCTGGTTTCCCAAACTGTGAGACAATAAATGTTGGTTGTTTTAAGCCAGTTTGGGGTACTTCGTTATCGCAGCCACAGGAAGCTAATACACTTGTCATCAATTTCACCCTTATTTAAGGATATTCTAACTCCCAAGGTAGCGATGACAATTTCAGGACACCCTTCAAGTTGAAAGCATTTCACTTTATGAAAAATCTACTCTGGGGACCTATTTCTCTCCACTCAACTTGGACCAATGAAAATGCCATCTCAGACCAGCCCCCATTCCCACACTGCTGTAGCTGAAGGAAATGGGGGAGGGCATCAGCCACTGTGGTCCTCGTGGGTTCTTGCCCTTTCTGGGCCTTCGTGTCCATGGGGGTTGGACTGTGAAATTCCTTGGGCCCCTCTCTCATCCGAGGCAGGGGGATCTGTAGGTGGAAAGCCGTGTGAGGGCTCAGGTATCAGTGAAGCATTTCTTAGTTACTTCTCACCCCGGAAAACGCATATCCAGAGCTGTGGGATGTCCACAGATTTGTGAAGGGGAAATTGGCCATATTGAGGGCAGCATGAATAATGCTTGTATCCATAAGACACTCAGAGGGCGCTCAGTGAGCACTGGGGAGGCAGAGATGATGAAGACTCCCATCTTCCAGGGCCTAGGAGAGAATGACCACTTTGGACTAGGATGAAAGGATAGGTTTTGTGATTGAGTGCTAGGATACACACCTGAAGAGCATCCATACTGGTGGCCCATGAGCACGCCTTGATCCGTGGTACTGTTGCCTGTGCAGTTTTCAGCTTTTAGAGCTACCTTCTCAACGTATCTTCTATGGGACATGTGTTCATTGTGATGTTAATGGAAGTTAGGTGGAAACATGACTTAGTGGTAAATTATACCTGAGAAAGATTGTGTCAAATGGCCATAAACAGATTTCTCTCCTGCAGGACTTCTCAGAGCCTTTAATATGCTAAAAGGTATTGTCAGAATGCAGCCTTTCTAAAATTCAACTGGCAATGGAATTTTTTTTCTCTTAAATATGGCGTATCTCCTGGGATTATTTTCTGGAGATTAATCTTTGGAGACCATTCTTCTAGAAACTAGGTTTCTGGCCAGGCACGGTGGCTCACGCCTGTAATCCCAGCACTTTGGGAGGCCGAGGCGGGCGGATCACGAGGTCAGGAGATCGAGACCATCCTGGCTAACATGGTGAAACCTCGTCTCTACTAAAAATATAAAAAAATTAGCCTGGCATTTTGGCACATGCCTGTAGTCCCAGCTACTCGGGAGGCTGAGGCAGGAGAATTGCTTAAACCTGGGAGGTGGAAGTTGCAGTGAGCTGAGATACCACTGCACTCCAGCCTGGGCGACAGAGCGAGACTCCATCTTAAAATAAAAAAAAAAAAAGAAACTAGGGTTCTGAAGTTTTCTAGGCGGTACCTAGTACCCTGTGCAACTTCATACTTAACCTTTCTTGCTGAATGCAGAATGATGTCAGAGTTGATGGTGATGATGGTAAGATGAGGTCATGATTGTGGCGGTGACACTGGTGATGAGAACATTGGTAATGAGGGTGGGTAGCTTCTTTTAACTTTAGTAATCCCCAAGAAGAAAGAGCTCCCTTTCTTCTTAGAAAGCAGACAGGCCTTCGGTATATCCGTGACATTATTAGGCTTTAGAGAGTTAATGACCTGGGCTGGCAGCAAAGAGATGGTGCCTAAAAAGTCAGGAATGTACCACTTAGGGAGGTCTGTAGGCCCAGGACTAATAAGACCTTAGCAACATGGGAGACCCACTAGGAGTGTGCACCCTTGTGTCCTGGAGCCTCTGTGGACACAAATGCAATAAAAAACATAAGATTTTCATCCCCGGGATTCCAGGAATGGTGAGTGGGTGGGTAGTGTTGTGAAGGTTGGTGGATTCATTCAGAAATGAGGCTGAAACACGTGTGGCTGCTTCTGAGCACATGAGTCCCCTCCATTCTCAGCTCAGCCATGCTGGAGAAGGCCAGATGATTTACAATATGGTTAGGCTTTGTGTCCCCACCCAAATCTCATCTTGAATTATAATCCCCATAATCCCCATGTGTCAAGGGAGAGACCAGGTGGAGGTAATTGAATCATGGAAACAGTTTGCCCCATGCTGTTCTCACGATAGGGAGTGAGTTCTCACGAGATCTGATGGTTTTATAAAGGGCTCTTTACCACTTTGCGCAGCACTTCTCCTTCCTGCTGCCTCGTGAAGAAGGTATCTTGCTTCCTCTTCGCCTTCCCCCATGATTGTAAGTCTCCTGAGGCCTCCCCAGCCGTGCTGAACTGTGAGTCAATTGAACCTCTTTCCTTTATAAATTACCCAGTCTTGGTCAGTTCATGATAGCAGTATGAAAACAGACTAATACAATTTACTACCCTCCAAAATGACTCAGAGAGTTGTGAAGGCTGCAGTAAAGTAGCTGGTGGAGGTTTTGATGGTGGAGGAATGGTACTGAGGTAGGAGAACAGGGAATTGAGGTGATCAGGGGTTGAGGCGTGAGCAAGGGAACAGCAGGTGCAGCCAGTTTGTATAGGCAGGAGAGCAGCAGGTGCAGCACATAGGCCACATCCTTGCTTCCATGATAACAAGTCACGTCAGCCTCTGATTGGTCACAGGACAATCCTTCATGGGGTGTGGCCAGTTGGAGGGCTTTGAGGAGCGCCAAAGGGTGTTGCTGGATTCTTTTTAGCTTAATAAAAACCCTGATTGAAGAGGCTATTGAGCCCGCTCCCACTCTGTGAATTGTCTTCAATAAATCTGTGTTTTTGTTACTCCATCTCATTGCTGACAGGGGCTGACAGTAAGGATGATAACGGAGGTGGCAGGTTATGGTGAAGGCTAGGACAATGCTGATGGTGACAAGGGTTGTAACGGGGGTGACAGCACAATGGTGGCAGGTGTACGATATGTGATGTGGCAGTGGTGGGGACGTCCCAAGTTGAGCTACTGGCAACCACAATAGGGAATCATGGTGAGCACGGGGCACCAATAAGATTCCACAGTGACTCCCTGTCTTCACAGGCAGGGCAGGCTCTGGGAGGTGAAAACCAGCCTGAGAGGAATGAGACCTTGCCTTAGGAGGCATTTAGTTGTCTTCTGTGTAGAAAGGTAGCCCTTCACTTTCCTCATAAATCAGCCCCATAAACTTTCCACTTTGCAATTTCAGGTAGTCAGCCCCATAAACCACTCCTGACTGGGAAACGGGGCTTGAACAAATAAATCACACTTATTATTTATGTCAGCAACAATGTCATCATTGCACAGGAGTCCAGACCTGGACCGACCTACCCAGGGGAAGTGGGCTGCTCACCTCAATATTGTTCAAGTCAAGCATGCCATGATTCAACACTGAATTTTTAGACAGAGGCCCTTATATCAAAGTGACATAATTTAATAGCACTCTTCACCCTCCCCGGAGTGGGCCTCAATGGGGATGGCAGACATATTGCTTTTCTGGGAGAGGGGGATGATTCTCAGAGGAGGCTTGTGCCCTTTCCCTGTGAGAAGACCACTGTCAGGTCTCCAACCTATAATTCACCTCGGTGCTGCCACTGACATGTTACTGTGTACACCAGCACAGCCTTTCTCCCCTCCTCCTGCACATGCAGGAAATACAAGCTCCTTCTCTTCAGCACGGCTTAGCCTGGGCCTGTGCCAGGGTGGCCCCTGGTCCCCTGAAGATGGTGAGACAGGTGATGGCTGCCTCTGGGTAGATTTTTAGCACCTTGTGTAACACATTCTGGCAAGGGCTGCCATTTCCTCATCTCAGGCTTGCTATTTGTGGGTCCTTGTTCCTTTAGCAGAATGCATGGTCCAGGCCTTGCCATCCTTTGTATGGATAGAGCTTTCACAATTGGCCACAACTTTCTTGGCACAAATCTGAATTCATGACAGCAGTTTAATTAAAGCCATCTCCCTGTGTTTCTTCATGTTGTTATGCAATGGGACAAAGTGATACTGGGGTTACCCTTTTTCTTTTCTGGGAGGATCCCCTCCCTTCCCCTCCCCTCCTCTCCCAGGAAAGTCTGAGCTAGTTAGCAGTGTATTAAAGTAGGCATCGCATTTGTAGATGTATCAGATATTTTTTCATGATCTTCAATACTGTCCGGCCCTTTAGAATTCCAATTAGTTGGGGGTATGGGGGAGAAGAGTCCTGTTAAGTCTAGAAATGAAAGTATTAGGAAAAAGCTCTGGTTTAGTAAATTAAAAGCTCTGGAATATATTAGAATCAGATATTTTTGGTTTGGAATATAAATGTATAATATATGGAGAATATGTTTTGGGTCATTTTAGGTATAATTGGGGAGGGCAGAGCCTGTGTATGTTTGGGACCATAGCACTAAGGGAATGTTCACAACAGTTTCAATGCCATGAAGAACAGGTGATGTACAAAGTACACCACATTTCCAGTGATTATAATCTGACTTTTGTTTTGAAATATTTTAAAACATAGTATACTGGGAGGTATACCATTACACCCCAAATGATTAACCAGCCTAAGGCAGTCATGCTAATTCCATCCCTCTTGCCAGAGATTGGCTTAATGCCAGGCAGGTATAAGCCAATCTGGGCCAATGAAAATCAAGGAGAGAGGCTTGCTCAGAGCTTCTGAGTAAGAGAGGCCCATCCCACCTGCCCTTCTCCCATCTTGCTGGATGTGAACACGAAAGCTGTGGTTCGAGGTGCTGTTGGCAGCCATGTTGGGGCCATGAGGGGAAACAGCATTAGGATGAACCCAGCACTGCAGCTGACAGAGCAGAGAAATGAAAAGAACCTGGGTTGAGTGGCTGAATCTACCAATTTTGATCCCTACTTCTGGACTTCCTGTTCTATGAAACAATAAATTTCACAATAATTTAAGCAAGTCTGGAGAAGGATTTCTGTTACCTAAAGGGGAAGCATCCTGACACAGCTATTTAATAATGGATAAGCATTTGTCATTACTAGCACTATTATAAATGCTAAGGGGAGATGAACAATAGAACACATAACATAGACAGTCCCGGCTCTTCAGAGTTCTCAGATGTTTATTGGAGAGGTGAGGTAACTACACAAAGCACAAATATGGGAGGGTTGGAGAACTCTTGTTATTAAAGGGCCAGATAGTCTTTGTTGTGACTACTCAGCTTGCCTGTTATAGCACAAAAGCAGTCATAGACAACAATAAACATGGGTGTGTTTCAATAAAACTTTATTTAGAAAAACAGATGCTTGGCCAAGTTTGGCATGTGGACAATAGTTTGCCAAAGCCTGCTCTAGGAGACATCTATAGGACTATCCTACAGACATCTAGGAGACATCTATAGAAAGGAGCCATCTATAGGGATTGGAGTCATGGGAGAATTCCTGGAGGATGTGCTGGACAGACAGAATGGAAATGAATCGGCTGCACTTCTGCATGTGTGCCTTAAAAGACCATGCTATTTCACTCTCTGATGTGATTGCAGGAAAAAAAAAAAGAGTGCATATCACAATCATACCTGACAGTCTTCCCAGAGATAAGCTAATTCTGCAGAACTTCTTCCCCCATTTCCCAGTAATCAGCCATGAAAAGATCAAATATCAGTAGGTCACATGCAGAAAGACTCCCTGCCAAGTCTGCCTCCTACCTGATGGGCCAAAGGCAAGTAGCAGGCAGCCCAAGGGTATATACGTCAGGCTCTTTATATTGGAGCATTGAGATCAAAGTGTCCAGGTACACCTGTGGGTCTTTCGTGAAGTGAGCTCTGGATTTTTCAAAAGCCGGAAGGTCTCCTGGGACTTACCTCCAGTGGGCCATGTCTTGGGGAGCTTGGGCCACAATGGCTAGCTGGGACAGCTGGTTCTTAAGGGTGACCTTGAGGATGGATAGGATTTGAATAAGAGGCAGGTGAGCACAGGTGGGTTAGAGCAATGCTGTCTTACCCCATTTGTGCCGCTGTAACAGAATACCACAGACTGGGTAACTTATAAAGAACAGAGTTTATTTCTCACAGTTCTAGAGGCTGGGAAGTCCAAGATCAAGGTTTTGGTATCTGGTGAGGGCTGCTCTGTCCTTTCAAGATGGCACTATGAATGCATATTCTAGCTTGGAGGAACATTGTTTCCTTATGTGGTGGAAGGCAGAAGGAAAGAGGACCAAGCTCCTTCTGTCAAGCTCTTTTACAAAGGAATTAATCTATTGGGACCTAAACATCTCTCAACACTGTTGCAATAGGGATTAAGTTTCCAACACATGAATTTTGGGGGACACATTCAGGCCATAGCAAATGTTATAAGCAGAGGCTTGGATGGGGACCCATCAAAGTTTATGAGGGGAAGTCTGATGGATGACGCCATTACAGGCAATGCTGGTGGCCTGTTCTCCCTTGACATCTTGAGACAAGAGCCCAAAGTTTAATTTGAGGAAGTATCTAGGACAATAATACCCGTCAGTACTGACCTACAGTCGTAGGGTCTGGGAGCTATTAAACAATGACATTGATGTAGTTTATAGGGCTTGGATGAGGAGGGTGACCCCACAAATCTACCTTTCCTAAATATGCAGCAAGAAGTATGATGAAAACACTGGTTAGCAGTAACCAGGGGAGAGGGGCAGTAAGTGGGAGGGAAGACCAAGGCCCAGGGAGAGAGGGAGGACCCTTTCACACTTCAAGAAGTAGGGCAGGGTGAGGGTCACATGGAGAGAAGGAGAGCTTCGAGGAGGCCAAGTTTTGCAGGGGAAGGAGTAGCATTTCTGAAATGGACAAAATTGTACCCAAGGGTGAGAACTGGCAAGCCCCTCACCCCTGCCCCCTAAAGGCTACCATTTAGGGGCTTAAACATTTCCATTCATGTTTTCTTACTTCCATGTATAAACACAGGCATACTTTGGAGAGAGGAGAAAAATAAACCAAACTGCTGAGTAATACCCTTTTGAAAAGAAATACATACTTTCAAAAAGGACCAAAACAACTTGTGGAAGCTTTGGAAGGGAGTTTTCTCATTTTTAAAAGCTCAAGGGTTTTGATGAAATTAGTGTTGTTTTCTCAGACTCCAAAACAGATTAACATATGGGCAGCTTCAGCTTGTGGCTCAGAGAGACAAAAGAAACCACAAAAATAGCTTTCTAATAATTGTCCCCAAATATGTCTGTCGAGCGCTGGTTAGTGCCAACTCCCCTTTGCTAATCAAAACTCGAGGCGGAGGCGCCGACTCCCCCGGCCGCCATTTGATGTCCCTCTGGTTACTGTATTTACTCTCCTTCTCACTCCCAATTTCTTCCCGAAGCTTTCATCTGTTCCAACGCCCTGCTCTGCCCGTCTCGGCCACCACCGCTGGGGTTTAAGGCAAACCTTGCATCTGGTTTCTCTTTGCTTCTTTTCGCCTTTGTCTTTGTTTACTTTCATGAGGAGGCAGACAGTTGCTTTATTAACCCCCTGCTTTGTTTTCTTTAGGTTTTTCAGTTGTTTTAATCTTCGCATCAACTATCCCAATCTGCTCCCTCACCTTCCACTCCACTGGGCTCTCTGTGACCTGGCACTCGGGTCTTGTTTCTTGCCAGTTGGGTCTAGTGGCCTTGTTGATTCGTCTTGGCTGCTGCTGCAAACTCGGCTGCGGCCCTCAGCGCTGTGTGGCTTCCAAGTTCTCATTGTGAAGGTCTTTTCTTCTTTGTGTTTCTCCATGCAGGGATATGGGATGTTTATAAACTTCAGGAGAGCTTACTTTTGAAAGGAGAGAATTGAATTTCCTGGGCTGCATGCTGAGATGTATTATCTGTGGAATTCCTGTTTGAATGACTGGCAGATTTCTGAGCAGTGGTGCTGTTTCCAACCTGGTCTGCTCGTCAAGCTGTGTACCCCCCTCTGTGTGTGCCTCTGTCTAGAGCAGAACCCAAATTGAGCCCAAACCACTTCATCTGTTCACCACCTTTCTCCCTGAAACCTTGTCCTTTAAACCTGATAAAGAAATAACGCAAAAGGTCGAAGCATGGAAAAAATGAAAATTCTCCACAATTCTTCACCAAGTTATTAAAATATTGCAGTTGTGTGATACAGATTAGGAATATTGATTGCTGGCTGGATGCAGTGGCTCACGCCTTTAATCCCAGCATTTTGAGAGGCCGAGGCGGGTGGGTCAGTTGAGGTCAGAAATTCAAGACCAGTCTGGCCAACATGGTGAAATTTCGTCTCTACTAAAAATACAAAGATTAGCCAGGCATGTGGCACATGCCTGTAAACCCAGCTACTCAGGAGGCTGAGGCAGGAGAATAGCTTGAACCTGGGAGGCAGAGGTTGCAGTGAGTCGAGATCGTGCCACTGCATTCCAGCCTGGGTGACAGAGACAGAGATTCCACCTCAAAACAACAACGAAACATTGATCGCTCTTAATCCTTACTACCAACCTTCTAAACTTTTGCTACTCAAAGTGTAGTTCCTGGACAGCAGCATCAGCATTTCCTGGGAACTGGTTGGAAATGCACATTTGGGCTGGGCATGGTGGCTCACAACTGTAATCATAGCACTTTGGGAGGCCAAGGTAGAAGGATTGCTTGAGCCCAGTTGTTTGAGATCAGCTTGGGCAACATAGCAAGACCCTGTGTCTACAAAAAGAAAAAAAAATTAGCCAGGCGTGGTGGTGCACACCTGTAGTCCTAGATACTCAGGAGGTTCAGGTGGGAGGATTGCTTGAGCCCGGGAGGTCAAGGCTGCAGTGAACCATGATCATACCATTGCACTCCAGCCTGGGCACCCGTGAGACTCTGTTTCAAATAAAATAAAATAAAATAAAATAAAATGCAGATTCAGGCCCCACCCCAGATCAACTGATTTAGAACTTGCATTTTATAAAGATCCCCAGGTGACTAGTGTGAACATTAAAGTTTGAGAAGTCTCGCTTTCATAACCTTTAAAAACATTTAATGAAGCATTATACCAAGAGAAAATCGGCCAAGTACTTAAACAATCTCATGGTCTAGCATGAAAACTGTGGTCAGAATATCTAGATTGTGCCTTTACTTACAGGTAAGTCATGGAGTTCACTTGGGTTCAGTTTTGGGATGACAAAAATGCCTCCCTCTTCACCTACCAGGGTTGATGCAAGAATTTTTGGTAGTGGTTAAGTGAAACAAATGGGTTAATGCATTCTGTGAAGCACCATAAAATGTTAGCTATTACAGTTTACACACTGCTTTATTCTAATTTTGGGGCATTTTAGTTTTTCCTTGCTAGAGCTAGCCAAATGCAGATATTAATTGTGAGAAGATACAGCAGTCACGGTGCATCAGGGACAGGACATGTCAGAAGACCTCATCTGTAAAGGGGGATAACTGTGAAAGGATAATCAACCTTGGGGCCCCCAAATCACTAAGCTAAAGGGAAAAGTCAAGCTGGAAACTGCTTAGGGCAAACCTGCCTCCCATTCTAGTCAAAGCCACCTCACTGCTCACTGAGATAAACACATAACTGACTGCCTCATTTGGAGAGGCTGACAAAAGAATGCAACTGTTTGTCTCTTATCTACCTTTGACCTGGAAGCCCCCTCCCCGCTTCGAGCAGTCCCATCTTCACCTCGAGTTGTCCCACCTTTCCAGACTGAACCAATGTACATCTTACACATATTGATTGATGTCTCCTGTCTCCCTAAATGTATAAAACCAAGCTGTGCCCCTACCACCTTGGACACATGTTGTCAGGACCGCCTGAGGCTGTGTCACGGGTGCGCATCCTCAACCTTGGCAAAATAAACTTTCTAAATTAACTGAAACCTGTCTCAGATATTTGGGGTTCACATAACAATAATCCCTACGTTAGGGGACATTTGCCTTGCTGGCCCAGGGCATGGGCACACAACCCAGGCTCAACTAAGCCTACTCTTCTGTCCAGGACTCTGAACCTGAGACACATGATACAGAGACATGAGGATGGTGGAGAATTTGTTTAGCAGCAGCAGTGGTGGCAGTGGTGGTGGCAGTGGCAGTTGTGGTGTTATGATTTAGAACCAGGTCTTGGCTTCCCCTGTCTCCTGCTCATTTTCTGAACACTCCCTGTCATTCTCTGAGATGCCCAATATCCTCTTAGTAAATTGCTTTTGTGCTGAAACCACCCAGAGTTGGTTTCTGTCACTACCAAGAAGCTGACTGGTAGCTCCACCCACCTTACCAGCTTGCCCTGAGGAATAAGGAGGCAAAGCATGCCAAGCCCTGGCACAGTGGATGGCACCTGGAAATGCCCCATTAGTAGCAGCAAAAGTGAACAATGCATCCACTTTTGTTTTAACTTGATAAAGCCTCATTCTTTCATCATTGAATTACAAATTGTGACTTCCACTAACTCCTGAGCAGCTGGTCATCTTTACATTTTCAAGGCGAGGAGCTCAGCCACCTGGATGTTCTTCCTCTGCTCTTGGTCAGAGGCCAGTTGTTGTCCTGGCCCTCTAAGGACAGCACTAAGATCCATCCCACTCTTCTTTCTGTCCGCAAAACCAAGGCAGACTGGCCCCCAGACTTCTCCCAACACTTCATCCAATTTGTCCATGAGCCAACGACTCCAAAGCTGTTCAGGACTATCTCTCCATTTCTTTCTTAACCTGTCAAGAGATGGGTTACCAGATTCCCTCTATTACCACTGATAAATTGAAAATAAAACACATTTCATCAAGGCCACAATTTCTTGCTTGTGGTCAAAGCTAACAAGAAGGATCCCACCAGGAACCTAGTAGGATAAATTACATAATTAATGTTATTCCTTAGTTTGCTGAAGTCGAAATCTGTCCCCAGTAGCCTTATTTCTCCTGCTTTATATCTTTCCTTCCAGGGCTGTACACTGGTGTTACCAGTCTTAGGAAGAGTGGAAATACCTTGTCATTATTTCTTTGAATCCAAGACATGCCTCCCTCCAGTAAAAAAGAGAACAAGATCACAGTATGGCATTTATTTATTTGTAAAATGGAGGCAAGTGAAAATTAATCTTGCATTGAAATCATCTGAGAATTCAGGTTGTCTTTTGAAACGTGACATCTTGACATTGAGAAACACTGCCTTAGAAACCTCCAAGTTATGTGAAAGCAACAGTTGCTTGGGTTCCTCATTTGATTCTTCTTTGTAAACTCACACCTTTATATGAAGACATTTATTTAATCTCTGACTTACTTTTCCTGAGTTCAACCTGTGCCTTGCTGAAGGAGAGCACAAAGAGTCTGAATCTCTTGCACCCTGCCATTTGCAAAATGGAAAAGTGTTAACACTCCCACCTTTTGCTGTTGCTTTTTCTTTCCCCTCTCATTAAAAATTTTTGTTTTAAAAACCTGAGCAACCTGTGCTCTAGAGAATCTCCTGTGCATCTGCACCAAGAGACCTACATCTGACAGCATATTGTTTAAAATAGCAAAAGACAGGAACCTCCAATATCCCTCAATAGGAGAGTGGACAAAACATGGAGGCATATCATTCTCCTGCCTCGGCCTTGCAAATTGCTGGTATTACAGATGATGATCTGATTCTTAAAGTGTTCATTGTGTAATTAAGCCTTTATAGTTTATACTTAATGTACATGCCAAATATAGAAAACAAAAGCTTAAAACACTTTAAAATAGTTTAAAAACTGAACAGCATTAAAGGCAGAGTCTATGTATCAGGTAAATGGGTGGTCAGTGTAAAATTCTTTCAATTTTGCTGTAGGTTTGATAATTTTCATAATAAAATGTTGCATTAAAAAACCCTGAATGGACCACAGTTACATTAAGAACTTTTTGAAAAAACTTGCCTATAATTCATTAACTCAACACAGCAACTATTTTGATCTTTTGAGCCCTTATCTCTATAAATACAGAATTTTCATGCATGTGCTCACAGAATATATAGTATTGTATGGCTTGCTTTTTTCACTTAACATTTTATTATCAACTCTTCCCCAACATTTATGCTTTTTTGGTGAGTGCATTCATGTTTGGGAATTCCTTCCATCCCAGGTAAGTGAAGGCATCCCCTTCCAACCTCAGTCATACTCCAAAAGCCAAAGATACTTTTAACTTGGTGTAAGATTCAACAAAGCTCTGACACACTGTTCCTTCTGAAGTTTTTGTAGGAGATGTTGTGTCTATCTGCCAACTACTGTTTCCTTGAGATAAAGTGAAGCTCTTTAAGACCAACTGGGCAAGTAACAGCATTCTCCACATCATGGTAGCATGCCTGTTATGTGTTAGGCCAGGGGTCCCCAACCCCACCACCCCACCCCCCACCCCCACCCCCACCATGGCAGGAACCAGGCCTCACAGCAGGTGGTGCATTACTGCCTGAGCTCCACGTCCTGTGAGATCAGCGGTGGCATTAGATTCTCATAGGAACGTGAACCTTATTGTGAACTGCGCGTGCGAGGGATCTAGGTTGCGCACTCCTTATGAGAATCTAATGCCTGGTGATCTGAGGTGGAAGAGCTTCATCCCCAAACCATCCCTCATCTTCCCCAGCAGTGGAAAAATTGTCTTCCATGAAACCAGTCCATCCTGCCAAAAAGATTGGGGACAGCTCTGTTAAGCAATGCCAGGGAAATCTCAGTCATTTCCTCCTTGACTTTTCTCCTTCAGCCTCCCTCTTATTACTGTATCTCACCACTGTCTCAAAAACCAGCCCAGGCTGGGTGTAGTGGCTCATGCCTGTAATCCCAGTATTTGGGGAGGCCAAGGCAGGAGGATCACTTGAGGTCAGGAGTTTGGATAGTAGCCTAAAGTAACATAGTGAGACCCTACCTCTATAAAAAAATTTTTTTTTAAATTAGCCAGATGTGATGGTGCATGCCTATAAGCCAGATGTGATGGTGCATGCCTATAGTCAGGAGATTGAGGTGGGAGGATTGCGTCAGCCCAGGAGTTCGAGGCTGCACTGAGCTATGATCAAGGCGCTGCACTCTAGTCTGGGTTTTTTTCCTGGTTATAAAAATTATTCATGGCCAAATACACAGAAATAAAAGTCATCTATCTTTTTATCACCCACAACTAGACTGCTGCTAGTAATTTAGTTTTTTAAAGAAATATATGCTTTTTAACAGTCTCCTTGCCTGAAGCCAAAGTGTTAAAAACAAGACCATTCTACTTGTTCAATTTCTACCCTATGCCTGCACATCCAGGGCTCAGATGAATTTAACATTAGTACCGGATGGCCCATGCTTTTTATCCATGTGGTAGCAGTAACAAGAAGTCTTCCCAGCTATCATTAAGAGATGATTTAAAATGTCGTCAAGTATATGAAAGGCTCCTCCTCCCAGAATAGCAAACAGCTGTTCATGATCTCCAGCGAGACTGGAGCCAAAGAAAGAGACTAAGTGACTGGGGCTCTGGGCAACTCCTGGCCCTAAACGAGGACAGCAGACAGTTCCTGGAGGGTTCTAGGTGAAACCCATGCCCCATGTCACTTGGACTGTCCATTTAGCTGAGACTGGGATATTTTGGCTTGAAACTAGAGAACAGTTTCCATTCTCTCTGACTTTTCAGGACGGCTTGCTTGGTGGTTTACAGTGGGAGGGTCAAGAGTTACCTAGTTCTCTGTAGGTCTTTAAAAGTCGCTTATGGAGTTTTCATCTGAAGGACTTAAGTGCGGCCTTATTGAAAGGCAGTGGGGTGGGTTTGTGGCGTCTGGGGGTTCTCTCCACACAGATTTACTTTGGTATTTCTGCCCTCAGCTTCCTTTCCCAGAATTCAGTGCTCCTCTGTTCAGCTTCTGATGGCCACCATCTTGCCTGCCAGTTGTCTAGTGCCTGCCATCTCTCCTGGAGGAGGCCTGGGTCTATTACTCCACCAGTTGGAGGAGTAAAAGAACCTCTGTCTTGGAGCAGTGTGGGTGTCTGTTTAGTTCATGAACCTTTATGAATACCTGACATGCACTCCACTCAGCACCAGGGATTTTGGGTGGTAGCTGACAGCATAAAAATCACAGACTGGGGAGCCTTGAGGCCATCATAGCAAACCTCCTGATATTATAGGTGAAGAAGAAAAGGCTAGAGAGGGCATGCCACTACCCCAAAGTCACAGCAAAAGAGAAATATAAGAAAGATGCTCCTCTAAATGATTTTACAGTCTCAATCCATATTGTGCACGTCTTGGTAGATCATACTACATACTCATTTGGAGCTGAAAGATTTTAGGAGATTATGAGAAAACTCAGGCTGGAAATGCATGTAAATAGAGACCCAAAGCCACCAAAACCCAAGCTAAAATGACTGCGTTAAGAAGGAATTCCATGTAAGGGAATATAGCAGGTGCTGTTGGTACCTGTTAATACTCCTTGTCCTTATTTCAATATGTGCTAAGAGCATTTTACCACTTTGTACTGAAAGCACTGACAACTGAGGGCCTGAAGGTTCTTTCTTAGCATGCCTGCACAGTGGATTGAAAATTCCCAGTTCATGACCAGGAGCAGCCCTCAGCCATTGATAGATGGGAGTTGGAGGATAAATACCCCAGCTTCCTTGCCCATAAGGTAGGTAATTCTGAGGTATGTTCTACACTGTCTCCCAGAATTCCCCTGTAAGGTTGAGCCCCTAGTTGTTAACCAGTTGCCCGCAGCGGTAACCTGCATATTGACACTTCCTTCATTGGCTTCATTTCCTTCGATGTCTCACTTCCTTGCTAGTGTTTACTGGGGTTGCCTCCCAAATAAATGATGCATTCTTGAATCCTTGCTCCAGGTTAGTCTTTGCAGGAACTCAAACTAAATCAGGAGGTATCACCACCAATTGACCTATTTGAGCATTTGCCCAAGACTGTGCCTCCACAGAGGGAAGGTTGTTAGCACACAGGACTCAATGTGAAAACCTACAGAAGATGGTTTGGGTGTCTATTTTGAGCCAAAACAAACAAAAACTGTGCAGGCACCCACACTCTTCCATGTATTTATAACCTCAACCAGTTGTCCTTGCAAAGAGGCAAGAATGGGTGGGTAAGGAAGCATTTACTGAGCACCTACTCCATGCCAGGCTGTGCTGCATACTCTATGTGCAATAGAATCTTATTAAATTCATAGATGAGCCTTGTGAAATACTCATTGTTAACCCCCATTTTACAAATGGGAGAAGTGAGGCTAAGCATCTTGCTGAACACTGCCAGTAAGTGGTAGAGCTCAGATTTGAATCCGGTGCTGTCTGATGCCAAATCTGGTGCTTTTCTGTGCTCTCATGCTGTACCCTGGAGCTTACAAATATGTGCATCAGCCATGGCCCTGGACTTGTGATGCCATGCTGCTGGCAGTGGCATTTGTAACCACATCAGCAGTCCATAAATGTGCCGTCTTCCCTCTCCCAAAACAAGTCCCCACGGCAATGATCCTGCATGTCTCCTTTCATACACACATGCCCCAGGCTGCCCTTTTGTGGCTCATTTTCCTTTTTGTTTCACTTAAACCTTATAGGTCACATGTGCAAATATTCCATAGCAGGAAATGAAGAAGGCTAGAGGCAAGGGGCCCCAAGCTCTCCTCAGGTTGGGGGACCCTGGTCATTAGCAAGCCTTTGGTGCCTCTAAACGTGCCTGTGGTGTGACCGTGTTTGTGCAGTGGGTTAATGTTGGCTGAGCTGGTCAGAGGGTAGGGTCAGTGGAAGAACCTGCAGAGTGCGGCTGAGCCTCAGCCACCCCAGCTCTCCCCACATCTCCCCTGCAGCCACATCTGCCTTGTTTTGTGGCAATGTCAGCTTTAGTCTCATTTCTCTTCAAGTTTCTTAAGGGCACTGGCTAAGTCTTCTTCAGTGTTGTGCCACCGAAGAATCTGGAACATTCTATTAGCAACAATAGACAACTGCTGAATGATACGGTTATAAATAATGACATCTAATGATGTGGTTATGTTCTAGAATCAAGCATCATGAGCATGAGCATTTTTAGACTAAACTTGAGGTTGCTATTTTTTTGACTGTTTGTTATGAAACTATTTAAACTAACAGAAAAGTATAATAAATACTTTTAAATATAATGAATAGCCTAACGAATGCCCATATACCCATCACCTAGACTTAGCAAACAGTATTTGCCATATCTGATGCAGCTCCCAGAACCCAGGTTTCTTATCTACTCTGATTACAATAATGATACCATCTTGTGGTACAGGGACATCTTGTCAAGCACATCACGGGGATTGTATACACAGAGGAACTACGTCTCAGGATCTTCAAAGTTGTCTTCACCCAATCCCTCTATACTTACTGAAGATCTGCTATGTGTCAGGCCTTGTGGAAGGTACCCAGTGACAAAGATGAGGAAGTCATGGTCCCCATCCTTGGGGCATTCACCTCCATTGGAGACTGGGAATAAACTTGTAAATAGACAATTGCATTGTGATGTGCCAAGCCCAACATTCCATTTTATAGTCCCATGGACCGAGAAGCTGAGAAGGCTGTCGTCTCATCTATAGAGAGCATTACTAGATCCAAGTTGGGGAATCATGGCAGGGACTGGAGCCCTGCGTTCTACCTTTGCTGTTACTTAGCTGTGTGACCCTTAGCAAGTCACTGGCCAGGTCTGGATCACAGTTTTCTCATCTGTACATGAAAAGGTCAGGCTGAAATATTTCAAAGGCCCCCATTCAGATCCAAGTTTCTGGAACTTTTTATGGTGAAGTATTTAACCCACCTCACCGCCTAACTCTGCTTTTTTGCCTGTAACCTCCATTCTGAGCCAGAGCCTGCAGGGGTTTCCAGCTCTGCCTAGGTTCCACGATGGGTTCTAATTCCACCCCCTTGGAACCTGTGCCAGGGCTAATTCTCCCAGTCAGGAATTCCTTCTGTGGAACTAACCCATGTCTCTATTGCTGCAGTTTCCATTAATTTCCTTTGACCCGTCCTCGGGGGGAAGCTCATGATTACTGATAATTCTAGTTAATCCTTTAACTAGGAAAAGGAAACTAACCATCTAATAGGCCGAATGAGGGAATGACTTGGCACACCATCTGCAAAATATAAACCTAAAATATTCCGGAGTGTTCTCTGGGAGGCCACAGCCATTAACGCCCCGAGAGCCGGCTACTGCAGATATTTGCTCCTCATGGTGGGCACACTTCTGAACTGAGCCAGGAATGGGCACAGGCAGGGCAGCCCATGCCGTTTCCCCCTCTCTGCATGTTTGTGGCATAACCATCACAACCATTTTACTTGCTAAGGCAGAACATCTCCAGCCCCGTAAAAAGCTTTCTGACATCTCTCTGAGCTGCTGGCTTCCCCATTTTCAGAAGATGCCATGGTTTATTAATTCTCTGCAGAAGCAATAAGAACTGGGTATTGGCTTAATTTGGGGCCAATTTATTGTTATGATAGAAAAATTGGGCTCTGTCTCCTCTTATTCAACACAAGGGCCTATAGTTCCCCCTTTAACCCCTCCTGTGCTGGGCTCTTCCTCCAATCCACTTCTACTTTTTTGTCTTTGGGATATTATTTAACCTCTCTGTGCCTCTGTTTCCTCAACTGGGATAATCATAGTACCTATTTCATAGAATTGTTTTGAGTAAATACTGAGTTACTGAGTTATTTTAGGGTCTCTCTCTCTCTCTACCAGAAACTTCAAATTGACACACTGTTTTAAAAAATCTGGGAATTTCACTTTCTAAAAATCCAGGTTTTCAGCTTCTCGTGAGTGACTGGGAACCACACTTACCCTATGTCCACACAACCACCTGGAGCCGAGTAGAGGTGGCTCCTGCTAAAAATGACATCTCATGTCTGTCCAGGTCCTGGTCCTCCATTCCACTCAGGGGCAGGGCCTTTCTTCATGTCCTGGTTGACCCAGAGGCCCCGAGTCTGTGGTCTGGGTTCCCCTGTTTCCTTAGGCTGAGCCAGTTGTAGCCACAGAACTCAATTCTCCTCCACACCCGAAGCTGCTCGGAAATGTCCTTCCAGCATTACCTGCACCAATGGTAATAGGCAGCTATGCTCACTGGGAAAGAAAATCTGAACAAGACAAATGGAACCTCTCCTGAGGCAAATCTACCCCAGTGGGTTGAAGATGGAATTGTAATTTGGAGACAGAAGAAAAGAAAAAAATAATAAACAGCAGCACGATTCCCATTTTCTCTGAATTCTGACATTGTTGAGTGCCAACTGGACAGGCGCCTCACGCGCATCCCATCTATGCCACACAATCATCCCAGTGAGGTGGGTGTCATGGTTCCTGTTTTATGGATGAGAAAAGTGAGGCTCAGAGAGGTTGAGTAACTTGTACAAAGTCACATACTTAGGAAGTGGCAAAGGCAGGCTAACCCCACCCTTGATTGTGAACTGGATTGGGTGAAAGTTCTTGCAGGGTGGGCCAGGGTGAAGGCCGCCCTGGTGGAACTCCTGAGGCAATGAGCGATCCTGCTGATGCCTGTAAATGGTGCCAGCAGCGCAGGAGATTCCTGCCCTGGGAGAAGAGGGGGAATCCAAGGGAAGCATGTGGGAGTGCTACTGGCATCTGGTGGGTAGAGGCCAGGGACACTGCTAAACATCCTACAACGAACAGGACAGCCCACAACAAAGTGCATAAGATGTCAGTGGTCCTGAGGCTGACAAACTGCCTTAAAGCCTTTTTTTTTTTTTTTCTAGACAGGGTCTTCCTCTATCACCCTGTCTGGAGTGCAGTGACACAATCACGGCTCACTGCAGCCGTGGGCTCCTTGGACTTCTGGGCTCAAGCGCTCTTCCCACCTCAGCCTCCTGAGTAGCTGGATCTATAGGCGTGAGCCAACGCACCTGGCTATCTCTTTTAATTTTAAGAGTCTGATTCTAAGATGGTTGAGGGGTCACCAGAAGACCCTTTTCTGGTCATGGCCTGAGCCTTCTCTTTGCTGTCACCAAGGCTCCCACAGAAAGGTGGATGTTGTCTGGAGGAGGATTTATGGACATACCATTTGGCATAGCATTTGAGAATGCCAGACCTGAAAGGCCATCTAAGCAAATCCCTCAGTTGTACAGATGAAGAAACTGAAGCCCAGAGGAGAAAGTGCCTCGCTAAGACTGACCAGTCTGATACCTTATTCCTGAGGGCCAGAAAGTAGATTGCTGGATGCAGTACAGGTTGGGGGCAGGCATCACCTCTGTGTGAATTCAGGGCACAGCGTGCCCTCCGATGGCCCTCAGCTTCTCTATCTCTAATAGGAGGTGGAGGAGGCACAGGTCTGGGGGAATTTCTGGGTCAGCTCTAGCACTGGGGACAGTCTAGGGCAGTGGTTCTCAGCATCGAGCAGCATCAGAACACCCCAGAAGGTTTGTGAAAACCCACATTGCTGGGCCCCACCCCTGAGTTCCCAGTCTAGTAGGGCTGCAGTGGGGCCTGAGAATGTGCATTTCTAACAGGTTTCCAGGTGTTGCTGCTGCTGGGACCACACTGAGAACCACTGGTCTAGGAGGTGGGGATGAGTAAATTGAGAGATACCCATCACTAGGAAGGAGGTGAAACACTGCCTCTGATTGGGTGGCTGTAAATGAGGTGGCTGTATCCCAAAGGCCCCAACTTTTACTCATATTTTGGCCTGAGGTGGGTCTGTGTCCCTGAACTTGGTACAAACTCCTGTTCCTGGGAAGGCCACTCTGCCCCATGGGCAGGTCACCATACACTTATCTTCCGAATTCAGTCACACTTGAGTGTGAAAGGAGGCAGTGCTAATAACTGTGGGGACAGAAGGCGCAAGCTGGGCTGTCTGTGGCAAATTGAGCCATAGGAAATCAACCGGGCAGCTGGGCCTCCGGGAAGTAGCCAGGCCCACACAGAGCCTTAAATCTCCCTCACAAGCATTTTGATGTGGCCAACTTGTTTTCACTGAGATCAGAGGAAGAGAGGGAGTTGGGATGCTGGCTGCTGCAAAAGTTTTCAGGGCGGCCTCTAAAATATGCAGTGTAGAAGCCAGCAGAGCCATGAACCACACCCCCCTGTGCCGCGTGGTGGCTGGTCAGCATGTTGGAGTCCAGCCGGGATGGCTGCCCCACTCCCTAAGGAAGCTGTGCCACCAGAGCCAGCCTCACCTGCAGGGTCCTGTCCTGCATGTCCCAGCAGTCTGGGCTGGAAGAACTTGGGAGGTCCATGCAGGGCAGATGTGGAGGCCTCCCTCCATGTGCAAAAGGTGAATCAGAGAGGCGGGATGTGCTCTACATCACCCTCATGGTAGTAGACGGACCCGAACCACGAGTTCCAGGGCAGAGACCTTTTCACGCACACTGATCTCTAGATACATTGAATTTGGCTGTAAATCCTAAGGGACACTGTGCTAAATATTAGGGGGTATAATATTAGCTCAGAGCAGGCATCGCTCATCCAGATACAGAAGACTGGGCATGATGTCTGGTTGAAACTTTGTGGCCTATTTTTCCACACTCGGCAAAGACCTGTGTGTTGCCTTTGGACTCCTCTCCTCCTCTGCCTTTTTGATTCATATTTCCTTTAAAGTTGGGAGTGTTTCGGGTCTTCTTTATATTGCTTTTCACCTGGGTTCTTCCTTCATTCTGCATGGTGGGGTGGAGAGAGAAAGGAGGGCCTGGGGGCAGGGGGGCAACTACAAGCCCACCCCTTGCCTTCTGGAAATGCCATTTGTTCTAGACCCAGACCCAGCCCATGCCAGGAAAGCCAGACACACTACCCAAGTCATTGGCACAGACAAGTGGAGTGAGGGATGCTCAGGGGAACCCTAGACTTGGTCAGTACTCCATGGAAGATGAGGGGGTTCCAGGACCAGATCTGGGCAAGAGGGGGTAAGGATCACAAGACCACACAGCTGGAGGGAAATTGGGAATTCTATAGGCCAAACCCTTGTTGTGCAGAGGGGGAAACTGAGATCCAGAGAGGGGTAGAGGTTTTCCCAAAGTCACACAGAGTGAGGTCTACAACATCCCTTCTCTGACTCCTTGGTCCAGGGCTCTTTCCACCACATTTTGTTGGCCAGGCAGGAATTTGGTGTGGGTCTTGAGTCTCCCACACATCCTAGAGGCAGAAGGTGCAAGGAACATGTGCAGCTGTGTGGTGCTGTCAGGGAGAGTGACTTCCTCATGCCTGTGTTACCAGCACTTGGCACAGTGCCTGACACATGTGAGATGGTCAGTATATGTTTGTTCACTGAACCATGTAACAGCAATCCTTCAGAAGGGCTTGTCTCTTAAAAGGAGTTTTCATAAAGTTGATTTACCTTATAATGCACCTCAGTAACTGTGGCAAGGAAAAGAAATAGGGGTCTTATGTGCTAGGGCATATAACGTAAATCTTCTCTTAACATTTTATTATTTCAGGTATTATATAAGCAATGCATATTTATTATGAAAAAAATAGATAAGAAAAAAATTAAAATCTCCGCAATGATCTGATGGAACCATGGACCCAGGGGGAGCGTGCTTAGGGGCTGGAATACCTTGGAGCCCTCAGAGCACTTCCTGCAGCACCAGACTTCTCCCCTGCTTCCTTATCTCCACTCTCCATATCTTTGACATTGTCATCTTGGAGGGAAGGAGCCCCATAAACAAACCTGGCTCTAGCATTCAACAGGTTCTCAACAGGTTCAACTTGAGGTAGAACTGCAGCATGCCAGTTGCATTTTTTTTTTTTTTTTTGAGACAGTCTTACTCTGTTGCCCAGGCCGGAGTGCAGTAGTGCAATCTCGCCTCACTGCAACCTCCCCATCCTGGGTTCGAGTGATTCTCCTGCCTCAGCCTCCCAAGTAGCTGGGATTACAGTCACGTGCCACCACGGCCAGCTAATTTTTGTATTTTTAGTGGAGACAGAGTTTCGCCATCTTGGCCAGGCTGGTTTTGAGCTCCTGACCTCAGGTGATCCACCCACCTCGGCCTCCCAAAGTGCTGGGATTACAGGCGTGAGCCAAGGCGTCCGGCCTGCCAGTTGAATGTGCTCAAATGCATATTCCAATTTTCTGGAAGAATGGAACCAATGTGTCTTGAGAGCTCATTTCATGCCTGTATGTTCACAGACATCATCAAATTTGATCCTCACCAGTGCTCACTATCAAATGAAATCTAGAGCTTACAAGAACAAAGCAGGCCTAGAGTGCCCCCAAACCATACCAGACGCTGGACACCATCACCATGGATAGTGCCTAAGTCAAGGGCATTGATTGGAGGCACAGAAGTCAGAGCACCTCCCACACATCTGTCACATAACGTCTTCCCATGCCATTAGTGAGTGATCCTGACATGAAGATGCAAGGTGTCTCCCTAGCCCCTCTGAGCTGTAGCTCTCTGTGTGCTGTGCCTATACTGGCTGACCCAACGTGATGAGAACCTGGAAGAAGTGGTTTTGAGGATTGGATTTACTGATCTCTGGCAGTGTGACCTACCAGGACAGGCCACTTGCCCTTTCTCGGCTGAGCTGTCCTTTTTGCAACACGAAGTCATAATCACAGCCTACCCATTCACTGGGACCTTGCAGAAACCAAGCCTTACGGAGAGTTAAGGTGCATTATGGATGGAAAGTGCCACACAAGAGTACCTTCTTTCCACTAGGAAAACCTTGACTTGGCTGGTGCTGTTCTAGGATCGACTGCTTTTCCTTTCCTTGGCCTCCTGCATTGAGTTTGCCTTTCTCCCCCCAGCCCCCTGTGTCAACATCACGGGCTCCTTAGGAGCCCCACTCACAGCTCCACAACTGCTAATGTTCACTTCTGTGGAAAATGATAGGTGACAAGTTGCTCTCGGAGATGCCCACAATCAGATAAGCCAGGAGGGGAAACAAGTTCTTCTGGAAGGGAAACAGCCTGTACTATGGAAATTAAATATTCCTTAGAGGAGAGCAGAAAACTTTAGATCCCAGCCACGGGTTTCTGAGGAAGGTTCACCAGAGAAACTGGGGCATCCCTGGGGCACGGACTGGGAAGGATGGAAGCTGTTACTCCTGACATCTGCAACTGTCATTTGGAGCCTGGGTCTGGGCTGTGTGTCCCCCTACCCCTGCCCCAACACTGGCAACATGATCAAAGTCATACTTCCCCTTTTCCCCCTGTGGGGGCCCCAGCGCCCTTCTAGTCATTCAGCAATCAGGGCGCATGTGCTTTTCAAGTCAGTGTCCTGATATTTATCTGCAAGCAGGGATGTGAGAGGCAGCCTCCTGCCATTCCCGACATGGGGAAACTGAGTCACAAAAGGGCTGAGGTGAGTGGTCACGTGAAAGCCACTCTGAACAGAGCTCTGGATGTACTCTGCTCTCCTTGTCTCATGTGCACATACAGACACACAGACAGACACACACTGAGTTTTACAGCTCTCTAAAATTTATGAGCAAAGTCAAGTACCCGGAGATCTCTTAATTAAGCAGCCTTCCCCTAGGAGAAAGGAAATGGCCTTCCATATTCTTAGCACCGACACTGGATTGCATGATTTACTACCTGAGGCTTGCATTTCTCCCCACATCAACTCCCCTCTAGTGCAAACATCTATCACTTTGAAGGCAGTTCAAACACCACCTTCCCCTTGTCTTCCCCTGTCCCTGGTGCCCTCCAGCCCCTTAGCATTTCCTCAGATCTGCCTCCTTGCCCCAGAGGTCCAAGATCAGGCTGGAGCCCTGAACAGACACCATGCTGTCACCCATCCAGTGAAAGAGAAAGCCCTGCATGCCCAGGACTGGCACCAAGGGGCTGCCCTGCTGCTAGAAGGTGGGGCTGGTGCGGGGTCCCTCCTCAGCCCACTGTGGCTGCTGATGGCTGCCATGAAGATATATGGGTTTAATCAGGCCCCTGACAGGTAAAGACCCTGACAACGAGGACAGTTTGTTCTCTGAAACTGTTGAGTATCTAAGCCCAATGTTTACTTTGGAATTGAATGAATAACATTGTTCTGGGAAAGGAAATTTAAAAAAGCAGGCTTGTAATTTACAGTAGAGAGGAGAGCAGATCTGGAGGTCTTGCTACCCCCATCCCAGGCCCAGGCCCCCCTCCTGCAAACCCTCACTATGTCTTTTTGCTGTTTTAAACTTCTAAACACACCACAACCAACCAGCTCATCTTCTCAGCCCTGCCAGTAAAGGTCTCAACATTGCCAGGCTCCTTATAGCTGCCAAGATAACACATTGCTTCAAGGCAAAAGGTTTTTTTCCCTTCCCTTTTTAAAAAATCAAAACCAAAAGCCACTGAAATTCCAAATGCTGTGAGACCCATTCAAAATGTGGAGTGATTATCTGGAAGGATTATCTGGGGTAGGCCAGAGGTTCACCTGCACCCACTCCCACCAGGTCAGGACAGAGTGGCTTTTTATCAAAAAAAAAATAAGGGGGAGAAGCCCACCAAACCCCCAAAAGCCAAACCTAGCAAAACATGCCCCTCTTCTAGGGTTGAGGAATCCCTTTGCTGAGGATGGTCAATTTACTTTAAAATTCTTGGGGGTGGGGGAGAGGGATAGTTTCTTTGTAGCCAGCATCTAGAAGACTCCTGGGGACTTTCTTTGAACAGAGACCAGTGGCAGCACCTCTTGCTTGTGCTTAGGCATGGGGTGACACTTCCTAGTAGTGGGCATCTTGGCCGGCTAGAGGGTGCTCGAGACCAGCCTGTTTCCCTTAAACAGGAGAAGTCTCTTTTCTGAAAGAAGCACGCCTTTGATTAGGTAGAGACTGACTCGGAGACCTGAAAATTCCATGTCTTTCACCTGCCTCCCTCTCTGAACTTGTGCCCAGATGTAAGACAGAAGGAAGGGGTTGGGGGAGGGTCTCAGAAAGACCCATCCCCGGATCTGGCCATAGACTGGAACAGGACCCTCACACTCTTCTTCTGGCTTTGGGCAGGGACACCTACTTCTCCCATCCTCCATCAACCAGGGCCTCACAGCCCGCCTGCCCGCTGGCCTACCTCAGATGCCTCAGATTAGCTAATTGACATGGGGAGGCCACTTTGAACATTTCAAGGCCTGGTCAGGGGCCAAGTCTCATTACTTAGCTTCAAAGTCAAAAACTCCATAAAAAGTTCATTGGTGGAGCTGATTGTTCCAGATTGTCCTAACGGAACTGAGCCCACCACGGCACCCCGGGCCTCACGTTTTAATGTGGGGCGACAGCCCGTGTGTGGTACTGAGCTGGGATGGGGGAGGGGGGCACAGGAGGCCAAGACCCAGTTTGCATTTTCTTTTCTCTTTTCAAACACTTAAAAATTACAAAAAGACTAACCACACTACACAACATTGGAAAACAAGAGAAAAAATAAAAGATTCCAGAAACCCATACCCTAATACAACAATATTTCTTTATGTATATTTTTTATATACTACTAATCAGCATATGTATACAAAAATGGCCTGCTTTTTTTTTTTTTTGCTAAGCATTAAATCATAAGCATTTCCTACCTCTTCATGACCAATATTTTAAGTGGGTATGTGATATTCTGTCCCGGAAGTATGGACTGATTGTTACACATTTAGGTTGTTTATAGTTTTACATTTTTACAAATAACAGAAAACATATTTATATTTTCCCACGATTGATTTTTAAATTTTAAAAAAGTAATATTTTTTAAATGTTTTTTAAACTTTTTTTTAAAAAGTCACACTTTTTTTTTTTTTTTTTTTTTTTTAGAGTGTGGAAAATCTGGGAAAGTATAAAGAAGTTAATAAAAGTCACCTGTGATTGTTCTACCAAGCGAGAATCACTGCTAACCTTCGGGGGTATTTCCTTCATGTGTATATATTAGAAACAGGATCGTGCTGCACAGAAGTTTTGTAGGTCCCTGGGGCCGGGAGAATAAAATTGGCAGAGGAAATATTTCCAGGAGAGATTCAGTGTGTGACATGTGTGCATTCGAAGTTGGATGACATTTTCGTTGCGAATGTGGGACAGCCCTGTGCCCAGCCCCAGGGCCAGGCGGGTGGCCGAGGTTTCCTGATCAGGGACGAGGATGCTCCCAGGGCCAGCAAGGCCACGGGGGCACAAGC
Source organism: Homo sapiens (assembly GCF_000001405.40). Taxonomy (NCBI): domain Eukaryota; kingdom Metazoa; phylum Chordata; class Mammalia; order Primates; family Hominidae; genus Homo; species Homo sapiens. The sequence goes on from NC_000006.12 coordinate 44,561,098, forward strand.
AAACGCACTTTCCTCATTTCTTCTGACAAGCGCATTGGAGCCCCTGATTTATGGCCACACTTCATGGGACACTAGTAAACGTCCCATAGTATATTTTGTAAGAGTAATGAAGTCTCAGGAACCCGGCCCTCCCCGCGGCCTCTGCTAATAAATTTCCTTGGGCGAGGGGTGAGCTGCCAGGCGCTGGGCCAGAGTTGCGGGCTGCGGATTAGCAGAGGGGGCACCAGCCTGTCCCCTGGGGGCCGCCGCTCCACCCCGGGCTCTCGTAGGCGGTGGGGGGCTTTGCGGCGCCCCCACCCCAGCCACGCTGGGAGCGCAGCCCCGTAGAGCTCAATGTGGAGCTCTCAAAAGGCAGGAGGAAGATGAAAAGTGAGTCGAGAAGCTGGAGAGGAAGGGGGGAAACCCCAAACCATAATTGCCGCTTTCCTTCTGCAGCTCAGGTTGCTGGCCCGGGGCTGAGGGGCGGCAAGGGCTGTTTCTTTTTTGACTACTGTTTTCCTGAAGTTTGAGGCTGGACTATGGGATGAAAGAAGACCGAGGGGCAACTGGCATGGGCTGGGTTGTGCGGGGCCACCGCAGGAGCGGGTGGGGGCGGGGGGAAGGGGACGGGAGGGGCTGAAGATTTTTCTATCTCCCCCCACCCCCATCCCCAAGCCACACAAACTTCAAAGGGCTGGGGACAGGGAATCCATTTGTCACTCCGCAGAATAGCTGCCCCCCCCCCCGCCCCCCTTAATGCTCCCTTCCTCTTCATAGATCTGCTTCGAAGCTGGATGTTTCTTCACGAATTTTAATTCAACTCTCATTTCAGCCAGCCCCTTCCAGGTCCCACACCAGGTGCTGAGGACACAAAGATGAGTAAGACACACCACTCGCCTCAGGGAGGTCCCGTTCTGTGCTGTCAAATCACCCAGAGTGCAAGCTGACACTAATTGACTGCTTACCATGGGCCAGACGCTGTTCCAGACACTTTACATGTATTCATCCATTTACTCCTCACAAAACCTAAAGCAGGTGTTGTGTTATCATCTCACTGTTAATCGGGCACTGAGACAGTAAGTGACTTGCCCAGGATCCCTCTGGTTCTTGAGTCAGGTTCTCAGAGATCCCTCAAGTCTCAAGGACTTGAAACAGGCAGGCTACCCAGACTTCCTCTCTAACAAGCAGCTTACTCCACACACAAGGAAACCAAGGCCCGAAGAGGAGAAGTGACTTGCCCAATGCCACACAGAAAAGTGGCAAGGCTGGAACTAGACCCCAGCCAACACCCCCACTGAAACATCCAGCTGCCCTCTTTGGCTGTGTGGATGCCTCTCACACATATTCCAAGACATGAAGTGAGAACCATTTTCTGGCATCTGGAAACTTCCTGTTTGTAAGGACCACCCAATAGACCTACAAGGAACCATGGAGACAGTGATTTAAGGAAAGAAACAAAATGAACTCCAGATCAGAGAGCTGGGGGACATTTCAGTATCAGTGGCATTGGGAATGAGTTTCTTTAAGTTAAAAATTTATATTTTAGTAACCAGAAATTTCCCATGTCTATCGGATGGAGTTTTACCAATTTTCAAGGAATCAGAAAATGATCAAGATAACTACATTTGATACTGAACAATGCTGAATACTGAGTGAGGTTTTGTGGCTGTGGGTCATTGCCATACACATCAGTTAGCGTGGAACCACTGGTGAGCAGAGGCCTCCATTCTCCACCTGGACTTGCAGCCATGGCATGACAGCCTGGAACAGAACACCCAGTGTGAACATCAGGAACCAGAAGATGCTTGGTAGCACACATCAGAAATGGCAGGAGAACCCTTGCTGGGTGTCAGAGCCCAAGCGACTGTGCACAGAGTGCTTGATCATGAAGTTACTCTGGTGCCCCAGCCAGAATTCCCACACCTTAAAAAAGCAATTGCAAGTGCTGCAACAGACCTCTTCGTGGAAAAGCAAACCTCACAAATAAAATCTGGGTTTGAAAATAAAATGCCTGACCTAATTTGATGGTGACTGCCTTCCAGGTTGGTTTGTGTGGGGGCACTGGGATGTCGGGGCTCTGGTTCTTATTAGAATTCTCCTGTGCTCTCAGGATGGGCAAACCTGGCTCATTGCAGGCCGGACCCACAGCAGGGCTGGGAAAGGGCCCTCAACTGGGAGTCAGGGACCTCAAATGTACCAACCAGCAGTGGCACATCACGTCTCCGTGATTCAGGTATGAAATAAGGGCAAGAAGATCTTACAGCCCATAAGGGGTGGCTGGGCCTGACCTGGTGCAGGCATTTAAGACCCTGACCTTGGCAGTCCTTGCAGCAACCCTGGGCAGCACGTATCATTGTGGCCATTTTACAGACGAAGAGACTGAGGCATCGAGGGATTACGAGGCCCACTGTGCTCTGTGGGTGGGTGTGAAATGACTCACAGCTAAGTGCTGTGTAAATACAGAAGATCATAGTTACAAACTGTCCCAATACATGCGTGTGTGTGAGCCAAGGCCTAACACGTCACTGGCAGATCTATTTGCTCAGTCGTGTTAGTCCCTCCCCTTCTTTCTTTCCTCTCTAGGGCAGGGGACAACAAAAGGAAGATGGAAGTATTCCCTAATACAGCTGGAGGATTCACGTTACCCATGCCGGGAGAATAGCCAAGGAAGGAAACCCCAGCTCACGCCCTCCTGCATTCTTTACAAGGACACACGGGAGTGGGGAGCATGCCCTGAGCAGAGCGGACTCAAGCTTGGGCCCCTGTTCGAGGAGTGCTAAAAAATCTTGCGCCCTCTGGATGCTTTTTGAAATTTCAAAATGGATGAAACAGTGACTTCAAAAAATCAATGGTAATTTTAGATCAGGCTTTTTGCAAACTTCTCACTTCCTCCTGGAGAGCCTGATAAACACAGGGCAGGCACTGACAAATGCTAGTTTCATTCCAGGAAGGTGTGAAAATTGAGTTTGTTGGGCATTGCCTGGGCTTCAGGCAGGAAAGAACGAATGGCACTTTCCTGGGGACGACTCCTCTCACTGCAAGACTTTAGGGCCTGGGCAGAGTAAAGATGGTCCAGACCTGCCCTGGCCAGCAGTTCTTGGCCACAATGGAGAGGCTCTGTGACAAAATAGTGTGCTACACAATGTGCATGTCTTGATGTTGTTACTAATATTGCTGTAATTATTCCTGATTCTGTGATTTTCCACTAGGTCACACTGCTTTGTAATTTTGGCTTTGACTTCTTAGCAGGAATGAGCTGTAGGTGACTTAGGAGGTGTCTGTTTGCTCATCATTTATTCTGTTCACTGCTTGGATTTCATCTGCTATTCTTTTTTTTTCCTTCAGTTTACCTAATGTGGGCCAACATTTCCTGGGTATCCATGACACAAGAGGAATCTTGGGAAAGGCCCCGGCCCTGAAGGAACTTAGACTGGCCTAGAGGAAACCAGGCATAGACCAGTCATAGGTAAATGATTAGGTGTCACTATATGGTTGAGCGCCGTAAAACTCAGGCTTTCTGTCCAAGGTAACTATTTTTTCAACTTTCTCTTCCATTCTCTTAAGGCCAGAACAAATCTGGCTTAATTACAACATGGCCTCTTTGAACATCAGTTGACTTGAAACCAAGGTTTGATGAGATGCTGTTTAAAGGACCTTCCAGTTCTAGCTGAGGGGGTCTGAGAGACTCATGTTAGCACAGGAGAGGGGCTCACTGCCCTTGAGTCTGAATGTCCCTTGTCCCTGAAGCCCTCTGCTCCCAGCCGAGCCTCTACCCTGGCTGGCTCCTCATGTTGGCACCGCCCTGCTGCATTACCTGGCTCCTGTGCTTTTTCAACTCCTTTTCTTTTTTTCTTTCTGTCTTTAGGGAAAAAGTGAAAAAGAGCAGACATTTCTAGCACACTGTGGGTGGCCTGTAGGGGAGATGATGAGTTAGAAGACTGGTGGGGAGGGACACACTGTTGACTCACCGGGTCACCCCTGGAGCCATTTTACATCACCAAGAGATGATCACTGGACTCTGCTGGTGGGCACTGTCCTATGCCCTGCAGGAGGCCTCCCAGGAACCCAGAGCAATACTGGTTGTGTGAGCATAAGGAGGGGCAGTGACTCTGCAGAGCACTAAGACCCTTCATGGGGCAGACGACAGAGAGCCCCATGGGGGCTGTGGTTCTCGCCAACTCCAGGCAACTGACTCCAAATGCCCTCTTCTCTCCAAGTCTACTCCCTCCACCCTGCAGACTGAGTGGCCCCACCCGGAGCCACACGGGCCACACCCTGGCCTATACTGGGCACTCAGGGTGAATAGCTGCTGCTTAGCACAGCGCCTGACCACATGGTGTGTAGGTGGCCAGAGAAATTCAGCTTAATGAATGACTGCTTCAAAGCCACAACATATTAAGCTAAAATAGTTATTAAATGAATAGCAATTGACACAGCACTTTTATATGTCTCTTATTTTCTTATTATGATTTATTTATCTTTTCCTGTCCAGCTCTCATTGTTTTGAAGACCCAAGGATAATGAGGTACACTTAACTGGCAATCAAGAAACCCTAGGGGCTGGGCACAGACGGCTCAGTCTTGTAATCCCAGCGCTTTGGGAGGCCAAAGTGGGATGATTCCTTGAGTCTGGGAGTTCGAGACCAACCAGTAAGATCTGATCTCTAAAAATAATAATAATAATTAGTTTGGTGTAGTGGCACACAATTGTACTCCCAGCTACTCAGGAGGCTTAGGTGGGAGGATTGCTTGAGCCTGGGAGCTCAAGGCTGCAGTGAGCTATGATTGTGCCACTGCACTCCAGCCTGGGTGAGAGAGCAAGACCCTGTTTCAAAAAAAAACAAAAAGAAACCCCAGGAAAGGGCACTCCACCTCCCTGTGCCTCTGTTGCCTCAACTGTCTAGGCAGTGGTGAAAATAACATCTGAATATATTTCTCTGCAACCTTGCAGGGAGGATCAAGCCCACTGGTGGATGTGAAGTGTCTGGGGCAGTTAAAGAGGCAGTGACACGGCCAGGTGTGGTGGCTCACACCTGTAATCCCAGCACTTTGGGAGGCCAACGCGGGTGGATCACTAGAGGCCAGGAGTTTGAGACCAGCCTGGCCAACATGGTGAAACCCCCATCTCTACCAAAAATACAAAAATTAGCCAGGCATGGTGTTGCCTGTAATCCCAGCTACTTGGGATGCGAGGCAGGAGAGTTGCTTGAACACGGGAGGTGGAGGTTGCAGTGAGCTGAGATGGCACCACTGCACTCCAGCCTGGACAACAGAGCCAGATTCAATCTCAAAACAAAACAAAACAAAACAAAACAAAACAAAACAAAACACACGTCAGTGACAGGTGTGATGGGCTACTTCCTAAGATGCTCTACATCTGCAAAGACCTTCAAGGAGGAGAATGTCCCCATTACTCTCTGGTCATCAGGCCCCAGGCCCTGAAGTTCTGGCATCATCCAAGAAAGCTTTTGCTGTGCCTAATACGACCAGTCCTGCAGTGGGAGATGTGACTCTGAATGAATGCAGCCAATTTCCCTAAGCCATCTAAGATGGCAAGTTCTATGATTTTTCTTCAGGATCTCAGTTTAAATGCCCCCCCGTCAGGAAGCAATTTCTGAAAGGACTGAAGGAGTGAGCTGTGCAAACGCAGCATCTGCAGGAAGAGAATTCGAAACAGAGGGGCTAGCAAGAGTCTATTTGGCTGGGACTGAGAGAGTGGGAAGAATGGGAAGACACAGGCTTAGAAAGTGGCCAGAAGCCACATCGCATAGGGACTGTGGGACATAGGAAGGACTTTGGATTTTATTATAGGAGCAGTTAAAAGTCATCAGTGGGTTATGAGTGGGAAGGTGACACGATCTGGCTGTCATTTGGAGAACAGGACTGTGGGAGAGGGAGGAGAAGCTGAAGATGGAATTTGCTAGTGTGTTGAATGTGGAGATATGAGTATAATAGCAATCAGTGATAACTGAGATTTTTGGCTTAAGTAACCAGATGAATGGACAATCTGGCCTCCTGGAACCCAAGTCTTGCCAATTACCTTGTAATATCTCTGTTCATTCCTCTCTGTTCTTTCTACCACTGCCTTGTTCAAGTTCCCATCACTCCTCCTGGGATTCCTGCATTTATTGCCAATCAACCCCATTGTCAAAGAATAGGTTTTATTTCCCTCTCATGCTTGAGAACTCTGATGGCCACCTATATTGGTTAGTTATTGCTAAATAGAGCTAAAAACCACAAACATTTATTATTTCACACTTTCTATGGATCATGAATCTGGGGACATCTTAACTGGGTCCCCTAGCTCAGGGTCACACAAGGCTGCAATTGAGGGGGCAGCTAGGTTGGGGCTCATCTGAAGGCTCAGTCCAGGGAGGACCCAGCCTGAGCTCACTCACGGGATCGCTGGAAGGATTCCATTCCTTGCTGGCTGTTGGACTGAGCACCTCTTGTCCTCGCTAGCTGTGGGCCAGAGATATCAGCTCCTTGACACATAGGTCTTTCCACAGAGCAGCTTGCAGCCTGGTACTGGCTCCCGTCAGAGTGAGCTAATGAGAGAGCAAGAGAGAACACCCAAGAAGGAAGCCACAGCATTTTTGCAACCTCATCACTTTTGCCATAGTCTCTTTGTTAGAAGTGAGGTACTAGGTCCAGTCTACTCTCATGGAAGGCACTTGTGCAAAGGCATGAATACCAGGAGAGAGGGCTCACTGGGTGCCATCTTCAAGGCAGATGCTCTCTCACCTCTCTCCTGTATCTTCTGCTCCAACTCCTCATGCTGGTCATTCACTTGCCGATCCTGAAAGAGCTATCTGTTTTCTGTACACTTTCCACCTTGGAGATTTTCTTCTGCTCATTACCTCAGGCCTGGAAGTGAAGCATTTGGCCATAATTCTCACTCTGCTTGCTTCTGTCGGCGCTCTTGGTCCATGTGTTTGTTCTTCCCAGTTCGAATTTGTGCTCAGTGACCTTCCGGACTATAACTTACTTGTTTGTGGGTTCCCATTGTCAAATATGGTGTCTGACACAAAGTAGATTGTTATTTGACTCTGCTCAGTATGAATGAGTGAGTTTTAATTAGAGCAAAAGAAAAAATTCAGGAAGGTAAACCTACTCATTGGGCAGATTCTAAAGTCAAACAAGGCCTTAAGATGGTTTATTTTAGGTCATCTGTGCCAAGCTTCCTCTCCACTGGAAACTCCTAAAGAAACTGTTTAGCTGCTTCTGCAAGTATACAAGTTGCCACACTTTGGGCCTCTCAGAAATCTTGTGAGGTAGGAAGGGCAGGAATCATTGTACCCATTTTATTTTTTATTTTTATTTATTTTGAGACAGAGTTTCACTCTGTCACCCAGGCTGGAGTGCAGTGGCCTGATCTCAGCTCACTGCAACCTCTGCCTCCCGGGTTCAAGGGATTCTCCTGCATCAGCCTCCCGAGTAGCTGGGATTACAGGCGCCTGCCACCACACCTGGCCTGTACCCATTTTATAGATGCAGGCTGAGGTCTAGGGAGGTTAAGTGTCAGGACCACATGCAGATGGCTAGCACCTGGTAGAACCAGGCTTAGCTCAGTTCAGTTCAGAACATATGTATCAATGCCTCTTACATTTCAGGGCCTACATTTTCATACAGAAAAGTAAGATACAGTTCCTGCCCTCAAGGGGTTCACAGTCTCCTAGTGGAGACTGACATATGAACAGATCCACCCTACTCAGTGGGGAAAGCCCCTGGTCTTCTCTGACCACTTGAGTTGTCTCTGAAATGATTTACGCAATAAAAGCAGGATAGTGTAGGGCCAGAACAATGGCCCCCAAATCTAACTGGTGTTTGGAGCCATCTGGACGGCTTTTAGAAACACAGATTCTGATTGATGGGTCCAGAATAAAAACCAGGTGATATTGATGGGCGGGCATGTTTGAGACCCTCTGGTTTGCAGGGTTTTTTGGTCTTTGGAGAACAATCAACTGATCTGAAAGTTTCTCAGTGGGAAGAAGGGAGACTTCTCATGGGCTCAGCCTGCTAAACGTCCCCAGGTATTTCTCTTCCGTGGACTGCACCCATTAGAGTGGGCCCCTGGTCCTGCTGTCACCTACAGATGTCCCCTACTCTGCTCTCGTGTGTCCCAGTCACACCTTTTCCTCATATTGTTGGTCCCAACTAACTCCCACCTGTCTTAGGCATCTCACCCAGGTTTCAAACAATGAAGTGCTTTCAGGGAGCAGTTCCCAGGCTGCGGTTACTCCCCTTCCCGGGTCACAGAGGGTTGTGGTCATTTCCTTCTTGGGATGCCCCACCTATCAGTCTGATGCTTTGCATGCCTTTTGCTGTGAACAGAGCTGCTAAACTCTAGAGAGTAGGTCATTTTGGGGTTTACATTTTGACCCTTCACCTGCTTCCAGTCTTGATTCCAATGTCACCTCAGTGAGTTCTTCTCTGACTACCCATTTCAAATGCACTCCTGCCTCCTACATGCCCCATCCCCTAACTGCTCAAATGTCCTCCAGAGTACCTGATTACTTTCTAATTCACTGTATCACTTACTGATTTATTCTGTTTCTCATCTCCCTCCTGACAACAGAGTATGAGCTCCCAAGAAGGCAGGGCTGTCTCCTCTGTTCATGGACATATCCCCAGGACCCAGTACAGTGACTGACACACAGTAGGCTTTCAGAAAGATGCATTGAATGTGTAAGTCTTGAGCAATGCCTTTGCATGCAACAGTGTTCTCTAAATGCTGTTTGGTTGGTTGGTTGATTGACAAAGCCAGCCAAATCAGGGCAGGCTCATCTGCTTCTCTTCCAGAAGATGCCCTGGACTGAGGCTTGGAGACTTATTTCTCAGGGTTAATAGAGTGAGCCTTGTTGAGATTGTCACAGCCTTCCCAGCTGGGCTGAAAAATGCCTTTGGAATCTGATGCTGGGGAGGCAATGGGCCAGCTCCAAGACTTCCCAAGGAGCTGGAGTCAGGGCTGGCTCCACATCCCGTTTGTCAGCCCCAGCATGCAGACGAGAGGCCATCAGTTGCCAAGGACTTTGTTTTATTGTCATTGCAGTTGGCTTCCCTCGGGGCTGGAGCTGCCGGGCAGCAGCCATCAAGCCCTGGCTGCTGGGCTGGGGTAATATTAGCAATTCCATAATTCTCACCCGAGCCACAGCTGAAAAGAGGAACTGCTGGAGGTGGCTGAGAAAACAGGAGCCTCGGCGGCAGCAGGAGGAGGAAGAGCTAGTACTGGCTGTTCTCTCTCTAACTTCCTCACAGACCTAGCCTTGGGACATGGCTCATGGAGCTTCCTCCAGCCCAGCCTCTGTTCAGTTTTTCCAAGGCTTGTCACAGAAAGAGGGCTGGGGTGTTATTTTTAAGTCTTAGCTACCCAGAATTCTCAGGAAATTTTGATATCATCTTGTAGATCCCACCATAGACAGCCTGCATTGCAGGCTAGAGGGATTGCTGCTTGGAGATGTATTCAAAATGTTCCTTCTGTTATATGTGCCTCCCAGACCTCCGGAAAGAGGTGCTGCCATATTGATAAATTACCCCAGGACAGTTCTCGCCACCTCTGGCCTGTGAAGCACCCCCACATTTGTGGGACAATGAGCCTTTGCACCAACCCTGGTCTGAGACATCCCTGGGCTCTGGCCCTAGAGCGGGCAGGCCTCTTACACTACGTGGCTGTCTGGGGATGGCTCAGCCGTTGTGGTACATCCCTGTTCCTTACTTAGGAAGAAAAAATAATTGATGTCCTAAAAGTTGTCTTGTCAAAGAGCTGCCCTGTGGTACCTGAAGGTGAGATCAGAATTGAGAGCCCAGAAGTTTCTCCAACCAAAGAGTCCATCCGAGGGACTGGGCAGGGAGGCAAAAGTAAATGGACACAGGTCCCCCACAATCAAAGCAGATAGCTCATGTGAATTATTAGTCATGTAACAGCATGCCCTCTGTCCCTCCAAGCCCATATTTAAAGCTAAATAATGTTTCAGCCCCCAACTCTGACATCTATCTAGGCCAGCCTTTCTTGAAACCACACTCTGACACACGAAGCCTATAAGATGCTTCATGAAAAAGGGTTCCTAGATACAAATAATTTGGGAAACACTGCCTGCCTTCTTGGAGATTCACAGCACCTATGAAAGGCTCTGAGAAGTTCTGCAATGAAGAAATTTGTTTCATTCTATTTCATCCAGTATTTCCCACACTCAAACTCTTTTATCACCTTCTAATATCCCTTGTATTGGGGTTTCCCATAGAGCCCACTGGGAAGCACAGGTCCTGAGGATAGGCTTCTAGAAATACTGATGATTGGTTTGGCCCACTTGGCACCTTTAGTCCCCGACTCCATGTGATCTTCACTCATGGCTGCACAGCCTTCCACTGAAGCCCACCTGCTTGGTAGGGAGCATCAGACAGTTCAAGCTCACTAATAAGAGCCAGGAGCAGAACCTTGTTGTCTAGACCACCAAGCCTCTTTCCCAAGCTGTTTTCATGTGGTAGGGTGTTTTCACCATTCACTATGTCAGCACGGATGAACCTAGGCCCTTGCAAAGTTAAAATTGTATATAGGTTTGGCTTTAGGACCCTACTCCCACTTCCCTCCTTTCAGCACCTCCTCCTGCCACACTGTCTGGTGCTGCCATCTGCTTACCCTACCAAGGCAAAGCAGCTACCCAGATTAAGTTCTTTTTTTCTCTTCATCCATCACACTGTCTCCTTTACCCAAAAGGCAACCTGGAGGAGGTAAGGTTGAATGCAGAAGTTGAAGAATGACCAGCTCACCAGGGGAATAAGACAAAGGTGGGTGGCATAGGCTCATTTGGTTCTCAAGACAATCTTAAGAGCTTAGCAGAATTGGTATAATTGACCTCATTTTTGCTGCTGAAGAAAATGAGGTACAGTTCTCAGCCCTGAATTCATCTTGATAACAAGGAACAGGACCAGGAACTGAGCTCAACACTCCGGAGCTTATATCTCTTCCTCAACAGCTCTGGGACCCCAGGGCTATCCTCCTATGCCAAGGTGGCTGACTTTGGTGGTGAACATTTCTTTATAGTTTATCACACAAGTATGGATCCCTAAGCTCTGCAGTTCTGTTTTGTCCATTTCTTCCATATATATTTTTAAGCCTCTCTAATCTAAACATGTTGCCCCCATTCCCTTTTTATTTCACATGATGGATTTGTTGAAGAACCAGGGTCATTTAGCCTGCAGAGCTTCTCGCAGCCTAAATGTCACTGATTGCATCCTTGTAGTGTTGGTTAGCATGTTCCTCTACCCTGTGTATTTCTGCTAAGTTAGTAGTTGGACCTAGAGGCTTGATCACATTCAGGTTTGAGTTTTTCTCCTAGATGATAGGTAGTGGTGCTCTTCCATCAGGAGCCACATATTTTCTAATTGTTTCTCTTTGTGTTGTCAGTAGCTGTTGTTATTAATTCATGCTTTGTTTTGATGTCTCCAGGCTCTGCTCCATGGCCTTGCATCTGGTTTTGCCTCTGTGCTCAGCCCTCTGGAATAAGAATTATTCAAAACATGATATATCTGTATAATGGGAAATTATTTGGCCATGAAAAGAAATAGATTCTGTTTTTCTGATATCCCTGGGCCCTACCCTCTCAGTATACACATCCAACCCCAGTCTCCTGCCTCCAGGCCAGGCTCTCAGAACCTGTTCTGATTTTTAACCCAGATTAGGTAATTCAGTATTTGCAGAATTCTTTTATTAATTAATTAATTTATTTTGAGACGGGGTCTCTGTTGCCCTGACTGGAGTGTAGTGGCATGATCACACCTGTAATCCTAGCACTTTAGGAGGCCAAGGTGGGCAGATTGCTTGAGGTCAGGAGTTTAAGGCCAGCCTGGGCAACATGGCGAAAACTCATCTCTACAAAAAGTACAAAAATTAGCCGGGCATGGTGGCAGCATCAACCTCCGGGGCTCGGGTGATGCTTTCACCTTAGCCTCCCAAGTAGCTGGGACTACAGGCATGTGTCACCATGCCTCCCAAAGTGCTAGGATTACAGGTGTGAGCCGTCACACCTGGCTGGTATTTGTAGAATTCTTGTTTGGCAGCCATGAACTATTATGGAAAGGAAAGATCTTTCCAGACTCATCTCATTGCCTGGCTCAGAGACCTGTCTTGAGGCCTTCTCCATAGTGGATCTGGTCACACTTGGTGAAAGCAGGTGACCAGAGAGACATTTCTGAGCTCAGAGGAAAGAACACACTAGGATAGCTTGGAAGTATCATAAAGATTTTGTCATTATGGCAGCTGAATTCTGCATTTGATATGTGTTCACCAAGATGCATTTCCCTTATCTCCTCGGCATAGGAGGCCTTGTCCCCCAGCGTCTTTTGAATTAGATGTGTCCATGTGACTTAGTTCTGGCCAATGGATTGTGGCTAAATTATATTACTCAGGTCTGGTGCATGAACACCAACAAAGGGATTCCCAGTCCCTCCTTTCCCATCTTTTAGCTCCATGGAAGGATCTAGCAGAGGACTTAGAGTCCTAAGAGTATGGCAGAGACACAAGATGGAAGGACCCTGGGTCACTGAATGACCACATGGAAGCCTGCTCTGTTGCACTGGACTTTGTGAGAGAGAGAAATGATTTTTTATTGAGTTAAACCATTGTAATTTAAGGATTGCTTGTTATAGCAACTGATGTCACTTATTCTCACTTATACAAGCCTTTTGAAGAGTGAGAAAGTGGCTCATGGTGAAAGTAGAGCAAAGAAAAGCAAACTCTACCAGGCTTCTCCAAGGCACAGTAATTGGGGCTTGACCACTTCTAATTACCTCAATGAATCATTTCTGAAGGTCATGGCTTTCTGATTACCTGAGCACTCCTCATGTGTGGGGTACAGACTTTGGAGAAGAAGAAATAAATCACTAACTGAATAATGCCAGGGGTGCTTTTGAGGCTGAAGAAATTGTGGAAGGAGCAGGGCAGTAAAATCATGGCCTATCCACTCTAGAAGTGGCTCAGGAGTCCCTGAATCACCGATGGGGCAGAGTCTGGCTTGATGGGCAGAAAGTTATTGTATTAACAGTTGTGACAAAGAAAATGATAACCCTAAGGTCTCAGAGTAAGGACTGATAGAAATCATCCCAGATCTGAAACTCCAATCTCACCGTTGGCTGACTCCATCTGACTTTATGTGTTCATTCATATGTGTCTTGAGCAGAGAATGTTAGATCCCATCTGTGAGTGACTGTAGGACATCTGTTAGTTTAACAGCATGTGCTCTTCATGGAGCTGTCTTCCTTCTTCCTTGGGAGACTTTCCTTTTAAAAATCTTTACAAAGACCCCATCTTCTTTCTAATGGTGTGTTTCAGGCTTCAGTGGTCATATGGATAATCTGGACTTGGTCTTATTTCATCATCTTTACTCTTTAGACTTTTAGACATCTGGTGATTTAACTTCAGGTGAGATGAGCATTCTAGGTCACAGCTTTGGTTAGTTTCTGCTACTTTTTGTGACACACACACACACACACACACACACACACACACACGTATTCATACTCCAAAAGCTTCAAGATAGACAGTTGAGTATAGTAGTCAAGAGAGGCCTTTGGGATGCCAAGACCATTCAGTGGGGAAGGAATAGTCTTTTCAACAAATGGTGCTGTGACAACTGGATATTCACATGCAGAAGAATAAAGTTGGACCACTAGCTCACACTATATAAAAAATTAACTCAAAGTGGATTATAGACCTAAATATAAAATCTAAAACCTTAAAATTCTTAGAGTAAAACATAGGAGCAAATCTTCGTGGCCTTGAGTTAGGCAAAGCCTTCTCAGATATGACATCAAACATACAGCAACAAGAGAAAAAAAATAAACTTAACTACACAAAAAGTAAAATGTTTGTGCTTCAAAGGACATCATCTAGAAACTGAAAAGACAATCAACAGAATGGGGGGAAAATTTGCAAATTGTATGATAAGAAACATATATTAATATTAAAACCCCTTACAACTTAACAATAACAAGAAAGATAACCATTTTTAATGGGCAGAGGATTTGAATAGACATTTCTAGAAAGGAAATATATATACAAATGGCCAATAAGCACATGAAAAGATGCTCAACATCATTAGTTAATAAGAAAATGCAAATGAAAACCACAGTGAGATACCACTTCACATCTGCTATGATTACGTCCGGTTCACATCCACCATAATCAAAACAATGGAAAATAATAAGTGTTGGTAAGGATGTGGAGAAATCAGACCCCTTATGCATTGAGGTGGGGATGTAACATGGTGCAGCTACTTTGAAAAACAGTGTGACAGCTCCTCAAAAAGTTCAACATAGAGTTACCGTGTGATTTAGTAATTCCACTCCAAGGTGCATAACCAAGAGAAAGAAAAACCTGTACAGAAATGTTCAGGGTGGCATTATTTGTAACAGCCCCAAAGTGGAAATAACCCAAATGCCCATCAATTGATCAATGGATAAATAAAATACAGTATATCTGTACAATGGAATATTATCTGGCCATAATAATAAATAGAAATAAATGAAATACTGATACATGCTACAACATAGGTGAACCTGAAAAACATTCTAAGTGAAAAAAGCCAGACACAAAAAGTCACATACTGCATGCTTCCATTTACATGAAATGTACAGAATGGGCAAATTCATAGAGATAGAAATTAGATTAGTGATTGCCAGGGGCTGGGAGAACAAGGAAGTTGGGCATGTCTGCAAATGTGTATAGGGTTTCTTTTGAGGAGTAATGAAAACATTCTTGGATTAGATAGTGATGAGAATTGCACAACTCTGTGAATATCCTTTAAAAAACCACAGAATTGTACACTTTAAGGGGGTTAATTATATGGTATTTGAATTATATATCAATAAATCTGTTTACAAAAAAGAGAGAGGGTTCTCTAGAGCCAGACTGCTTGAGTTCAAACCCCAGCATTTTTTGTTGCTATGTGTGTGATCTTTGCCTAGTCACTTGCCCACTCTGTGCCTCAGTTTCCTCATGTGTAAAATGAAGATGATAGTAGTAACTGCCTCATATGGTTGTTGTGAGGATTGCATGAGTTAATGGAATGGCTCCTGGCCCAGAGCAAACACTCCATAAGAGTTACCTACTGCTTTTACTGTTAATGACGAATGTCATGCAGTACAATAATCCTGGCCACATGCCCATAAATCAAGGGCCAAAGAAGACTTATAAAATCTTGTCAGCAGGGAGGGCTTGGTTCAGGGTGAGGTCCACAAGCAGGATCATGGCCTGGAGATCTGGGTAGCTTCCACATTGAAAGAACCACTCAAGAAAACTGTAGGGTGCTTAGTACATCCAAACATACATAAATACAGAGTCTGGCTCAAGATTTTTGGCCAGAGTCCCTTGAGAGTTATGAATCCCTCTTTGAACAATGGCAGCTATTATTAAAATCTAGAGACTTTGAGTTGGATTCTTTCTCCAGCCCAGACACTGATTCAGAACTGCAACATTCTAAACAGTGAGGCTAGAAACTGATGCCATTTCTGAGCTGATTTATTGAGAGGTTTCTTGATTTGGGTCAGGTTCCTGCAACATTTGGAAAGTGACGACTATAGCATCATTATTTCCCCCAAATGACCAAAATTATAGCCGGTAACTTGAGGCCAGTAAATTTCCCTGCAGCAGATGTTAAACTGTTTTAAAAGATGATTAACAATGGGGGACTTAGGCCCTATGGCAGAGCAAAATGGGCTGGTGTTGCTGAAGTCAACGTGTGAGGTAAGGGGCACATCCAGACCCCTGTGGTGGGGAGCCCAGGTTGGAGACTGTAAAAGCTCACAGGTTGTGGTGTAAATCAAGCCTGTGGTCCTGGGTGGCTGAACATGTGGTTCTGTGACAAGAGACCTAGCCTGGACGTTGGGAAGCCTGGGTTCCATGCTTGCTTCTGTCAGAATGTGACTCAGGGCAAACTATTTCTCTTCTCTGGGATACAGTATCCCCATCCTTTAACATAAGGACAGGTCACATTAGGCAGTCTCTAAGGTGTTTTGTGAGCTTTAGACTGATTTATTCTGTTACTTAAGAAAGCAGATGAATTATCCTTTCACCTCCATAAGAATCTGTGAATTTTAGATGAAATGACCACAAAAGAATCAAGATGGGTTATACAATTTTGTGATGCTCACTTCACATCACAACACTGGAAAGTATGGGAGTGAAAAGGAGTGAGGACGGACCCAGAGAGGCCACCCTTAGGATACCCAGACCAGGTCACTGGAAGCAGACACGAATGCTTTGCTGGTCTAGGACACCATCCCGTTGAAGTCTCCTTGAGAAATGCTATGCAGTTTTCACTCATCTTTCCAGCTGTCAAGTTCTCTACCTGTTCATCTCTGTTCCTTATTTCCTAAAGGGCTGTCATCTACCCATTACATTTGTGGATCAACTACTCAAAGTGTATACCTACGCATATTTATACGTACACATACGTACAAACAATTGTTGGCTAGAATTGAATGGTGTTCCCATGAACTTCCCCAGTGAGGATGTCCTGGGACCCCTTCCCCATCAACTCCCACCTCTCCAACCATCCTCCCAGCTCAAGGTCACTGGAGAGTGGAAAGGAATTAATCCGATAGACATGAGTATTGAGATCCTTTGGAAAAGTCCTGAAGGATCTTTTCTTTTTACATCCCTTCATCTTTTCCCCCCACATTAAGGAAAAATGGCCTGGGTCCTGTACCTCACAGCACTTCAGCCATGGAGCTCTGGGAAGTAAAACTTGAGTTCTCCCAGAATCCCTCTGCTGTATTATAAGATTCAACACAGCAACCCCCTCAGAAGAATCACCCATTATTTATTCATTCAATAAATATTTATTGAGCACTTACTAAGTGCCAGTTTCAGTGCTGGCCGTGGAGATTTAACACTGTGCCAGTAGACAGGAAAGAGCCTGGAATGTTCTAGGAAATGAAAGAAGTCCAGTGTAAGAAGCAATATAAATGAGGGGGAGAGTGATATAGGACAAGACTGAAAAGGTAGCAGAGGTCAGACCACAGAGGGTCAAGGTGACCTGAGAGATCAGTTTCCCCACCCACTGTCCTGAGGGCACTGGGACACACAAGAGACCGGGTTGAGAGAGGCCATGGGGAGGTGGGGCATCCCATGGACATTTCTTGGATCTCTCAGACTAAATTCTTAAGACAGTTTTAAACACAATGAAAATTGGCTTCTTAATGAAGTGAATTATTGAATGCACATGTGAAATATCTGGAACAGAAGAAGGCATGTAGGGTTTGGATTCAGACTTGAATTTGAATCTGGGCTCTGCAAATTTCTGGGTGATTTGGGGCAGGCTACCTAACATTTTCGACTTGAGTTTCTCTCATCTGTATGGTAAAGGCAGCAGTGTATCTCTCATGGTTCCTTAGGAGATGATCCACAGGTTGTGTTTGCACCACCTATAGTTGCATGCAGTTGATACCCCGCCTCCCACACCAAGCTCCTATCTACCCTATGGACATGAACATATTATCGTTCTCAGTTGCAAGCCACAGCATCTACTCTGGCTAGTTTAAACAGAAAATGAATATATTGAGAGATATTGGCTAACTCCCAGACTTGGGAGGGCTGGAGAAACACATTTAGGACTGAGCATCGAGGAACACTCTGAGAACCATGCTGCAGAACTGACCAGATCTGGAAGCTGCTTCCCCCACAAATGACCTAGAACCACTCAGCCACAGATGAACTTACTACCCATGCTGTTAAGAATGGAAACCCTGAGCCACAGAAGTTTCTGGCACTTGGGGATTTTAGGCATGTATTCCAGGCAACATTCTGTTCACAAAATATCTGGGTAATAAAAGACTGGAAGCCCCCTGCTATTTCTGGCCACACCCACTTGAGGTACCCCTGTTGGCTCTTCCTAAGCTGGTCATCTGATTCTCCACAAGCTTAGTTTGGGGGCTGCACATTCTGTAACCAAGAATTTTGGTTATATGCCGGTGATTGATGTCAGTCTGTCTCAGAGCTCCTCGTAATTTTCTTACCTTTTCAATCTCTAGTAGGTTACGAAGATTAATTGTACCATATGCACTTTTCTTTTATAAAGCAGCTGCCCTCCTCTCTCTGTCTCAACCTGTCTCTCTCTCCCATCCCCAGGTCTTCTGCCTGTCACTCTTTATTTCAATCTCCAGTAGGTTATGAAGATTAATTGTACCATATGCACTTTTCTTTTTTAAAGCAGCTGCTCTTTTTTCTCTCTCTCTCTCCCTCCCTCCCTTCCTCCCTCTCTCCCTCCCTCCCCCACCAGGTCTTCTGTCTCTCACTCTTTATTTCTCTTTCTCCTTCTTCATTGCCTTAAAACCAAACCAAATCACACACTTACTTCTTGAGACATCTTTGCTGTCATGGGCCTAACCCTGATACATGCTACAACATAGGTAGCATGTATCATCTATGTAGCCCAGAGCAGGGCTGTGGCTTGTCTGAGGTCACACGGCCAGCTGAAGGTCCTTGTGACCTGCAGAGGTGGAATCAGAGGCTCTGGATTCTTGTTTCAGCCCAGCCACCAACAAGGTGGGAATGCTTGGCAGGGCACTTCCTGTACTAGTCAAGACTGCAAGCTGTAGATGACAGAAACCCAGCTGGAACTAGCCTTGGAAAAAGAGACTTTGATCACTCATGCAGTCTGGAAAGGTACAGGTGGGGTGGGGAGGTAGCAGTCAGGGACTTGAAGTCACCAGAAGTCTCTCTGTGGCTTTGTTCCACTTTTTCCTACCTTGGATGGGAATTTTCTACACAATGAGGCCATGGCTGTTGCCTGCTTTTGTTTCACATTTCCCAGAGTTAGCCCACTGAAAAGGAAACAGCTTCTCTCTTAGCTCCAGGTTAAACTGTCCAAGCAAGGTCTTTGGTCATGTGACTTACTCTTTGGAACAATCACAGGGCCAGCCAAGTGTGATTGGCTGAGTTTGACAAACCACCATGGCCAGGGACATGGGGTCATGCTGGTCTGAGAGGGAAAGGGGGACAGGGGCCCCAAAGAAGGTGGGTGGGAGCACAGATATGACCACAGGGGAGTCATTGACAGTCAGGTGGCCCCACGATTTGTGTGGGCTCCACTTTCTCTAGGTTTGCTCTACCCATGTCTCCTGTGCATTACTATGGGGGTGGGGAGGTCTAAAGTGGGACAAATAAGGTGCACTTAAAGAGAGGTCCCCACTGAGTTTCCTAGAAGAAAGAATGCCTTAACACCCATTGTCCCATGGATATGGGCTAATTCATTCTTGTCATCTGGAAGAGAACAGAATCCTGAGGAAATGAGACACAGGACTGGTCATTTTTACGGCGGGACAAGAAATCAGAGTGGTATCTTAGAAGTGTTGGGGGCACAGAACTGTGTCTTCTCCTGCCAGCAATACCAAAACCCAAGTCCACTCCCTGGTCCTTGAAGTTTTTCCTGTTTTGCTCACTAAACCATACGTTCTAGCTCGATAACAGGCTCTTTTAGGAAATAATAGCATTGCTCTCTAAACTGAAAGCATCGGACTCTGGCCTGAGAGTACTGTTGTTATTATGGTTATTATTATTTGAAGTGTGCTAATAAAAACACAGCTTCAGGACCCTAAAGTGATTTTATTGCACTACTGTAGACTAGTCATTGAGTACCTCTCAAATTTAAAGTGCTTTGTTTGATTGGCTTTTCAGATTAATTGGTTGGCTAACAAGAAATCTTTTTGTTTGTTTGCTTAAAATCTTAGGGATGAAAATCCTGATGGAACTTATTAGTCCCTATCCCTGTATCAGCAAGAAGAATGTAGCAAAGAGAAAATCTCTGGAGGCTGGAAGGCTTAGGCAGACAGCAGGTATGAAGCCATTGGCGCGCTCTGAAATTTATCTTTTGTCTATTTTTTTAGTATATCCTAGTCCAACAGTATCTGCCTTTGTCATATTCTCTACCATTTCTTGACATTTTTTGTCAAAGATAAACCTTTATTATTTTATCATTAGTCACTGGCCACAGGAATTCACTTTTTCAGTTATCTATGCTGCTTCTAAAATGCTACATCGATGGCTGCTCCAGCTTTGTTCTGGGTTCGTGCCTGCCTAGAAACCAGTGACTCTGGGTGTAAACAGCGAGGGGGTGAGACACTGCTGAATTCCAGATTTGCTGAAATCTGGCTGGGACACATTGGGGGCAAATGTCAGTCAACCTCACACACTCAAGGCAGTGCCTTGTGGGGTAACAGCTCCAGAAGGGAAGGAAGGTTGCGTTTAACTAATCCCAGTGTTTATTCCGGAAGCTGAGCTTTTAAAGAAAATGCAGATGATTTCCCTCTGAAAGCGTAGACATTGTATAACCTCAAGTTCTGGTTACCCAAGGATTTACTATATTGTAGAGACTGGAAGGGGTCGGGGTGGAGAGAATTTGGAGTAGGTTGTTATGAAACAAGAAGCATGGACAAAAGCCAGGTACAGCCATGCCTTAAAGATGCACTGATGAACTCAGACTGTCTTCAGAAAGCCTTCTCTGGCATGGACCCTCTCCTTGACACCCCACTTTTGATTGCATTAGGGGGATGTTGCATTTATCCAAATCTCGAACACTCACTGAAGAAAAAAAACAAACTTCCTTTAGAGACATCAAATAGAAAGGGACCCTCACATCCCATTCAAGGCCATATAGGGCCTAGTCACAGCACTTTCACAAATCGGGAGGACTTGTTGCCCATAGACCAGGCATTAAACAAAGCTGAGCTTTCATTTCTCCATCAGACAGAAGGAAGTCACCTCATGTAAGTGAGGTCAGGCTCCATATGTTTTGTGGCACACGGTATATTGTTTTAATCTGCCGTGCTGTTTGGGGAGGAGAGGACTACATTGTATGGTTATGTATAGCTGAAAGAGCCCAAAGGTACCATCCCACTGTCCAGACTTCTTCCTATGGCAGGGACCTGTTGAGTTCTTCCCATCCAGGCTACCCTCCTTTCTGCTTACCTGAATACCAAGCAGGTACCGTCTCTTCTGTGGAGCCTTCCTGGGCTCCTCAGGTCTTCAAGTATATTTTGTCTAATATTAAGTTTGCCTTCCCAGCCTCCTTTTGGTTAGTACTTGACTGATGAATCTTTTTTTCATCCTTTTTTACTTTCAACTTTTCTGTGTCCTTATGTTTTAGGCGTGTCTTTTATAAGCAGCATATAGTTGTTTTTTTTTAAAAAATTGCAATCTGACAATCCTTGTCTTTTAAGTGATAATTTTAGTCTTTTTATACTTATGATTACAGACATATTTGGACATACCTATTGTTTTACTTCATACTTTCTATTTGTCCCTGCTTTTTCTATTATTTTTTTTCTCCTTTCTTGCTCTCTCTTGTTGAATTGTTTGTTTTCTTATTCCATTCCTCCCATTTTCCTACTGATTTGGATGTTATTTTTTCATAGAAATTTTGTGAGGCATACTAGACCAACCCCAACTTAATCAATATCTGAACCCTCTTCGCAAATAATACAAGAACCTTGTAAGATATTAACTCTTTGTGCACACTTTCCAGACATACATGCTTTTATATTCAGTATTTATTTATGTATTTTTAAAATCCTACAAATTAGATATTGTTATAAATTTTATATAGAAATTGTTTGTTTGGATTCGTATACAGGTTTATTCATCTCTTTGTTTACCAATCCTCTTGCATCTTAGAGCTCCTTTCTGGGATCATTTTACTTCTTCCTAAAGTATATTATTTAGAAGGGTTTTTTTTTTCCTACTAATTGCTTATTGGGTTTACTCTTAACTTTTGCATATCAGGAAATGTCTTGATTTCACCATAGTTCTAAAAGATAATTTTTCCAGACATACAAATATAGGTAGACAATAATTTTCTCCAAGCATTTTGAAGATTGTTTTCATATTTGCTGCTGAGAATTTTGCTCTCTGGTTGCTATGCCTTTTTTTGGATTATCTGTCTTCTCTCTCTGGTTGCTTTAATATCTTCTCTTTATTGTTGGTGTTCTACAGTTCATTATCATATGTTCAGATTGTGTGCGTGTGTATGTGTATAATCCTACTTAATATAGCTTGTGCTTCTTGTATCTGTGGATTCAGATCTTTCATCAGTTCTAAAGAATGTGAGGCCATTGTCTCCTTGACAATTGCCTCTTCTCCATCTTATCTTTTCTTCCTTCTGGAATTCTTTTTAGAATTGTCAAGCCTCCCTGTTCTCTCTCCCATGTCTCATAACTGCCTCTGGTCCCCATGGGTCTTCCTCTGCTCCAGACTCATACAATTTCTAGTTTATACCACTAAAGTTGAATATAGACACGATTTCTTCTGTTATTTCATGTTCAATCTGGTCTCCCTAACTAAACTCGAAGCCCCTTGAGTATAGCACCCCTGTCTTATGTACCATTTGTATTCTCATGGCACTTGGCTCAATTCCTGATATGATGAGTAGTCAGTGAACACCTTATTGATAGAGGCCTATTATTTCATGTTCCCAAATTGTCCCCTAGCTTGAGACTTACACACATGATCTCTTGGGAGCCAGATGTGTGCTTTGGGCCAGGACATGCCCGTTGTCTCTCTATAAGCCCTGAGAGCTTATAGTGCTTTGTGCAACGTGCCTCAGCTGACTTCCTTGGATTGTACCTTTTACCCTCATGATCCTTTCAGCACAGAAGGCTTGCCTGCATTATTGAAACTCACCCATTGTCTTTTCTATCTGGACTTTTCAAGTCAGCCCTGTTTGGCTGCCACCTCCAGCCCAGAAATATAATTCCAAAGGCCAGCCTTGGAACTACGTGGGAATGAGTGCTGCCTCTGAACAGCAATTTAGAGTTTGAGCTCTGCCTCTGATGGTCCTATGGGCCTGGGTTCTGAGTCTTAGTTTCTGTATCTGTAAAATAGAAATGATAGAGTTGTGAAAAATAATAGAGATAATGAACATTAAAGTGCTTAACAAATGTGAGGTATGGTGGTTATTTGCAAAAACATTAAATGATGGCTATAGACACAGGAAACAGAAAATAGTAGATACATTCATCTTTGGAAAAGTAAGGTCAAAACTATATTATTCTGCTTATCTTTTAATGGTTTTTTTTTAAACTTCTGTCAATCTGACTTTTTAAAAATTATTATTATACTTTAAGTTCTAGGGTACATGTGCACAATGTGCAGGTTTGTTACATATGTATACATGTGCCATGTTGGTGTGCTGCACCCATCAACTTGTCATTTACATTAGGTATATCTCCTAATGCTATCCCTCCCTCGTCCCCCCACCCCACAACAGGCCCTGGTGTGTGATGTTCCCCTTCCTGTGTCCAACTGTTCTCATTGTTCAATCCCCACCTATGAGTGAGAACATGTGGTGTTTGGTTTTTTATCCTTGCAATAGTTTGCTGAGAATGATGGTTTCCAACTTCATCCATGTCCCTACAAAGGACATGAACTCATCCTTTTTTATGGCTGCATAGTATTCCGTGGTGTGTATGTGCCACATTTTCTTAATCCAGTCTATCATTGATGGACATTTGGGTTGGTTCCAAGTCTTTGCTATTGTGAATAATGCCACAATGAACATATGTGTGCATGTGTCTTTATGGCAGCATGATTTATAATCCTCTGGGTATATAGCCAGTAATGGGATGGCTGGGTCAAATGGTATTTCTAGTTCTAGATCCTTGAGGAATTGCCACATTGTCTTCCACAATGGTTGAACTAGTTTACAGTCCCACCAACAGTGTAAAAGTGTTCCTATTTCTCCACATCCTCTCCAGCACCTGTTGTTTCCTGACTTTTTAATGATCACCATTCTAACTGGTGTGAGATAGTATCTCATTGTGGTTTTGATTTGCATGTCTCTGATGGCCAGTGATGATGAGCATTTTTTCATGTGTTTCTTGGCTGCATAAATGTCTTCTTTTGAGAAGTGTCTGTTCATATCCTTCGCCCACTTTTTGATGGGGGTTTTTTTTTTCTTGTAAATTTGTTTGAGTTCTTTGTAGATTCTGGATATTAGCCCTTTGTCAGATGAGTAGATTGCAAAAATTTTCTCCCATTCTGTAGGTTGTCTGTTCACTCTGATGGTAGTTTCTTTTGCTGTTCAGAAGCTCTTTGGTTTAATTGGATGCCATTTGTCAATTTTGGCTTTTGTTGCCATTGCTTTTGGTGTTTTACACAAGAAGTCCTGCGCATGCCTATGTCCTAAATGGTGTTGCCTAGGTTTTCTTCTAGGGTTTTTACGGTTTTAGGTCTAACATGTAAGTCTTTAATCCATCCTGAATTAATTTTTGTATAAGGTGTAAGGAAGGGATCCAGTTTTAGCTTTCTACATATGGCTAGCTGGTTTTCCCAGCACCATTTATGAAATAGGGAATCCTTTCCCCATTTCTTGTTTTTGTCATGTTTGTCAAAGATCAGATGGTTGTAGATGTGTGGTATTATTTCTGAGGGCTCTGTTCTGTTCCATTGGTCTATATATCTGTTTTGGTGCCAGTACCATGCTGTTTTGGTTACTGTAGTCTTATAGTATAGTTTGAAATCAGGTAGTGTGATGCCTCCAGCTTTGTTCTTTTGGCTTAGGATCGTCTTGGCAATGCAGGCTCTTTTTTGATTCCATATGAACTTTAAAGTAGTTTTTTTCCAATTCTGTGAAGAAAGTCATTGGCAGCTTGATGGGGATGGTGCTGAATCTATAAATTACCTTGGTCAGTATGGTCATTTTCATGATATTGATTCTTCCTATCCATGAGCATGGAATGTTCTTCCATTTGTTTGTGTCCTCTTTTATTTCATTGAGCAGTGGTTTGTAGTTCTCCTTGAAGAGGTCCTTCACATCCCTTGTAAGTTGGATTCCTAGGTATTTTATTCTCTTTGAAGCAATTGTGAATGAGAGTTCACTCGTGATTTGGTTCTCTGTTTGTCTGTTATTGGTGTATAAGAATACTTGTGATTTTTGCACATTGATTTTGTATCCTGAGACTTTGCTGAAGTTGCTTATCAGCTTAAGGAGATTTTGGGCTGAGACGATGGGGTTTTCTAGATATATAATCATGTCATCTGCAAACAGGGACAATTTGACTTCCTCTTTTCCTAATTGAATACCCTTTATTTCTTTCTCCTGCCTGATTTCCCTGGCCAGAACTTCCAACACTATGTTGAATAGGAGTGGTGAGAGAGGGCATCCCTGTCTTGTGCCAGTTTTCAAAGGGAATGCTTCCAGTTTTTGCCCATTCAGTATGATATTGGCTGTGGGTTTGTCATAAATAGCTCTTATTATTTTGAGATTTGTCCCATCAATACCTAATTTATTGAGAGTTTTTAGCATGAAGGGCTGTTGAATTTTGTCAAAGGCCTTTTCTGCCTCTATTGAGATAATCATGTGGTTTTTGTCTTTGGTTCTGTTTATATGCTGGATTACATTTATTGATTTGCGTATGTTGAACCAGCCTTGCATCCCAGGGATGAAGCCCACTTGATCATGGTGGATAAGCTTTTTGATGTGCTGCTGGATTCACTTTGCCAGTATTTTATTGAGGATTTTTGCATCGATGTTCATCAGGGATATTGGTTTAAAATTCTCTTTTTTGTTTGTTGTGTCTCTGCCACGCTTTGGTATCAGGCTGATGCCGGCCTCATAAAATGAGTTAGAGAGGATTCCCTCTTTTTCTATTGATTGGAATAGTTTCAGAAGGAATGGTACTAGCTCCTCTTTGTACCTCTGGTAGAATTTGGCTGTGAATCCATCTGGTCCTGGACTTCTTTTGGTTGGTAGGCTATTAATTATTGCCTCCATTTCAGAGCCTGTTATTGGTCTATTCAGGGATTCAACTTCTTCCTGGTTTAGTCTTGGGAGGGTGTATGTGTCCAGGAATTTATCCATTTCTTCTATATTTTCTAATTTATTTGCGTAGAGGTGTTTATAGTATTCTCTGATGGTAGTTTGTATTTCTGTGGGATTGGCGGTGATATCCCCTTTATCATTTTTTATTGCATCTATTTGATTCTTCTCTCTTTTCTTCTTTATTAGTCTTGCTAGCAGTCTATCAATTTTGTTGATCTTTTCAAAAAAACAGCTCCTGGATTCATTGATTTTTGGAAGGGTTTTTGTGTCTCTATCTCCTTCAGTTCTGCTCTGATCTTATTTATTTCTTGCCTTCTGCTAGCTTTTGAATGTGTTTGGTCTTGCTTCTCTAGTTCTTTTAATTGTGATGTTAAGGTGTCAATTTTATATCTTTCCTGCTTTCTCTTGTGGGCATTTAGTGCTATAAATTTCCCTCTACACACTGCTTTAAATGTGTCCCAGAGATTCTGGTATGTTGTGTCTTTGTTCTCATTGGTTTCAAAGAACATCTTTATTTCTGCCTTCATTTCGTTATGTACCCAGTAGTCATTCAGGAGCAGGTTGTTCAGTTTCCATGTAGTTGAGCTGTTTTGAGTGAGTTTCTTAATCCTGAGTTCTAGTTTGATTGCACTGTGGTCTGAGAGACAGTTTGTTACAATTTCTGTTCTTTTACATTGCTGAGAAGTGCTTTACTTCCAACTATGTGGTCAGTTTTGGAATAAGTGCCATGTGGTGCTGAGAAGAATGTATATTCTGTTGATTTGGGGTGGAGAGTTCTGTAGATGTCTATTAGGTCTGCTTGGTGCAGAGCTGAATTCAATTCCTGGATATCCTTGTTAACTTTCTGTCTCATTGATCGTCTAATGGTGACAGTGGGGTGTTAAATTCTCCCCTTATTATTGTGTGGGAGTCTAAGTCTCTTTGTAAGTCTCTAAGGACTTGCTTTATGAATCTGGGTGCTCCTGTATTGGGTGCATATATATTTAGGATAGTTAGCTCTTCTTGTTGAAATGATCCCTTTACCATTATGTAATGGCGTTCTTTGTCTCTTTTGATCTTTGTTGGTTTAACGTGTGTTTTATCAGAGACTAGGATTGCAACCCCTGCCTTTTTTTGTTTCCCATTTGCTTGGTAGATCTTCCTCCATCCCTTTATTTTGAGCCCATGTGTGTCTCTGCACGTGAGATTTGTCTCCTGAATACAGCACACTGATGGGTCTTGACTCTTTATCCAATTTGCCAGTCTGTGTCTTTTAATTGGAGCATTTAGCCCATTTATATTTAAGGTTAATATTGTTATGTGTGAATTTGATCTTGTCATTATGATGTTAGCTGGTTATTTTGCTTGTTAGTTGATGCAATTTCTTCCTAGCCTCGATGGTCTTTACAATTTGGCATGTTTTTGCAGTGGCTGGTAGCGGTTGTTCCTTTCCATGTTTATTGCTTCCTTCAGGAGCTCTTGTAGGGCAGGCCTGGTGGTGACAAAATCTCTCAGCATTTGCTTGTCTGTAAAGGATTTTATTTCTCCTTCACTTATGAAGCTTAGTTTGGCTGGATATGAAATTCTGGGTTGAAAATTCTTTTCTTTAAGAATGTTGAATATTGGCCCCCAGTCTCTTCTGGCTTGTAGAGTTTCTGCCAAGAGATCAGCTGTTAGTCTGATGGGCTTCCGTTTTTGGGTAACCCAACCTTTCTTTCTGGCTGCCCTTAACATTTTTTCCTTCATTTCAACTTTGGTGAATCTGACAATTACATGTCTTGGAGTTGCTCTTCTTGAGGAGTATCTTTGTGGGGTTCTCTGTATTTCCTGAATTTGAATGTTGGCCTGCCTTGCTAGATTGGGGAAGTTCTCCTGGATAATGTCCTGCAGAGTGTTTTTCAACTTGGTTCCATTCTCCCCATCACTTTCAGGTACACAAATCAGATGTAGATTTGGTCTTTTCACATAGTCCTATATTTCTTGGAGGCTTTGTTTATTTTTTTTTACTCTTTTTTCTCTAAACTTCTCTTCTCGCTTCATTTCATTCATTTGCTCTTCAATCACTGGTACCCTTTCTTCCAGATGACTGAATTGGCTACTGAGGCTTGTGCATTCATCACGTAGTTCTCGTGCCATGGTTTTCAGCTCCATCAGGTCATTTAAGGACTTCTCTACACTGGTTATTCTAGTTAGCCATTTGTCTAATCTTTTTTCAAGGTTTTTAGCTTCTTTGCGATGTGTTCGAACTTCCTCCTTTAGCTCGGAGAAGTTTGATCATCTGAAGCTTTCTTCTCTCAACTTGTCAAAGTCATTCTCCGTCCAGCTTTGTTCCGTTGCTGGTGAGGAGCTGCGTTCCTTTGGAGGCGGAGAGGCGCTCTGATTTTTAGAATTTTCAGCTTTTCTGCTCTGTTTTTTCCCCATCTTTGTGGTTTTATCTACTTTTGGTCTTTGATGATGGTGACGTACAGATGGGGTTTTGGTGTGGATGTCCTTTCTGTTTGTTAGTTTTCCTTCTAACAGTCAGGACCCTCAGCTGCAGGTCTATTAGAGTTTGCTGGAGGTCCACTCCAGACCCTGTTTGCCTGGGTATCAGCAGTGGAGGCTGCAGAACAGCAAATATTGCTGAACAGCAAATGTTGTTGCCTGATCGTTCCTCTGGAGGTTTCGTCTCAGAGGGGTTCCTGGCTGAGTGAGGTGTCAGTCTGTGCCTACTGGGGGATGCCTCCCAGTTAGGCTACTCAGGGATCAGGGACCCACTTGAGGAGGCATTCTGACCGTTCTCAGTTCTCAAACTCCATGCTGGGAGAACCACTACTCTCTTCATAGCTGTCAGACAGGGACATTTAAGTCTGCAGAGGTTTCTGCTGCCTTTTATTCAGCTATGCCCTGCCCCCAGAGGTGGAGTCTACAAAGGCAGGCAGGCCTTCTTGAGCTGTGGTGGGCTCCACCCAGTTTGAGCTTCCTGGCAGCTTTGTTTTACCTACTCAAGTCTCAGCAATGGTGGGCGCCCCACCCCCAGCCTCGCTGCCCCCTTGCAGTTCGATCTCAGACTGTTGTGCTAGCAATGAGCGAGGCTCCGTAGGCATGGGACCCTCCAAGCCAGTCATGGGATATAATCTTCTGGTGTGCTGTTTGCTAAGACTGCTGGAAAAGCACAGTATTAGGGTGGGAGTGACCCGATTTTCCAGGTGCCATCTGTCACAGCTTCCCTTGGCTAGGAAAGGGAATTCCCTGACCACTTGCACTTCCCAGGTGAGGCGATGCCTCGCCCTGCTTTGGCTCACGCTCAGTGGGCTGCACCCACTGTCCTGCACCCACTGTCCCACAAGCCCCAGTGAGATGAACCGAGTACCTCAGGTGGAAATGCAGAAATCACCTGTCTTCTGCGTCGTTCACGCTGGGGGCTATAGACTGGAGCTGTTCCTATTTGGCCATCTTGGAACCACCCAGTCAATCTGACTTTAATCAAAAAGTGCTGAAAGAAAAAAAATACAATTTTTCTGGGATGTAAAACAAAATTTTTTAAAGGGGAAATTGAGTGGTTTATTTAAAACTCTGACCACCTTGGAACTATTTGAAACTCTGTGTCCCTTTTAAATTTTGTTGCTTCTGAGTTAATAGGTAAGATTATAGCAAGGAAGAATAGGGTAATAGGAAATAAGGGAGAGGATTTGAAACATAAGAAGTGTCAGTTTCAGAACTTCAAGAATGCTGAATTCCATGTCAAGTCCCAGCATCCTGCCCCTTAAGCCTTTGGTGAGGCCACTGCATTCACAAGGATCATCTCTGTTGCAAACTGTTGGAAATCAAAGCCATGTGCAAGGCTCATTGCTCTACCCCATGACCTGCCTTCAGCTGTGTGTGCCATTTCCTGCTCCTTGTGGGGTCTGAGGACCCTGGAATCTCTAAGCCTTTCCAAGTAGCAATTTCATCCTTGGACACTCTTACGGCAGCAAAGACAGAGCAAGTGATATCATTAAAATGGATGCAATGGGTGTCTCTTGTCTTTTTTTATTATTTTATTTTATTATTTTATTTATTATTTATTTTTGAGATGGAATCTTGTTCTGTTGCCCAGGCTGGAGTGCAGTGGTGCAATCTCAGTTCACTGCAACCTCTGCCTTCTGAGTTCATGTGATTCTCATGCCTCAGCCTCCTGAGCAGCTGGTATTACAGGTGTGCACCACCATGCCCGGCTAATTTTTATATTTTTAGTAGAGATAGGGTTTCACCGTGTTGGCTAGGCTGGTCTCAAACTCCCAACCTCAAGTGATCCGCCTGCCTCTGCCTCCCAAAGTGCTGGGATTACAGGTGTGAGCCACCTTGTCTGGCCTTTTTTGTCTTTTTAAAATAAGGCATTGTTACAGACATGAGATCATTTCTTATTCTCAACCACCAATGACCTGTGTGCTGAATAGGAGAGACTGAATTCCCATTTCATAGGTGAGAAAACTGAGAGTTGCTCAAAGTCACATAGCTCATAGGTGACTGAGATGGAATGACAGTTCAGGTTTCCATCTCTACTCTTCTCCCAGGCCTGCATGGGCAAGGGGCAGGGGCAGTTATGATATCATCACCCATGAAAAACAATCCCAAGATCATGGGCCTCCTAGCAGGAAAACAAAACAAAACAAAACCTGCAAGAGAAACCAGCTACAACTATAAATCCAATTTCATTAGTAAGAAAACTGAGGCCCAAGCACTTACTCATGAAAATACCCACAGGGGATCATCTCCAAACCTGGGTTTTGTGACTTTTGTTCTACACTCACAGTGGATTTAGTGTTCTAGATTCTGATACTTTTAACTACCTAACTCAAAGAGCTCCTGAGAAAACATAATGTGATTGTGCTGGGTTCGATACCCGTCACATAGAACGTGCTCAGTAAATATTAGTTGAATATTTATCTTTCTAGGACTTAGTTTTCTAGTCTGTTAAAGACGGTCAATAATCCCTGCCTGCCTTCTCCATAATGTTGTTAAATGCTTCAGATGAGATTGTGCATATAAGATAACTTTGAGAAATAATGTTAAGATGCTTTGCAGTTATGTGAACTTTCTCAGTTAAAACTGTGTGGAAGTTGCAGGCATTCCTCTATAAGTGGGATTCTAGGCACATATCAGCTTTTCTCACACCCCTTTCACAGCAGAAGAAATGATTAGCCTTATTTTGGAGACAGAGCTATTGAGGAGTGATTTGCTGGTATCAACATAGAATAGAAGACTGACCTTGTACTAGAAAGATGTAAGTGCCCAAAGAGAGGCAGGAGAAGGCAGGAGAGTTTGTATTCTCTCTTCTGTAGGGTTCATAGAGGGACAGAATCTGTGCTGGGCCTTAAAACGTGGGTAACATTGGAGCACATGGAAATATTAGGGGCAATATCAGGCTCCAGAAACCCTGTGGATGCAGCAGGGAGACAGGAAGGCATTAGAGGATGCAGAGGAGATAGCAAGTCCCCTCATTCAGCTGGAGCATGGGGAAAATAAAGGGATGGGGAAAATAAAATTCATCAGACCCCACCCAGACCAACAGTCCAGCCTCTAGACCAAAAAATGGACTGGAGGGTTCTGGACATGTGACAGGAAGGAAGATCCTGCCCAACCCCTGGGGAGTGAGGGAGGGAGCCCAATCTAAGGATTTGCTCTGAAAACAATGTAATTTCAAAGCTTTAGGAGGTGTCTTTATATTGCTAAGGGTGAGACCTGGGAAGATGTCCCTTCAGTTTAGCAAAACAGTTGATGGGTTTTTCTTTTCCCCGTCATTATTACTTTTAATGAAAAGTTAGGTTCAGATAACAATTAGGTCCAATAACAGTTAGGGCCAATAATAAAGGTTACTAACATTTATTGAACATTTACTATGTGCCAAGCACTGTTGGAGTAATTGTGTTAGTTTCCTGGGGCTACCACAGCAAATTACCACACACTGGGTGGCTTAAAACATTTATTCTTCACATTTCTGGAGGGTGGGAGCCCAACTCAAGTGTGGGCAGGCCATTGTCCGACCCGAAGGCCATTCTTCCACCGGAGCTCTAAGGGAAAAGTGGAAGGTTTTTCTCAGCTTGGCTCCAGGTGTTCCTTATCTCATGGCTGCATCACTCCAATCTCTATCTCTCTCTCTCTCTCTCTCTTTTTTTTTTTTGAGACAAAGACTCACTCCGTCACCCAGGCTGGAGTGCAGTGTCTCGATCCCAGCTCGCTGCAACCTTCACCTCCCGAGTTCAAGTGATTCTCCTGCCTCAGCCTCCCAAGTAACAGTACAACAGGTGCACATCACCATGCCTGGCTAATTTTTGTATTTTTAGTAGAGATGGGGTTTTGGCACGTTAGCCAAGCTGGTCTCAAACTCCTGGCCTCAAGTGACCCTCCTGCCTCAGCCTCCCAAAGTGCTGGGATACAGGCGTGAGCCACTGTGCCCAGCCTTCTGCCTCTGTCTTCACATGGCTTTCTCTGTATGTCTCTCATAAAGACACTTGTCACTGGATTTAGGGACCACTCAGACAGTCCAAGATGATCTCATTTCAATATCCTTAACTTCATCTGCAAAGACCCATTTTCCAAATAAGTTCATGTTCACAGGTCCTAGAGATTAGTATGTGGGCATATCTTTTGGGGGGGACCACTGTCCAGCCTATTATGGTGGCTTACGTGCATTATATCATTTAATCCTCAAAGGGTGGTTGCCCTGTGGGGTAGGTAATATCATTACCTTGATTTTATAGATAAGGAAACTGAGACTCAAAAGAGGTTAAGTAACCTGTTCAAAGTCATATGGCC
Organism: Homo sapiens; assembly: GCF_000001405.40. Classification (NCBI taxonomy): domain Eukaryota; kingdom Metazoa; phylum Chordata; class Mammalia; order Primates; family Hominidae; genus Homo; species Homo sapiens. The sequence goes on from NC_000006.12 coordinate 44,593,643, forward strand.
AGCAGGTGGCAGAGTTGAGATATAAAGCCCTCCAGTCTGGCTCAGGGGTCTGTGTACTGGTAACCGTCATGCTAGTCTGCCTCTTTGTGATGTGTGAGAGAGCTATCATTCTAGGTAATTAAAAAACAAACAAAACCCTCCCCCAAACCCAGGAATTTGGAATCTTCCCTTGGCATGTAAGAGGATAGGGGGTAAGAAATCTTAGAAAGGACAGAAGATGTGGTCGTGGAGATGTAGCTCTGACAGGAAGAACAGATGCAGCCAGGCCTAAGGGGAAGGACAGCCCACAGGAAACTCCTCTGCATCCCAGCTACTCGGGAGACCAAGCTGGAAGGATTGCTTGAGGCCAAGAGTTCAAGACTAGCCTGGGCAACATATCGAAACCCTGTCTCTACAAAAAATAAAAAATCAGCCAGGTGTGGTGGTGCGCGCCTGTAGTCCCAGCGACTCAAGAGGCTGAGGCAGGAAGATCGCTTGAGACTGGGAGTTCAAGACTGCAAAGGGCTATGATCATGCCACTGCACTGCAGCCTGGGTGATAGAGCAAGACCCCATCTTTAAATAAATAAATTAAATAAATAAATAAATAAAGACTCCTTTGAGTGTTGTGTGACCGAGTGTGAGTGTGAGTGTGTGTGTGTATTGGCATTCAGCCCCTCTGGAGCAGCGAGGGCTCATACTGGATGTGGTGTTGGTTCCTGTTGCATCCTGGGCTGGTATCTTTTCACGTTCATCTGCCACCCATGGCAGGCAGGGATTCGAGGTAGGCTGAGGAAGGGAGGAGGAGCTGGGGGAGTCACATGAGGGGTCCCAAAAGAAGACCACAGCCCCGGGAGGGTAGCCCTGGGAGGGAAGCCCTGAGGATGGACACCTCCCAGGAGTCTCTGGAACTTAGGAACAAAGCAACATTTTCCACATTCCTCTAGGATGAGCCTGGAGCCATTTCATTCATTCGGCTGTTAGAGGAAAAGGGTCTGCAGAGGGCCGCAGGGCTCAGGTGGTCTGGGCCACAGGAGGTCAGAGAGGTCACCTGAGATGTGGAGGGAGGGCAGTCCTCCCACACTCACTGACAGAAACCACCCCGTCCACAGGAGAGGAAGCAGCCCCTAGCAGCTGCCGTCCTGGGGCCAGCCAGCAGCTGCAGCCCTAGGAGGAGGGAAAGCTGCCTTCCCCACCCATCTCTTTCCTCCAAGGCTATTCTGGGAAGGAGGGGCTGTGAGGACTGAAGCTGGGAGGGGGTGGGGGACAGAATTTGCCTGGACTTTCTCTGCTGTATCTGTTTGACATGTTGGTTTCTTGTTTCTCACCTACACTCTTGGCCTCCAAATGGGAAAGTGCCCTTGGCAGACAGAGGGACAGCCTAAGGAAGGACCTGCCCTGTCCCCAATTTGTCCTGGCTCCCCTGGCTGGGTTCTGACTAAAGCCTGCACCTAATGGGAGTCACTTGGAGTTTTGTGGGGAAGGGATAATGAAACAAGGTGTCTTACAGCCCCGCAGGACCTCACAGTCCTACACAAATGCCAAGCGACTATGGCCACTGCGTCAAGGGAGTTGAAGGTCAAAGAGACCCAGCCAATCTCTCTGACTCTGGTCCCTACACCATTGTCCTGCTGACCTGGTTCTTGGTGAAACCTGGTCACTCAAGTCTACTCCCGGCTGTGCCTTACCCCAGTTAAAACAAATCAAGGGCTGGAGAGGAGGGGACAGCAGGTGACAAGCTGACATCCTGAAGGCTAGCAAATGGGGCAGGTGGGGTGAGGAGATCTCTTTGGACTTCATTTCATTTTTCATGTCTGCTGCCCAGGCCTCAGGAGAGAAAAATTAGACATTTTTATGGGTGGCAAAGTATGCAGCCTGATGGGGGTGATACGATGAGGGTGGTGGCAGAAACTTGGGGCAGAGATAGAGCTCTCCAAATATTCCAGGTGCCATTGGACTCCCCAGCCTCCTGTGGAGTTAAGGTCAGTCATGGGGTTAGTTCTGGCCAAGGGACCACGAGCAGAATGATGTGTGTTTCTTCTGGGTTGAGGCAGGTAAAAGCCAGTGTGCCTTTTCCATTCCCCTCTTCCCCTGCTGCAGGAACCCTGGAGACCATGTGGTCCAGACAGCTGGACTGCAAGATGGAGAAAGGCTGCCCAACCTGCACTGGAATTTTCCTGAGGGAGGAATCCACCTTTATTGTGCCAAGCCACTAAGATTTTGATGTTTGTGGCTGCTAGGACTAATTACTTAGATTAATGCAACCGCTTATGTCAATGCAGCTCCTGGAGTTATCCAATATCACTTGCTTTTCCTAACAACCCTGGGAGATCATTTTCATTTTTCCCATTTTACAGGTGAGCAAATTGCAACAGTGACTTACCCCAGGTCACGTAACTGGATAGAGAATAAGCAGATGGGACGGTGGGAGGTTAAGTGCAAGTAGAGAGGTGGCAATAGGGTGAAATGAAGAGGGCCCCCCACTTGGTGTAGAGAGCCAGGCAGAAGGTCAGATCGAGGTGGGGAGAGAAGGAAAGAAAGAAGGGAGTGCTTTAAGGAGAATCTTGACTCCTTCCTCCCTCCATATCCTTAGCCTCAAAGCAGACTTGGGACCCTTTGGAGTTGAGGGGGTGCCCTTGTGTGAGGCACACAACACCAGGAAGGTAGAACCACGCAAATGTCTTTGGGGATTCATGTACCTGGTTCTAGGTGTGCTCTGGATAGGCAGGCAAGTGGTAATAAAACCACTGAGATTGCATAAAACATGGTTGAAGGGAAATGGCCAAAGAAATGCTGTGCCCCAAAGCTGCCCTCATTCAACCAGGCTGGCATTGCTCAACCTGGTTTTGAGCTCCTCTTTGAAATGTGAACATTTACCAGCCACATCCTTTATGGTTAAGCCACTTAAATGCTGGTTCTGTTTTTCTCTTTCTGTATTGTTTTTTATTTATTTTTGAATAGATTATATATATATATATATATATAGATATATATAGTTAAAACATTAAAAAATATCTAAAGGTATATACAGTAAGAAGATGCTCTCCCACCCATGCCCTCTGTCTGTCCACTTCCCATTTCACCTCATAGGCACCCACTGTGTCTAGTTCATTATTTCCATTCAGATTTTATTTTGTACATTTGTAAGATAATTGAGATGTACATTATTTTTATCCTTGTTTTTCTCATGAATACTGACACTCTATACTGCATCTTGCTTTTTCCCCTTAATACAACTTGGAAGTATTTTATACAAGGATAAAGAACATCAAGATCATTCTCTCTCTTTTGAGTAGATGTATGGCATTGTAAGGATGTACCACAATTTATTTAACCAGTTTTTCACTGACAGACATTTGGCTTGTTTCCAACATTTTGCTATTATAAATAACAATGCAATGAACATCCTCTACATATGTCACTTTGCATATTTTCAAATATACTTGAAAGATAAATTCCTAAAAGTGGAATTGCTAGGTCGAAGAGTATATGCATTTTACATTTTGATGATACAAAAGTGCCCTCTATCAGGGTTTGTTGTGGCAATTTTTTCCCCCTACCAGCAGTGTATGAGGGTACAATTTTCTTTTTCTTTTTCTTTTTTTTTGAGACAGCCTGTTGCCCAGGCTGGAGTGTAGTGGTGTGATCATAGCTCACTGCTGCTTCAACCTCTTGGTCTCAAGCAATCCTCCCACATCAGCCTCCCTAGTAGCTAAGACTACAGGACTGTGCTGCCATGCTCGACTAATGTTTAAAATTTTTATTTTGTAGAGACTGCGTTGTGCAGGCTGGTCTCCAGCTTCTGGGCTCAAGCAACCCTCCTGTATCAGCCTCCCAAAGGGCTGGGATTATAGGCATGAGCCACTGCGCCTGGCAGAGAGTGCAGTATTCTGCAGTTTCACCAATAGAATGTGTTGGTATTCAAACTTTCTGACGTTTATCATTGATAGGAGAGAAGTGAAAAAGATTTATCTTACATTTTTAATATCTTGAGTTAGGTTGGAGATATTTTCAAATGCCTAAAGGAGATTATGTTATTCTTTTTATATACATATAAATTACCGGTTTCTATTTTTGCCCACTTTTGTACTGTGGTGTTCGTCATTTTTCTATTAATTTTTAGGAGCTTTTTATTTATTATAGAGACCAGCTCGTTGTCAATGAGATAAGTTGCAAATGCTTTTTCCTATTTTGACATGTTTATTTGCTTTTTTAAAAATTTTTTCCTTAGGTGTTTTTTGTTGTCTGTTTGCCACATTGAAGTTTTGATTTTCATATAGTCGAATCAGCCTTTCCTTTTATAATATGGATATGCTGTCATTAGAAAGACCCTCTTTATGCCAAGATTTTAAAAGAATTCTCCCATGTCTTCTAGTACTTTTATAGTTTTATTATCTTTTGTTTAAGTCTTTGATTAATTTTAAAGTTTCTAATTGAGTCTAAGCTTATTTTTATCTAGCTTGCTACCAAGATATACTGATATCATCTATTGAATAATGAATAATTGACTTTTTTTTTTAACAGTGATTTGAAGTGCTACTTTTATCATAACACCATCTTGTATTATTTGGGTGCATTTCTGGTATTTCTATTCTGTGCCGTCTGTTAATCTGCATATATGCCAGTGTCAGAGTTCTTTCAGAACACTGAATATGTTTTAATGTCTAGTAGTGCAGGACTCCCTCATTTCTCTGCTTTTTCAGAGGTGACTAGGCTATTCTTATTTGCTTATTTTCCATATGAAATTTAGAATCAGATAATCTAGTTCAAAAAATACATTAGTATTTTATTGGAATTTCATTAAATTAAAACATTAATTGAGGAAAGATTGACATCTTTTTTTTTTTTTACATTGAGTATTCCTATCCAAGACCCCATATAACTTGACTTTCCATTTGTTTGAAGCTTCTTTTTTGCCTCTCCATCAGTTCTAGTCCTGTTCCAGGTGGAAGGCCCTCAGGACATGGAAACATTTCCAGATCTGCCATGATTTTTAGCTGTTCACATTAACAGCAATAACTAAGGCCCCTGCTTCGTTCCCACTCATCTCCCTCTGAGCCAAAGCTCACTTGCTTTGACCTCAGGTGATGTTTGGATTGGGGTTTGTGGGGAGAGGGGAGGGTCTGTCACCAAGACATTGAAAAAGAGACGAGGGAGGGGACCTCAGAGGTGGGGAGAGAACACCATCTGTGTATCCAGAACTGAAAGTCGGCAATCGGGGACAAAGATAGAAAGACAGAGGCAGGCGCGGAGGCTGTGGGTTACCAGGGAGGCCTGTGGGAAGGAGGGGAGGAAGAGAAACCAGGAGGGAAGGGCAAGAGCAAGGTGCTGGGGAGGAGGAGGCCTCTGGGCAGGAGAGTGGTCCAGCAAGGCCTAGGAAGCAGGTGCAGTGGGGACAGATGAGACTGGTGGGCAGAAGGGACAGAGGAGAAGGGAGGATGGACAGGCTTCTCAACACTTCTCTTCCCTCTCCCTTCAGCTCCCCCTCCCTAAGGAGACTGCAACCTCTTCAAAGGCTGGGGAAATGTCTTCACTTTCAAATTTATTCTTTTTTTGTAATAAATAATATACATCTAGAAATGCATAAGCATATAAGCACAGCTTACTGAATGGTTACAAAGTCAACTCCTTTTTACCACCACCAAGTCCAAGAAACGGAACATTGGCCAGGCATGGTGGTTCATGCCTGTAATTCCAGCACTTTGGGAGGCTGAGGTGGGAGGATCGCTTGAGGCCAGGAGTTCAAGACCAACCTGAGCACTTTGGGAGTCGAAGATGAGACGACTCCTTGAAGCCACTAGTTCAAGACCAACCTGGGCAGCATAGCAAGATCCTATCTTTACAAAAAATACAAAAAAAGTTTAGCTAGGTGTGGTGGTGCATTTCCACCTACTGGGGAGGCTAAGGCAGGAGGATCTCTTGAGCCCAGGAGTTCTAGGCTGCAGTGCGCTATAATTGCGCCACCGCACTTCAGCCTAGGCAACAGAGTGAGACCTTGTCTCTTAAAGGAAGAGAGAGAGAGAGAAAAGAAAGGTGGAACATTTACCAGCACCCCAGAAGCTTCCCTCATGTATCTCCCACAGGTAACCATTGTTCTGATCAGAAGAAAATTGCTATTATAATAAAGAAAAAGACGTTGAAGAATGTAAAACCGGGACTGAAATGTGCTAGAACACAGGCCCAGATGAGAGACCTGGAGGGAAAGTCAGGAAACTGAGGCAAAGTGCAGACCTGCAGACAGGCAACTTTTCCTGGGAACATGGGCCCTCCCCTGCACCCCTGGCATCCCTGTGGGCCCCCAGCTGCCTGGTTCAGAGCATGCAGCCCAGGCCAGCCCTGACAGCTGTGGGGAGCAGCTTGATGCACAAGACTTTGGGGCCCGGGCAGGGCCATCATACAGATTATCCTGGTTTCAAGGACTAGAAACCCACTGAAAGCAGACCAAGCCAGAAGGCACCAAGGCCAGGCAGTGAAATCAAGAATATCAATTAGGTTTCTGGAACTCTCTTTCTGGGTTGTTGGTCTTCCTCTTCTACACTTTTCTGTCTATTTCTCTCTTGCTTTCTCAGGGACATCCTCCTCTTACCAAAGGCCCAAGAGAACCCTTCTTTCTACTCCAAAACATTTTGTTTTCAGTTCCTGATCCTTAATGTCCTGCATGTCTTGGTTCCCTTCCCCAAGGGAAGAAATCTGAGAGCTCCTCCTACACTGCATCCACCCTGGGCCTGTGAGTGACACCCATGGGCCCAGACAGCCCACCTGATTCCTGGGGAGGGACCATGAGGGGGCTTTCATAGATTGTCAGACATGAAGGGCACAGGCAAGCAGCTCCCATTTGGTTGGTCCTTGGTGTTCACAGGTAGAACATCTGTAGTTCCTAAGTTTGGTCATCCCCAGGAGTTAAGTAGGAATCTGCTGATCGGGTTTGAATCACCTCTGCCACGGGCAGCATGGAGGAAGGAGCCACCTGTGCAGCCAGCATCCCCTGTTCATCCCTTGTGGGTGCATCTCAGTCCTTTTGTTTCTGGAGAAAAAGAGATCTGCAAAAGAGAAAGTGTTACTGATTATCTAAAGGATGGTTAGCTTAGGGTGTAAAGATAGATTTGGAAAACTCAGGATTCTCAATGACTGGGGCCTGTAAAGACACCTGCTTTTTGGAGTTTGAATACATGTGAATGTCAAGGCCATCTGTGCTTGACCAGTCGGGAGTGAAAAAGGGCATGGCGTACATTAGGGTACAGGTGGAGGGGAGTATAAAGCTGGCAAATGCTGCCAGGTTGGCCAGAGCAGACAAGACAACAGTGAGGGTGCTGGGTGTGAAGGGCTCAGGGCAAGCAGTGAAGGAACGGGAGTGTTCCTGGGGTGGAGGGCCTGCTTGGGTGTGGCTGGCTCCACGGTGAGGGATCCAGCATCTTGACCTAAAAAGATCACAAGGAACAAGGCTGGGGCCCATGCTCTCCCACACGAGGGCATGCAGGAAGGAACTTTATAGTATGTCTTTATGAAACGGAAAGATCAAAGTCATGCAGTCCCTTTGTGTTTCCATGAGGCGAGGCACAATGGACGGTGCTTACAGGCAGGCTGTGAGGAATCTTTGTGGGGTGCTAAGAGCTTCTGTAGATCATCTACCATCTTCCCCATCATCTTTCTAAAATTCTGAAATGCCTATCCAGAGTGAAGTCTTTGGCTTGAGAATGTTACTAGAAGGCCCATCATGAACTGTTCCCATGCTCAAACCACATTGCAGTGAGATCTACCTTGACCATCATATTTAAAACTGCAGTCCTGCCACCCAAAACTTCCTATTTATTTATTTATTTGAGACAGGGTCTCACTGTGTTGACCAGGCTGGAATGCAGTGGTGTGATCATGGCTCACTACAGCCTTGGACTCCCGGTCTCAAGCGATCCTCCTGCCTCAGCTTCCCAAAGTACTGGGATTATAGGTGTGAGCCACTGTGCCTGGCCCCTATTTTATTTTTATTGTACTTTTCACCTAACATACAATATACTTTGCCTATTTATTATTTTCTGGCCCCTCCTACCAGACTGTACGTTCTAGGAGGACAGGCATTTTTGTTTGTTATTACGTTGGTGCGAAAGTAATTGCAGCATGGCCTACATTAGGACGTGGGTGGCCATTACTTTTAATGGCAAAAACAGCAATTACTTTTGCACCAACGTAATATTTCACTGATATAACCCCAGTATCTAGGAACACGTCTAGCATATGGTGAGCACCCAACAAACACCTGTTGAGTGAGCTGAATGTCTATAACTTGAGGATGCTGAGATTTGGATAGGGGCTGTGTGATATTTTAATCCATGATTCCTAACCTTTTTTCAGTAGGGAGGCCGCTTTAAGCTCAAAACATTTCATAGATGCATATGTGATAATAGCTGTACTTGGAAAATACAGTTCTTTAAAATGAACTGTACTTTATTAATCCATATCCATTTGACAAATAGGATGTTACATTCTCTATTTGTATCAATTTATGCAATATACTGACACTACCTGATGCATTATGGATTCACAAAGTGTTTGCAGTTTGTGTCCATTCTAAGGACACAAGGGACCCATAGTCCACAGGTCAGATACCACTGTTTAAAACCATTCTCAACTATGAACAACTTAGTGCTTATTAAGTTATTGGCTTTTTTAATTATCAGAGAGCTAGACTCAAAGGTTTAGAAAGGTTGACAGTTACATTCTGAGTTGGGGAAAGTAGGAAAGAAAGGATTTAAGATGAGCATGGGTTTTGGTGCTAACAGAGATTATTTAAAATTTTCATTCTTACAAGAGCCATCTGGGTGACCAGGAAGTTACCTCTCTCTCTGCATTTGGGTCATGGAGATTGAATGTGATGGTGACTGTGAGGTGCTTAGCAGAGTATCTGGGGCATCTAGCTGCTCAGCAAATGTTACCTCTCCCCAGAAAAAGTCAGAGGGACAGGGTGGTGTCCAGGAGGGTCTGGCACCTGGGGAAGGCACTGAAACAGGAAAGAGGAACAGCTGAAAGTTAGGCTGAGGGTGTCCTGTGCCAGGAGTGGCAGGTGATCGTCGGTGGTTCAGGGAATTAGGGCTCTGGGGAGGTACAGAGGACCAATACTTTCCTGGTTTCTAGAAGAATCAACTTCAGGCAGAAAGACGTAGTCTCTGGATGCATTTGCGATGGGCAAGGGGTACTGCTGTCCGGGCAAGTGGTAACCATGTGTTGGTTGTTGAGTGGCTGATGAGATGCAGTCCCCTAATGAGAGAAAGTCCTGTTTGAAGGCTCAAACTGAGATTCTAATTCTAATCAGCATTCTAATTCCAGTACATTTGGCAAAATGAAAACAGCTGTGAAGAGAGCCAACAGAAAAGACAAGGGCTGCGTCCCTGTCCTTGCCTTTCAACTCTCCAGCTTCCAGAGATGCTTGGCCATTTCCATTGCATTTCCTTTCCTCCCTTCCTTTTTAGACTTGCCACGGAACATGATACCTGCCCACAGGCCTGTGCTCAAATCCTCTCACCCCGGGAGCAAACCCCTGACTGATGCCCATTCTCTTCCTGGCTCTATGCTGGCGTGTGTCATTTCAGACTGACTCTGTGGCAGGACCAATCACACAGACGCCAGCCGCAGGGATGACAGCGGGTCTGTTTTCAAGAGACTGGGCTGTGAGCAAGTCACAAACAAAACCAAAGTACACGACCCAGTGCCCCAGAGTACCACTTTTCACCTACTGATGGGTTTGGCCTCTATCCTCACTGTTTTTGTGGGTCAGCAGAGAAGTGTCCACTTATGTAGGATATAATTTTAAGAGCTCCAAAAGGCCCAACTACCCTTTGGCCTAAAATAGAAATTCTCTTGTAGGAGATAGGCCTTCGGCTCAAGAGGCTCCTGTCAAAAAGCAATAGCTCGCTAGGTGGGGCAGCCTACTCTACCCACTACCAGGCAACCATACCCAAGCAGGCTTTCTTAGGGGGAAGGCAGGCATGGTAAAACCCATGTAACCCAGGACAGCTGCCTTCTATATGGAGGTAGGTACAGGAGAGATCTGTGGCTCTGCCTGGGAGAGATGGCCCAGGGGAGGAAGTTTCTAGTGGGAAGAGCAGTCTGGGGAAGCTGTAGTGAGAAATTCAGAGAGGTGATAAGACCTTAATCTCACTGAGTTCATGGTCTTGGTCAACTGAGAGTGGGTTCAAGGGTAGGTACACATTGATCCAAAATTTCCTGGCACGAATAATTCATTTGTCATTCTGCCAGTGCTCTCCTATTATTTGATGTTCTTCAAGGGAAGTGGAAATCATGCTTCCACCTTCTCTAACACAACCCATGCATCAGGAACAAGGCCTAATAATCCTCTGGAAATGCTCCAAGTTGGAGGGCAAGGAAGTCACTTTGCTCACTTGAACATTCATTAGGGGCTGGGGCGAGTCTGATGCATGCCATTTTCTCATGCTCTCCAGTTGACGAAGGACCCAGCAACATGGTTTTGCTCTGTTCACCAGGGACATTAATTCAATGCAGAGAGCCTAACGAGGCTACGTCCTTCTCTGGTGCTGTAAAGTAGAATACTCTCAAAACAATGGTTGTTTCTGTACTTGAATTGGTTGATAAGAGGAAAGTAAATTCATCAAGCAATAAAAATATTTATAGTTCTCAATATTTCGTGTGTGCAAAACTTTGTGCTATGTATGGTGGGGAAACAGAAGGAACATAAATTGGGGAACCACATGCCCTACTTGTCTGGTGCAGTCCTGGCTTGCACCTGTTGTACTGGTATAATTCTTACTGGCTCCTCCTTTTAGTCTTAGGAGCACCCTGGCTCAGACAATAAGTGATATGTTCACCCTCAACATAAAAATGCTATTAAAGCCTGGGTGAGGTGGCTCACGCCTGCAATCCCAGCACTTTGGGAGGCTGAGGCAGGTGGATCACCTGAGGTCAGGAGTTCAAGACCAGCTGGGCCAACACGGCAAAACCCCATCTCTACTAAAAATACAAAAAAATTTAGCTGGGCATGGTGGTGCGTGCCTGTAGTCCCAGCTACTTGGGGGGCTGAGGCACGAGAATCATTTGAACCCAGGCAGCAGAGGTGGTAGCGAGCTGAGATTGCGTCACTGCACTCACTCCAGCCTGGGTGACAGAGTGAGACTCCGTCTCAATTAAAAAATATATATATACTATTGGAGAGCTCACAATCTAGTTGGAAAAAACAAGCAACTCATGTTTTTGGAATAAGTGAAGTGAGATAAAGCTGGACTGCTGTTGAGGAGTGGCATATTGATATCCATGGGTTTCCAAAGAGTGAACCAATATTCTATTCTCCTTTGCTCTTTAGGTACCTGTAGTATGAAGTGGGCACTCTCAGCAGTAGATCCAGATGGCACAGCTATGAGGCATCACATGCATCCATCCTGTTGGTGTATATTGGTGACACCCTCTGGAGACAACCCTAAGGTCTACGGTAGGAAGGATGCTCCCAGAGTGGTGCAATGCATCACCCTGGGTCTTGAGTTTGGAAGGGGCTGATGTCATTGTCTTATTCTAGTTGTTCACTCTCAGGTGGGAGCTGGCAGGTGGGAGCTGAGGTTGACGGACATGTCTTGTTTACCCTCATGTGCCTTGGGACAGGTTTATGCCATGGAGCAGTCCTCCATAAATGTGGGCTGAACCAAGACACATTTAATGATCAACTCCTAATGTGAGCCCCTCAGAGACCTTTAATGAAGACAGTCTGACCCAGTGGTTCTCAACCATGGCTGGAGAGGCATTTAAGAGGATTCATGTGGGTGAGCTCCTCCTGGGTGTTGGCATCAGTATCCCTGTGGTGGAGCCTGGGCATGAGT